>NC_000014.9:104156716-104459716 GCF_000001405.40 Homo sapiens | reverse complement strand
AACCATTGTGGAAGACAGTGTGGCGATTCCTCAAGGATCTAGAACCAGAATACCATTTGACCCAGCAACCTCATTACTGGGTATATACCCAAAGGATTATAAATCATAGTACTATAAAACATGCACACGTATGTTTATTGCGGCACTGTTCACAATAGCAAAGACTTAGAACCAGGCGTGGTGGCTTACACCTGTAATCCCAGCACTTTGGGAGGCTGAGGCGGGCGGATCGAGACCATCTTGACTAACATGGTGAAATCCCATCTCTACTAAAAATACAAAAAATTAGCCGGGCATGGTGGTGGGCACCTGTAGTCCCAGCAACTCAGGAGGCTGAGTCAGGAGAATGGCGTGAACCCGGGAGGCGGAGGTTGCAGTGAGCCGAGATCACACCACTACACTCCAGCCTGGGTGACAGAGTGAGACTCTGTCTAAAAAAAAAAAAAAAAAAAAAAAAAGCATTCCTATTTCTTCACATCCTCTCCAGCATCTGCTGTTTCCTGACTTTTTAACGTATACTGAATCATAACAAACGACATTAGTAGATTTCAAACGTCGTAAGTCCTTGAATTCCTAGAGTAACCTTCCTCCAGGTTCCAGCTCCTCAAGGCTGACTCCTGCTTCCCTAGCCGGTGTTCCCCCGCTGGAGATGGCCTGGCTCCTGTGGATGGATGGACAGATGGACGGATGGCAGGCTCCAGCAGCTCCCTAGCCAGCTCTCAGCTCACTATGGAGGAGGGCTGGTGTCCGTATTTCCCACCTACAAGTTAATACTTTTCTATCACATGCTTGCATCCACCAATATTTTATGTGCCTTAAAGTTGACATAAATGGCAAAATAGTGTCAAGGTTCTTGCAACTTGCTTTTTTCGCTCACATCAAGTTTTTGAAATTTATCAATATTGATGGACATCAATTCAGTGTGTTTCTGTTAACTGGAGTAAATGTTCCGTCATGCCAATGAGGCACAGATTAATGATCCTTCCCCACTCAGGAACTTACAAATGAATTCTGCTTTCCCACCACACCATGAGCAGCCTTGCTTGTGTCTGCTGGTGCCGTGGCCAGGCCACTGCAGAAAGAGCCCCTGGCTTGTGGGAATGTGTGTTGTCAGCTTTCCACGCCAGCTTTTAACAGTGCCTGGCACTTTATAAATGTTCAATAAGTATTAACCATTAGCGTTATCATTACCATTATTATTAAGTATTGCTGTGTTGCTGTCCAAAGTGGTTATACCAATTTACACTCCTTCCAGCAACAGACGGAGTTTCCATTTCCACAGATTCATGGCAACACTCAGTAGTATCAGACTTATTAATTTTTTACACTCTAATGGGTGAAAAATGGCATCTAGTTGTTTTAATTTGTGTTTCTCAGTGTTAGCAGTGAAGCTCAGCCTCTTTTCACATATTTATTGCCCATCGTTTTCTCCTGATATTTATTGTTTCTTATCATTTGCTCATTTTCCCATTGGGTCGCTTGCCTTTTTCTTATTGATTTTCAGAGTTATTTATGGATCTGGGTAGTGATACTTTATTGGTTATGTGGATTGCAAATATATCCTCTCAGACTGAGTCTTGTAAATTTTTTTGCTTTATTGATGGTGCCTTTTTCTGAACAGAATTTTACGTTTTACTGTGTCTGATACCTCAAACTTTCCCTTATGTTTTGTGATATTCGTATAAACTCATGTTATCTTTTACAGCTTTGCATTCTCACATTTAGGTGTTGGCCTATCTGTGATTCATTTTTTCTTGATGAATTTGTTTTCTGTTGCTCCAGCACCACGTGCCAAGTAGTGAACCCCTTCCCCATTGAGGGGTGATGCCCCCCATCCTATATCAAGTTCACATATAATCATGGGTCTTTTTCTAGCTGTAGCCTCAGTTTCATTATTTTGTTTACCCATCCCTGAACCATGTCATACTCTCTTAAGACTTGCGGCTCTATAAAATAAGTTGTGATATCCGTTATCTCTCTCACCTTTATATTTAGGTATGTCTTGGCTATTTCTGGCTCATTGCTCTTGTATATTAATTTTGTAAATCAGCATGAGAAACTAATTTTGGAAAAATATTTTGGAAATACATTTAATCTTTAGATCAATGTAATGATAGTTTTCATCATGACGGAGTCTCCCCATTCATGAATATGGTATATTTCTCCATTCACTTAGGTCCTCTTTCATGCCTTCCAACAAAGTTTACCCATTTCCTCCTAACAGGAAGGTCTTGCACATCATTACATGTATCTCTGGAAACCTTGTGGGTTTTTTCACTGTTAATGGAATCTTATATTACTTATCTAATTTTTGCTAGTAATTTTTATGCTGAATTTATATCCTGCAATTCATTGAACTCTCTAGTTAATTCTAATAGCTGTCTAGATTATCTTGAATTTCCTCTTCAGAAATGTTCTGCACATAGTAATAGCTTAGTTTTTTTCCTTCCTAGACCCTATAACGATTTTTTTTCTTCTCACAATGTGCTTCCAGACTCTGTAGCCCAATGAGGCATAAAAATGGAGCTGATTTTAGAGCAGTGCTGAATTTTACAATTAAAGGTAATACTTTCTATAGGGTTTAATCATCTTTATCAGGATAAGGAAATTCTTTTTTATTCTTAGGTTAGGAGGTTGTTGTTCCCCTTAAATCATAAGTTAGTGTTTATCTTCTATAAGGTTTTAGTTCAGTAGTATTTTTTACCTGCATTAGTAGTTATCAGTATTATTATTTTACACACTCAGTGCTCCTTTAGATTTGCCTGTATTATCTTGCATTTTCTTTGCTTGTCCAAGCTTCATGTATCTTATTCCATCTTCTCAGGTTCAATTTACTTTTGGTCAAAGTATACCTCTTAGTGTGGTGTTGTGTGTAGGTCTTCAGTGGGACAATCTCTCGGATGTTTTGGTTCTAAAAGTCTTCATTTCATCCATTCTGTCAGTTCTCTTTTCACTCTGTTGATTGTTTCCTTTGGTGTGCTGAAGCTTTTTAGTTTTATATAATCCCATTTGTTTATCTTTGCTTTTGTTGCCTGTGCTTTGAGGTCTTATTCGTAAAATATTTCCTGAGACCAATGTTGTAAAGCATTTTCCCTGTGTTTTCTTCTAGTAGTTTTTATAGCTTCAGGTTTTACATTCAAGTCTTTGATCCATTTTGAGTTAATTTTGCATAGGGTGAGAGATATTTGCCAACTATTCATCCAACAAGGGATTCATATCTAGAATATACGAAGAATTCAAACATCTCAACAGCAAAAGAAGAAAAAAAACAATTAAAGTGGGCAAATGATTTGAACAGATAGTTCTCCAAAGGACCTGCAAATGGCTAACAAATATATGGAAAAAGTTCAATATCACTAATCATCAGATAAACGCAAATGAAAACCACAGTGAGGTATCATCTCACCCCAGCTGGAATGGCTACTGTCAAAATACAAAAAATAACAACTGGTGTGGAGCTGGAGAAAAGGAAATTCTTACTCACTATTGGTGGGTACAGTCACGATACAGAACAGTATAGAGTTTCCTCAAAAAAACAAAAATAGAACTAGCATATGATCTAGCAGTCCCACTGCTGGGTAAATAGCCAAAGGAAAGGAAATCAGTACATCCAAGAGTTGTCCGCACTCCCTGTTTGTTGCAGCACTATTCACAATAGCCAAGCTATGGAGTCAACCCAAGTGTCCATCAACAGATGAATGGCTAAAGAAAATGTGATTTCACACACACACACACACACACACACACACACACACGCACACAGAAATACTATTCAGCAGTAAAAAATGAAGTCTTGTCCTCCATGGCAACATGGATGAGCCTAGAGGACATAGTGTTAAATGAAATGAGCCAGGAACAGAAAGTTAAACATGTTCTCACTCATACGTAGAAGCTAAAAAGTTGATCTCATAAACAGTAATATTTTTTACCTACATTAGTAGTTGTCAGTATTATTATTTTACACACTCAGTGCTCTTTTAGATTTGCCTGTATTATCTTGCATTTTCTTTGCTCATCCAAGCTTCATGTATCTTATTCCATCTTCCTAGGTTCAATTATTGGAGACTGGAAAGGGAAGGGAGATATAGGGAAATTTGTTAAAGGACACAAAATTGACAGGAGGAATAAGTTCTAATATTTTATATACTGTGGGATGACTATAGTCAGCAATATATATTTTCAAATAGCTAAAAGAGAGGGTGTTGAATGTTCCCAACACAAAAAACGATCAGTATTTTAGATGACAGATACACTAATTACCCTGATCTGATGACTATACATTGTATGTACAGAAACATCACTACATACCCCATAAATACATACAGTATTATGTGTGAATTTTTAAAAATAAGTAATTTTTAAATGCAGTCATTTTATACTATCTCTTGAACACTGTTCAGCAGGATATAGATTCCATATTGATGATTATTTTCATTAGCACTTAGAATATATTGTTCCATTGTGTGTGGTCGTGATTGTTGCAATCGTGAAGTTTGCTCTCAGTCTAATCCGAGTGTCTTTATAGTTATACGTTTTTAAAAAGTGCTTTCAGTGGTTATCTTTTTCTTTGATAATTTACAATTTAATTTTAATATTTCTTTTTAAAACAGTGTTATGAGGGATGATTGACATACAATAAACCGCACATATTGAAAGTGCAAAATTTGATGCATTTGATGTATGTTTATGCTTGTGAAACCATCACTACAGTTAAGATAATAAACATATCCATCACCCCAGTCTCTCCTTGTGCCCTTTGTAATCCTTCCCTGCAATTCTCCACCCTCAGCCTGTCCCCAGGCAACCACTGACCTACTTTCAGTTATCATAGGTTAGTTTGCATTTTCTATAATTTTATGTACCTGGAAGCATAGTGTATGTCCTCATACTTTTGTGGGGTCTGGCTTCTTTCCTTCAGCAAAATTATTTTAAGATTCATCCATGTTTTTGGCAGTATCAACAACCCATTTCTTTCTATGGCTGAAGAGTCTTCAATTTTATGAATACACGCAATTTGTTAACGCATTCACGAGTTGATGAACATTTGGATTGGTTCCAGCTTTTGGTTATTACAAATAAAGCTGTTATAAACATTTGCATACAAACCTTTATATAGACATATGCTTTTATTTCTCTATGAGTAGAATGGCTGGATCATATGGCAGGTGTATTTAGCTGTTTAGTAAACTGCCAAACTGTTTTCCAAAGTGGTTGTGCCATTTTTACCTTCCCACCAGCAGTGTAGGAGGTTTCTAATTTCTCTACATCCTTGCCATCACTTGGTTTGCCAGTCTGTTTAATTTTACACATTCTGGCAGGTGTGTAGTGGTGTCACCTTGTGGTTTCAATTTGCATCTCTTTATTGAATAATGATATGAAGCATCTTTTCATGATCTTACTTGCCATCAATATTTCTGTTGGTGAAGTGTCTTTTCAAATCTTTTGTTCCCCTTTTTATTGGATGTTTGAATTTTATTATTGAGGTTTGAGAGTTTTATACATTCTGCATAGAAGTCCTTTACAGATATGTGATTTAAAAATACATTCTCTTGATCTATGTCTTTTCATTCTCTTAGCAGTGTATTTTGAAGAGTGGAAGTTTTTAATTTTGATGAAATGCATATTATCAATTTGTTCTTTTGTGAATTATGCTTTTGATGTTGTATCCGAAGTCACAAAGATTTCTGCTCTCTTTTAAAAATTTTATAGTTTAAGGTCTATGATTCATTTGAATTAAAGTTTGTATATGCTGTGAGGTATGAATCAAAGTTCACTTTTTTGGGGATTCAGCATCATTTGTTGAAAAGACTATACTTTCTCCATCGAATTGTCTTTGTACTTTTGTCAAAAATCCATTGGCCATATATATGTGAGCCTATTTCTGGAAACTCTATGTGTTTCATTGATCTATTTGTCTATATTGTTTTAATATAGCTTTATATTTAGCCTTCAAATCAGATAAATAAGTCCTCCAACTTTGTTCTTCTTTTGCAAAGTTATTTTCTAGGTCCTTCATTTATTTTCCATATAAAATGTGAAGTTCAATAATTGATTTTCATTTTAAAAATCCTTCTGGAATTTTGATTGAGATTCCATTGATCTATAACTCAACTTGGGAGAATTGATAGCTTAACAACTTCAAGTCTTCCTATCCATGAACATGGTACATGTTCCATTTAGTTAGGTCTTCTTTAATTTCTCTCAGCAATGTTTTGTAGTTTAAAATGTACAAGTCTTACACATGTTTTATTGGTTTATGGCTAACAATTTTATATTTGTTAATGGTATTGGAAATGATAACATTTTTAAAATTTCAATTTCTGATTGTTATATGTAAAAATACCATTAGTTTATGTATATTAATCTAGAACTCTGCCACTTTGCTAACTCACTTACTAGTTCTAGTGGCTTTTATTTCATGGATTCCATGGGCTGATCTACACAGATGATAAGGAAAGTGTTACTCTTTCCAATCTAGATGATTTATTTATTTTCCTTGCCTTATTTCATGAGATAGAACCTCCAGTACAATGTTTAATAAAAGTGGTGAGAGTAGATATCTTTACCTTGTTCTCAATTTTAGGAAGATATAGATTTTTGTTGTTGTTGTTGCTGTTTGTGTAGACGGCCTTTATTCTATGAGGACTTTTCATTTTTATCCGTGGTTTTCTGAGGGTTTTTAATCATGACTCAATGTTGGGTTTTATTAAGTGCTTTTTCTATTGAGATGATCATGCGCATTTTTCTTTTTAGTCCGCTAATAAGATAAAGTTCATTTATTGATTTTTGAATGTTAAATCAACTTTGTCTTCCTGAGGTAAACTACACTTTGTCATGATTTAGATAAACTAGATTTGCTAAAATTTTGGTAAGAATATTTTCATCATTGTTCATGAGGGATATTGGTCTCTGTTGTCGTTTCTTATATCTGTTTGATTTAGTAGGAAAGTAACATTCTCTTCATCGAATAAAAAAAGTACCTCTTCATTTTCTATTGTCTGGAAGGATTTGTGTAGAATTGTTATTTTTTCCTCAAATATTGTTAGACTTCACCATGAAAACCACCTGGGCCTATAGTTTGCTTTGTCATTGGGATTTTAATTAAAAACTTGATTTAGTTAATAGATATTCATGTTATCTATTTCTTCTTGAGTGAACTTTGATAATTTATGGCTTCTAAGGAATTAGCTTATTTCATCTAAGTTATCAAATTTATTAGAAAAAAGTGGCTCACAATAGTCCATTGTTTCCTTATAATGACTGCAGAATATTTGGTGACACCCACCCTTTCATTCCTGATATTGGTAATTTGTGCCTTTTTACCTTTTTCTTTATCAACTGACTAGAAGTTTAACAATTTAATTGATTGTTTAAAATGATTAGCTTTTACTTTCTTGGATTTTTCTTATAATTTTTACTTTTCTCTTTCATTGATTTCCGTTCTTTTTATTATTTTCTTTTTCAGCTTACATTGTGTCTAATCTGCTCTTCTCTTTTCAGTTTCTTAAGTGAAAATGTAAGTCACTGATTTGAGACCTTTCTTTTTTGTTATAACATAGGTTCTTAGTGCTTAAATTTGCCTCCAAGCATACATTAGCTGCATCTCCCTGATTTTGGTATGTTGTGTTTTCATTTTCAGCTCAAATAACTTTCCAATTTCTCTTTTGATTTCTTATTTGAGAGATATGGTTTGGCTCTGTGTCCCCACCCAAATCTCGCCTTGAATTGCAGTTTCCATAGTCTCCAGGTGTCAAGGGTGGGACCAGGTGGAGGTAATTTAATTATGGGGGTGGTTCCCCCCATGGTGTTCTTTTGATAATAAGTGAGTCTCATGCAATCTGACGTTTTTTTGGTGTGTTTTATTTTTTCAACAATTAATGTCCGCCCTTTAATCTCCCCAAGAGGGCTGGGCCCAGGCAGAACCCATCCCAGCACCCCCACCTACACTCAGAGACCAGCCCTGGGGGCCCAGGATCACCCAGCCGTTGGAGGGCCACACACAGGGTCCATTCCTTTCTTGCAGTCCCCCAGCTAGACCCTCTCCCCCAGTCCGGCGCTGTGGGCCCCGGAGCCTAGGTTCCTTCTGCCCTGGAGGTTGGGGAAGTCCTGGATCAGCAAGGGTGGGCTCGAGCATCTTCTCCACTGTGTGCGTGTGTTGGGGGCATATGTAGATGTGTAATGAATGTGCGTGTGTACACGTAGATAAGGGTGAATTCTGCATGCGCTGGCTTCCTGAGATCTGCACAGGAAGTGGCTCTGTGACCCCCGCCTGGCCCGAAGGTATTATTTTTTCTGGGCCAGGAAGGCCCCACCGAGAATCAGGGCTATGGCTGCCACAGCCACATCTCCAGCCACCAGCAGGGGGTTCAAGTTCTCGCAGGAACAGGGACCTCGACCCCTAGGCCCCCGCTGGCAGCCTCGTCCTCCTCTGCCCCGTCCCCAGGACCCTTGGGCTCCGGGGTTGCATCAGGACTGCTGGGCACCATGGGGGCTGTGGGGGCTGGCTTCAGGTTGCCGTGGTTGTTGAGAAGGACGGGGTTTGCCTTGGCCGGGGTCTTCTTGGCAGGCGCCATGGTGGGGGCTGCCAGTGGCTGCTGCTTCTCTGCCGGGGCTTCCTTCTTCCAGGGCTCGGTCAAGGGGGATTTCCCATCGGCTGCCGGGGGTACCTTGGCCTCGGTGGTGGCCTGGGTCACCTTGGTGTCGGGCTTGGGGCTGCTGGCCGATTTCCCTCTGGACTCCGTGGTGGGCAGGGTGTATGGGACAGGCAGGTGGCTGCAGCAGAGGGGCTCAGGACAGCTCGTCACCCCTGGGCATTCTATGGACACGTCCTCCGGCCTCGCCTGGGTTGCGTGCTCCTCTGCAGGACGGCGGCGGCTGCAGACGCAGAGTAGAGCTCGGAAGTTTCCGCAATCTGATGGTTTTACAAGGATCTGGCATTTCTCCTGCTGACACTCATTCTCTCTCCTGCCGCCCTGTGAAGAGGTGTCTTCCACCGTGACTGTAAGTTTCCTGAGGCCTCCCCAACCGTACAAAACTGTGAGTCAATTAAACCTCTTCTCTTTATAAATTACCCAGTCACGGGTATTTCTTCATAGCAGCGTGAGAAAGGACTAACACATCAAGTCATGGGTTATTTAGAGGTGTGTGCTGTTCAGTTGCCAAATATTTTGAATTTCTAGATATCTTTCTGTTGTTGATTTCTAATTTAATTCCATTTTGGCTGAGAATTTGATATGAATCTAGTCCATTTGTTGAGACTTGTTTTATGGCCTAGAATATGGTCAATCTTGGTAAATGTTCTGTGTGTCCTTGAAAAGATTGTGTATTCTGCTGTTATTGGGTGGAGGACTCTATAAATGTCTGTTAGGTCAAGGTGATTGATGGTGTTGTTCAAGCCTCCTTTTTTTTTGCCCATTTTCTATCTACATTTTTCTAATAATTACTGAGAATAGGGAGTTGACACCTCTAATTCTCAATTTATTTATTTCTACTTGCAGGGTGATCAGTTTTTGCTCCATGTATTTTGAATATATGTTATTATGTGGATACAATTTAGGATTATTATGCCCTCTTGATACATTGACCCTCTGTTATGAAATTACCTATCACTGATATTATTTGCCAGGAAATTTACTTATATTGTGATTAATATAGTCATTCCAGCTTTCTTTTGATCAGTATTAGCATGGTGCATTTTTTCCTAGCCTTTTACACTTAATCTGTTTATAGTTTTACAGTTAAAGTGGGTTTCTGGTAGTTAGCATATAGTTGCTTTTGCCTTTTTGTCCCAATAAGACAATCTTTGCCTTTCAAGTATAGTATTTAGTTTTAATGTGATTATCGATGTGATGGGTTTAAATCTTCCACTTTGTTGTTTTCTACTTGCTTTTTTTCCCTCATCTGCTTTTTTTTCTTTCCTCTTTTTCCAACTTCTTTTGGATTAACTGAGTATTTATTATGATTTAGTTTTATCTTCTTTGTGGGCTCATTGGCTATACATCATTTTTGTGTGTGGGTGCTTTAGGTTTTATAGGATACATCTTTAGCTTATGTTCTACCTATAAGTAATATTACACCACTTCATGTGTAGCATAAAATTCCTATAACAGTAATAATCTAGTTCCCTTGTCCCAGGGTCTGTGTTCTTGAATTATACATTTTCTTTCTATACATGTGATAAGCCCCACAATGTTGTTATCACATTTCCTTTAGTCAATTATTTATGTGTTAAAGAACTTGACTATATTTTATGTGCATTCATGATTAAACCCACAAGTTTACCGCTCCTAGTGCTCTTCATTCATTTGAACAAATCTAGATTTCCATTTGCTATTATTTTTCTTCTGCATAAAGGACTTTATTTAACATTTCTTATAAGTCAGGTCTGACAGCAATGAATTCTCTTACCTCTCTTATGTCTCAAAAAGTCTTCATCTTGCTGTGGTTTTTAAGTTTTTTTTTTCTGGGTATAGAATTCTAGAGTGACAATTTGCTTTTCCCCTTTGTATTTTAAAGGTGTTTCTCCACTATCTTCTGGATTTCATTGTTTCTGATAAGAAATTGGTATCATTCTTACAGTTGTTCTGTGTATATGTCTTTTTTTCTTTGCTTTTAAGGTTTTCCCTTGATTACTGGTTTTGAATAACTTGATTGTGGTGTGCCTTGTTGGCGTTTCTTCATGGTTTACCTCTACCTGGGGTTTATTTAGCATCTTGAAAAAATTTCAGCCATTACTTTTCCAAATATTTTACATCCCCTACTTCTCCTTCAGGACTCCAATTATACATACATTAATCCATTTGTGGTTCTCCTGCAGGTCACTTTTTCTGTCTGTGTTTTATTGTGGAAAGTTTCTATTGCTATGTTTTTAAGTTCACAGATCTTTTCTGCCAGTGTCAAATATCCTGTTAATCCCACTCAGTGCTTTTCCCATCACAAGAATTGCCATTCTCATCAGCTGAAGTTTTGTATCAATCTTTTTTTACATCCTCCATGTTTCTCCTTAACCTGCTCATGCCTTCCTCTATCTTCTTTAACACATGGAACATACTTAAAATAGTTGTTTTAATTTCTTTCTCTACTAATTTGATCACGTGTTGTTTCTCAGTCTGTTTCTATGGATGGATTTTTTCTTCTCATTTGACTGGTATTTTCCTGTTTCTTTGTATGCATGTCTGGTGACCTTGACAGGATGCCAGACATTGTGATTTTTATGTTGTTGGTTGCTGGGTATTTTTTTTACTCCTGTAAACATGCTTGGACTTTGTTATGGGGCACTGTTAGTTTTACTATTTTGACTATTCTTTTTTGAGGCTTGTACGTCAGTTTTGATAGTTGGGACCACAGCAGCCTTTAGAGGAGAGCTAATTATGCCCCATCTGAGACATGCCCTGCCAAGTACTCTAACCGTGTTTTGTGTACTATGAGATTTTGCCATTCTGGCTGGTGGAAACGTGAGCTACTCCTAGCCCTGTGTCAACTGCAGAGATTTTCCTCCCTGTTCCTTTCTGGTGGATCTTTCCCTGGTCTTGATGCCTTCTACATATACATGTACTGACCAGGAAGGCTGTCAGGGAAATTGGTGCAGAATCTGGAGCTCTTTCTCTGTGCAGCTCTCTCCTTTCTATGCATTTTCTCCACCCAGATCCTCTGCTCCAGGATTCTAGATGCCTTACGCTCTGAACACTCAACTCTGCTTCCTCAACTCAGGTAACCACTGGCTCTGGGCTGAGCCCTAAATACTCTCCAGGCAATAAGCTGACCATCACAGGCATCATCTCTTTCACTTCCTCTCTCAGGAGTCACTCTCCTGCACTGCCTGATTTTCAACATATCAACATCATTATTTTATACATTTTACTTGGTGTCTTAGTTGTTTCAAATGGGAGGGTAAATCCAGTCTCTGCTACTCTAGCATGGCCAGAAGCAGAAGCAGAAGTCTGCCCTGTATAATATTTGCATTTTAGTGGAATGCTATTTATTTGTTTTCCATTTTAAAACTCAGCAAAGAGACAAAGCATGAAAGACTTCATTGTAACTACGAAACAGAACTGGACACCGTAAACCTTGTCCGTGTAGAGCAGAAGGACCGCTCATGGGCCTCAGGAGCTGAGCGGTCAGTGGATGCTGGGGGTATTCATCTTTTTCAACTTCCATAGTGAGGAGTGATATTTTTTTCTGTCTAAAGCTAAGAAATTGGGAAATGGAGGCTTGTGTTGTTTATTTAGAGTTTCTTAGGACTATTAACAGAAAGCTTAATAGCCAAAAGCGGAGCTGCCATATTCTGGGGTTGGCTCCCGAAGGCAAGTCTGTGTGTTCCTCACCTCCTTCATGCCTGGTGCCTGGCACCTGAATGAGTGAATGAAAGAATGGATGGATAGGTGGGCGGGTGGTAGGTTTGAGGGAGCACAGAGGGAATGGCCTCTTTTGTCACTTACAGCCTTCTAAGTCCTGCTCCCAGAGGTCATCCTGCACAGTTCTATTCCTCCCACTGTGTCATCTGAACTGCTTTTAGAAGTGACACTTATCACTCACCTGTTACCCACAGAACCTGATGCTGAAGCCCAAGATAACCCAGCAGTCCCAGGCTCCTGGCAAGTTTGACTTGGAAGATATAGAAGAGGTCATTGGGTCCAAGTCCTCCGTTTTTCATCTGGGAAAAATGAAGCCCAGGGTGGGAGGGCTCAGCCGAGCTCACACATAAGAAGTTGCAAAGCTCTTGCTCCCCAAAACCTTATTTAAGATTTCCTCCAAAGTTTTACCACAAAAGGAAGGGAACTGGACTGACCCGGAGAGGACCATCTGGTGACCCAGTCAGCCAGAGTTGGTGTGAGCACATGCATGCGTGTGCATGTAGGCACGTGAGTCTGCGCATGTGTACGTACATGTGTGCACATACAGCATTCTACTCAGATCCATGTCCTGGCCTTGCTTTGGGAGCCCTGGCAGGATTGCAAGGGCCTCTGCTGTAGACAGGGGCAGGTGTGGTGGAAACAAGGTGGAAGGAAGTGAGAACAGGCCAAGGCTCTCAGAACAGACACAGAACAGAGGTGAGGGATGATGGTCAGCGTGTCTGGCTATTGTTAGTCCCTTGCAGGAACAAGAGGGCCCGGGCCTCCCTCACTACCTGCCCGTGGGAGCTGCAGAATTAACATCTTGACAGAGTGGGTGTGAACTCGTTTTACTCCAATCTCACTGTGCCTGTTGAATAGACCAGAACCTGTAGCATTCCAAGGCAATCTCAGCTAGATACTGCAGATCAAACAAACAAACAAACCAAAGTCCTGCAAAGGACTCCAGAAGTCAGTCAAATCCAATCACAGGGGGAGTCCAGGCTGAGTTTAGGCAGTGGAGGCAGGAGTGGATGGACAATGGACAGATGGCTGGGAGGTGCTAGCAAGCCTCCCAGCTGTGACTGCCCTGAGCCCCCATGCACTGCACAGTGGTGGCGGGGCAGGTACTGCCTACTTCCCGGGTTACTGAGGGTCCACGTCACTGAGTGAGAAGGAGGCATCATCCCTGGAAGCAGCTTTGGGAGCCCCCCTGGTATCAGTGAGGGTGTCAAAAAGGCCAGAGGGGTAGGAAGGGAAGGGGCCCCAAGCACAGCAGGGCATCCAGGGACATACAGGCCTGTGATAGGTTCAGACCTTCAAGAGGGAGCAGAGTGACTTGCAGAACCAGGAGCACGGAGGGAGCTCAGGAGCCGGACAGGAGGCTGGACCTGCAGCGACCCGGAGCCAGCATCCCAGGGACAGCCAAAGAGAGCCAGAGCTGCTCCTGGAGGCCAGGGCTCCTGAATGAAGGAGTCTCATTAGCCTCTGCAGGAAAGCCAAGGCCATGCAGGACCACTGGGCCGTTCGTTCATTCGTTCATTTATTCACGTGCTCATCCACTCCTCACCCACTCATCTGTCACTCACTCACTCATTTATTATCCTTCCCTCTCTCCACACACAGTCGGGAAAATGCTGCTTCTTGACCAGTCATCTGCCCAGCACTGTGCTAGCCACACATGGCTTTATTTCATCCTGGTCACAATTTTAAGGGAAGCTACAATAATCCTGCCATTTACAAATGTGGAAACCTAGGCTCGTGGTGCCAGCTGTTCTCCCCTCCCCCCAGCCCACCGTCCCCCAGGACACAGATCCCAAGTGCTGGAACCCAATTGGAAGGTGCCTCTGTGGGTCTTAGCTTGCTCAGCAAGGCAGGATTATAACATTTAAAAGTCAAGATGGAAGCTCTTGGTGGTCCCAGAGGTGAGCTCTTTCCTAGAAGACTTGGTGCCAAGGCCTGGCTGAGGAGTGGTTAGAGTCTGTGTCTGCAGAGATCAACTGCCCTGGCCTGGGCCAGGGGATGGGGGTGCTGGCATCCTTGCATCTCCAATCCAGCAGAAGAGGGAGCAGGCAGTGCCCAGTGTGGAGAGAGGCAGAGCGGACCTGGAAGACCTTCAAGGCCATGGCAGAGAAGAGATGCTGGATGCTTCCAGTCCCAAGTCCCGGGGGCTGCCCTGAGCCCACAGGGACCTCCTGCTGGTGTTGTGGGGAATCAAAACAGGTGTCAAGGTGCCTAGGCAGGAAAGGATTAAAGAAGGGCTGAAAAAAAATGTAATTTACATGCAAAAGTCTCTCTATCCTTCCCTCCAGACAACCCAAGGCTTGTGCAAACCAATCAATATTTAATGAAGACATTTCCCTCTGACGTGGAGGGAGGCAGGTGGTTGCCCGGCTTTCCTCTGCACAGGGAACAGACAGGAGCTCCGGTCTGCAGGGCCTTGATACACCTTTGGGGTTGATTCCTCTGGGCCAATGCCCATCCCACTGTCTTGAAGGATGCCCCATCTCTCTGATCCTGGGTTCATTCTTCCCCCTTTCTCCCGCACCCAGCTGCCTTGGAAATGGGAAGCTTCCTCCTTGTGCACTTGAACAGCCCAGGTGCCCACACCATGCCATGAGCACTCAGTACATGCCTGCTGTGGGAATGTCGGAATGCGTGAGTGGGTAAGTAAGCGAGTGGGTGAATGTGCAAAGAATTGATGGAGTGAATGGGTGAGGGGATAAATGGGTGCATGGGGGAGTGGGTGAATGGGTGAGTGGCTGAATGAATGAGTGGGTGAATGGGTGAACCGGTGAACTGTTGAATGGGTAAGTGGTGAATGGGTGAATGGGTGAGCAGGAGAAAGGGTGAATGGGTGAATGGGTGAGATGGTGAATGGGTGAGATAGTGAGTGAGTGAGTGGGTGAATGAGTGAATGGGTGAACAGGTAAATGAGTGAAGGAGTGAATCAGTGAATGGGTGAATGGGTGAATGAGTGAAGGAGTGAATGTGTGAATGGGTGAATAGGTGAATGGGTGAATAAGTGAATGGGTGAGTGGGTGGGTAAATGAGTGAGTGGGTGAATGAGTGAGTGGGCGAGTGGGTGAGTGAGTGGGTGAGTGAGTGGGTGAATGAGTGAGTGGGTGAGTAAGTGAGTGGGTGAATGCTTTCTCAACTCCCACAGGTGCATGGTTCCAGCTGCCTGAGGACTCTCCCTGTGTGGACGCACCTTGCTAGGAGTTCAGTGTGAAATGCACTGATGTACTCATCAGCCACCAGAGGCCCAGACATCAGGCAGGTGTCCTGGCTGGTCAGCCACAGCCCCTCCTCCCCCAGGGCCTGGGCAAACCTGGTAAGGCTTCATCTACTCCAGGCCCCTGGGCTCTTCTCTAGGCCCTTGGGGGGGATGAGACACGTCCCTGGCTCCTCTCCCTGCCCCCACTGCCACTTTGACCCACTGTGGAGGCTGCTTAGCTCCATGAAGCTCTGGGATCAGCCTCATGCCCCAGAAGTGAGTGATCTTGAGCCCCAGCCCCGAGCCCAGGGTTCCCTGCTTTGGAGACTGGAATTCTCAGGCCTTTCTTCCTCAAACACGGACTTGCTGGAGCCACATGTGGGAGACTGGACAGGTCATCCTTGGCCTGGATCCCCACAGCGGTGCCCGAGCTGGATGGGAAGTACACACAGCACGTACACCATGCACCACACACCACACATCCAGCAGCAGACGCTGCTGCAGAGGGAAGCAGAGGGCTCGAGGAACAAGAGGGGAATAGGGGCATCAGCAGCGCCCCTCCAGGAGGTGCATTCGGCTGCAGCCTCGAGCAGGGCCAGGCTTGAAGGGGGTGGCACAGTGGAGTGTGGCGCGGAGTGAGGGAAGCCTGAGGCAGGGGGAGGCCTGCAGAGCCCTGCTGGGTGGGGAGGAGGAGGCTTCTGGAAGGACCAGATCTGCTCTGGAGGAGAGCAGCCTTCCAGCAGGTGAGGGGCAGGGGCTTCCAGACCAGCCTGAGCCTGCCCTGCTCTGCAGCTGCCACTGGGCCCCGGAAAGCAAGGGGCCTGCTGCCTGGGAAAGCCTCATTTGCAGGGAGGTGACCCTCAGGGTCCAGAGTGGGGAGGGCCGGAGTGGCTGGGCTGAGCTGTCCCCTGAGGACTCTCGTGGGGGACAGTGCTGGGGCGGCTGGCCTGGAATCAGGATCAGAACTCCTGGGTTCCCTGTAATGTGCTGAGACAGAGCTGCGGCCGGGCCTCTGACTCTGGGGTGGGTGGGGCCCTCTGGGGCACCCCCTCGTTAAAAGTTAGTGCTGAGGCAGAGTCTTAAGTCGGAGCAGGCAGGGCTCCCCTGCAGGCAGGCAAATCACAGCCTCAGCCCAGTGATTAGGCACCACCTCTGTGGAAGGGTCCCAGAGCTGCCTGTGATCCCTCACCCTGCAGTCTGAGTAATTCCTGAATGACAACCATCCACACTCCCTCACCCGTGCGGATACTGCCGGAAGAGCCCTTGCCAGGCCCCTACAGCTGGGTCTTCCCAAATCCACCTTCCACGGCTAGTTCCATCCTGTCCTGGGGTCAGTGGGGGAAGGGCAGGCCAGGCTCTCATCCCTCACCATGGCTGCTCCCCGTCATTCACTCATTTGCTCTTTCATTCCCTCATCCCACTGCTGTTTTCAGATGCTTCTGGAGCACAGAGCTGGCCATGTGGTTGGCTGGGAGCGGCAGATAAACCCATGCAAGTTTTATGGAGGAGAAAACAGAAGTTCTGAGAGATCACTTGCCCAAAGCCACATGGTTGGAAGGCTTGTGTTCATCCCTGCTCCCAAGACTCGCCTGACTCCACAGCATTCCATAGCCCTGGCCTGAAACTCTGGTCGCCTCGTGCCCGGTGTAAGGGTGGGGGCACTCCCAGGAGGGCTCGGAGGAGGCTTGGCTGGCCGTGTTCTGGGCCCTGCGTGATCCCAGGTTCTCCGACGGACCCCGGGGTGGCCGGGAGAAGCCGTATGTGCTGTGGACAGAGGTGTCTGCCCCCCAGCCCTGCCCAGGCCCAGGTCCTGCTCCTGTGCCTCGTGAGGGGGTGTTGCTGCCCAGTGCAGGCCTCACCTAGCAGTTCCTGGGCACTGGCTGAGGTCTGCTCCTGCTCCAAGTCCGGGGTCTCAGCCAGGCCCAGCCGGTGAGGGAGGCTGTGTGGCCTCGTGGGGTCGGGGCGGGTAGCTTCGAAGTGGTCAGCTGCTGCCTGCTGTGGCGGCTGGGGCTGGAGTCCTGCTCCTGGCTTTCCAGGATGCACAGGCTGGGCTTGGAGGAGCAAGAGGAGGCGGATGGAGGGCGGAAAGGAGCCCAGGGCCATGGCTCCCAACTCCTCTGAAAAGCCCGTGAGCTCGATAGCATCCACTTTGCATTTTATCAAATCGCCATTTCTCACAGAAGAATCTGTCAGCCACCAAAATTGCTGGCTGAAAGGAGCAGGAATGAAAAGATTCACCTTGAGGACATTCCTCTTTGTCAGGAGCAGAAAAGATTCCATTTGCCAGCCGGGAGAGGATTCCGGGTTCATTGATAGCAGCGTGCTGAGCTTCACGGGGAAGGGCTTCAGCAAATGGTCCTGCTTTTTCATGTGAAGCAAATTGTGGATAATGCGCCCTGCATTCTGTAATTACGAACATGAATAAAAGGGCCTTGGGCATTCACCGCGGAGTGGAAGCCTGTGTACCACCCAGGCATCCAGCAGACGGTGGGCCACGTGGTGTGGCCACTGCTGTCCTGCTGTCCTCCTGGCCTACCATCCTGCTGGCTGTTCCTCTCCAGCTGAGGCATCCTGGTGCCAGTGAGCCCTGAGCCCTCCGTCTCCAGCTGCTGCCCCATGCCCAGTGCCTGCCTGCTCAGCTCCCAACTCACCCGTGTCCTTCCTGTCTCTGCCCCAGCGAGGTTTGCTAAACCATGTCCATCCTCCAGCCCCTTGGAGCACCCTCCCCCAGGAAGCCTCCCTGACCCACCATCCACTGGGCTGTCTCCCATGCTGTCTGGAGCCTCACTTGTGCCCGTTGTCCAGGGCCTCCACCCCCGGCAGGGGTCCAGCTCCGTCTCCCTCTGTGCAGGCACCAGGTGACTCTGGGACTCAGCCCCTCCATCAATAAGGTGGACACCACCTTTGTGTTGCAGCTGGAAGGAAGGACAGGGCCCGGAATAGGGAATGGGCAGGGGTAGGGGAGCTAGGGACTCTGGCTCAGCCCCACCATGGATTTGTGGGTGTTGTGGGTGAATCTCTTCCAATCTCAATGCCTCAGTTTCCCCATCTGTCACTGAAGCCTTGTATAATCAGAAAGGGATGGGTTGGTGGTACAAATCCCAGAAAACACTACTCGAAACCCCACCATTCAGTTCCCACGTCTGTGGCATTAGTGTCCTAGGCTGCCGTACCCAGGTGTAGGCACACCTTGTTTTATTCCTCTTCACTTTATTGCACGTTGCAGATACTGTACTTTTTTTTTAACAAATTGAGGGTTTGTGGCAGCCCTGTGTTGAACAAGTCAATCAGAGCTGTTGTTCTAACAGCACGTTGCTCATGTCACATCTCTGTGTCACACTTTGGTAATTCTCACAACATCGCACGCTTTTGCATCATTACTGTATGTTATGGTGATCTGTGGTCAGTGATCTTCGATGTTACTAGTGTAACTGGGGAAACCATGAACCATGCCACATCTCTCACTTTAAATCAAAAGCTAGAAGTGATTCACCTCTGTGAGGAAGGCAGGTGGAGACCCCATGCAGGCCGAAAGCTGGGAGCTGGGCATCTGGTGCCGGTTGGCCAAGTTGTGAATGCCAAGGAAAAGTTCTATAAGGAAATTTTAAAAATTTTAAAAATGCTGATGTGGAGACAGCTCGAGTGGTCTGGATAGATCCAAGCAGCCATCACACTCCCCTTAAGCCAAAGCCTCACCCCCAGCGAGGCCCTGATTCTCAGTTCTGTGAAGGCTGACAGGGATGAGGAAGCTGCAGAAGAAAAGCTGGAAGCTGGCAGAGGTCGGTTCGTGAGGCTTAATGTGTGTCCCCAGAACATGAAAGTGCAGGGTGAAGCGGCAAGTGCTGACGGAGAAGCTGCAGCGAGTTATCCAGAAGATCCAGCTTGGATCATCGACGAAGGTGGCTACACTAAACAACAGATTTTCAACGTGGAAGACACAGCCTTCCATTGGAAGAAGATGCCATCTAGGACTTTCATAGCTAGAGAGGAGAAGTCGATGCCTGGCCTCAAAGCTTCAAAGGACAGGCTGCCTCTCTTGTTAGGAGTGAAGGCAGCTGGTGACTTTAAGTTGAAGCCAGTGCTGATTTACCATTCCTGAAATCCTAGGGCCCTTAAGAATTACGCAAAGTCGACTGTCTGTGTTCTGAAAATGGAACAACAAAGCCTGGATGACAGCACATCTGTTTACAGCACGATTGGCTGAATATTTTAAGCTCACCGTTGATACCTACTGCTCAGAAAAAAAAAAGGTTCCTTTCAAAATATGACTGCTCATTGACATGACCTGGTCACCCAAGAGCTCTGCTGGAGACTCGCAGGAGACGAACGTTGTTTTCATGGCTGCTCACACGACATCCATCAGGCCGCCCACGCATCAGGGAGTCATTTCAACTTTCAAGTCTTACTATTTAAGAAATACATGTTGTAAGGCTGTAACTGCCATAGACAGTGATTTCTCTGATGGATCTAGGCAAAGTCAATGGAAAATCTTCAGAAAGGATTCTCCATTCTAGAAGCCGTGAAGAATGGGAGGAGGTTGAGATATCAACATTGACAGGAATTTAGAAGAAATGGATTCCAACTCGCATGGATGACTTTGAGGGTTCAAGACTTCAGGGAAGCAGGAACTGCACATGTGGTGGAAATAGCAAGAGAACTAGAATTAGAAGTGGAGCCTGAGGATGTGACTGAATTGCTGCAGTCTCATGAAGAAACTCGAATGGATGAAGAGTTGCTTTTTACGGATGAGAAAAGAAAGTGAACACTGTTGAAATGACAACAAAGGATTTAGAATATTCCATCAAAACTTAGTTGATGGAGCAGTGGCAAGGATTGGGAAAATTGACTCCACTGCTGAAAGAAGAACTACTGTGGATAAAATGCTGTCAACAGAATCGCACGCTACAGCAAAATCTTTCAGGAAAGGAAAAGTCTATTGATGAGGCCAGCTTCACTGTTGTCCTAAGAAATTGCCACAGCCACCCCAGCCTTCAGCACCCACCACCTCCATCAGACAGCAGCCATCAACATGGAGGCAAGACCCTCACCAGCAAAAGATGATTCACTGAAGGCACAGATGGTCGTTAGCATTGTTTGGCAATGAAGTGTATTTTAATTAAGGTAAGTACATTGTTTTTTAGACGATGCTATTGCACACTGAATAGACTACAGTACAGTGAAAATGTCACTTTTATATGTACCGGGAAACCAAAAAATTCATGTGACTCACCGTATTGTAAAACTCACTTTATTGCAGTGGTCTGGAATGGAACCCACAATATCTCTGAGATTTGCCTGTACCAGATCGTGGGTGGCTTAAACAACAGAGATTTTTTCCCGCAATGTTTTGAAGGCAGAAAGTCCAGGATCCAGGCATTGACAGGGCTGGGTCCTTCCGGGGCTGTGAGGGAGAACTTGTTCCACAGCTCTTGCCTCGTTTCTGGAGGTTGCTGGCCGTCTCTGGGGTCCACGGCTTGTGGAAACATCACCCCGACCCTTGCTCTCACCCCCTCGGTGTTTGCCCTGTGCACGTGTTTGTATCCAAATTCCTTCTTTTTATAAGGACAACTGTCATGTCCGATGAGGGGCCTGCCCTGCTGCAGGGTGGCCTCATTTTTCTAATCACATCTGCAGTGACCCTATTTCTAAATAAGATCACGTTCTGTGTACTGGGGATTCGGGCTTCGACATCCAAACTCCACCTGTAGCATCTGGAGCTGGTGGCTTGGGCTGCTCAGCCTCTGTGCTGGCGTGTACCCCCGACACAGGCCACAGGGACACCTCCTCCCTGCAACCCCTTTGCCATGGGATGGCCCATGCCAGGGGGACGGCTACTTGACTTGGGGGACGCAAACAAGGTGGGGGCTGGTCTGAGGCCAGAGTCTGCATCTGGGTGCCCCACCAAGGCTGTGTTCACACCTCTGAGAGCTGACCCACAAACTCACCTGGGACCCGGGGGCCTGCAGCCCTCAGGACCTGCCCCTGCCCTCCCCTCCCCTCTTTCTTTCCTTTGCTTTGCTTTCTTAGAGGATACAGAATGGATGTGGCTGGTGGGACACTCACAAGGGGCTTTTAGACACTGCCTAGTAAAAGAGCTTGGCGCTTGAGGGGGCTTGGCCAAGTCTTCATCCCCCACCTGCGGGGCATCCAACTGCCCTGGATCCCCTGCGTCCCTTCACTGTGACCTTGGGCCTGGAGGGAGCAGACAGGCAGGCCTCACCTCCTGCGCTGTGTGCAAATTAAGTGCTGTGATGCCAGTGGAGCTGGCCCCCGGGGCTGGCCTGGGTGGTCAGGCCCCCCTTCCTTCCTCCTTCCCTGCCTCCCTCCCTCCTGCCCTTGGAAGAACAGCCTGGGCTCTCACCCACCAGGGAAGACTTCTTTCTGTCTCTCTCTTTCTCTCTGCTGTGGTCTGGGGGCTTCCAGGGGTGGTCTCCTCACTGTGTGCTTAGCGTCTCCTCCCTGCCCACTCCCAGGCACTTTCTGTTGTGTTCCCATGGGGTGGGGCGGGGTGAGGGCACGGATGTGGCATGTGGCCTTCCCAGTGAGCGCTGAATAATTAACAGCCAGGTAATGAAAGGCTCACTGGGTATTGATTGTGCCCTGGGGCCAGTGTGGGGAGGACTCATGTGTCCCAGCCCAGTGTCACCACCCACAGGCAGGCGGGAGGGCACCAGCTCAGAGGAACCTGAAGCCAGTGAAGGGCCCACAGCTGCCCACTGAGCAGCTGGCCAGGGCCCAGGAACTCCCCCTCTGCGATACCTGCCCCAGGAGTGCCCTGTCAGAGGGGAGAGGCCCAGGAGAGTGGGCGCTTACAGGAGATCCCCCTGCCTGACAGTCCTGGAAGGCTTCCAGGGCAGGTGGGGCTGGGCCTCCTGCAGCTGGGTGGGGCCGGCAGAGGTGGGCAGTGTGCTTTCAGGGCCCTGCAGCAGCTGGAGCCACCGCCTCATCCAGAGCCCCGCTGCTCAGAGCAGGGCTGCCTTCCCTCCATAATTAATTCATTGGGCCTCTGGCCCCTGTCTGGCTGCATCTCCACAAGGGAAGAAAGAGACCAGCCACCTCCCTCTCTGAGAGCAGCTTACACAGCAAGGCCCGTCAGGCTGAGCCACAACCTGGGACCCTCACCCTGCCCCCGTGCTGTGCTGGCCTGGCCCTTGGGTTCACCCACTGCTGGCTGCCTAACACCCTGTCCTCCAGGGGCTGGAGTCCAGCCCCTTTCTGGGAGCCCCCATTCCAGCCCCACAGGCAGTGTAGTAGCCAGTGCAGAGTCCGCACACGGCAGTCACCTGCCTCTCCCCTGGCCCTGGCTGGGTGACTCCCTGGGGTGTGGGGTGAGGACCATACGGCTCCTGTACCAGGGGCAGCCCCAAACTCCTTGCCTGGTGCTTCACCAGCCCCCAGCGTCTCCAGGTCTGATTGACTCATTATCTGCTCCATCGCCCTCCTTCCCACACCTAAGCTCTGACCCTGGGTAGGGGTCCAGCCTTGCCGTGTCTGAGGCCAGTGGAGACGGGCCTGGCACTGCCCAGCAGAGCACGCACGGCCATGCTGGAGCTCACCCCACAGGACGGAGAATGACACCAGCGCAGCTGCAGTAAGGACCAGGGGGTGCCCGGGAGGCTGGAGGCTAAGTAGGGCCCCTTGGTCCTGTGGTGGGAATGGGAACAGGGCCCTGGTGGGAGGGAAGTCCTGGGACAGAGCTTGGCCAGCCAGACACAGGCATGCAGTGGGAGGAGCTTGTGTCAGCAGTTCCTGGGGGAAGCTTACGGTCAGCCCCCGGCACGTCTCCTGGCATGGCCGCGGAGAAAACAGGCCACTGCGGGGAGGCAGCCGCCGGGCTAGGGGCTTGGCAGAGTGACCAGGCCCAGCTGTACACCCTTGCTGCCGTCCTGCTTCTCCATAACATCCTGTGTGGTTTCCTGCCCTGGCAGTCCTGGAGCCTTCACCCCGACTGCCCCAGGCCTGCCTCCCTCAGCTCCGCCCATCTGCAGGAGGCTCAGCTCCACCTCCCCCTGGAAGCCCGCCAGGACTACCGGGCCAGGCCAGAGGGCTTCCTGCGAGCGCCCACTCTCCTGGGCTTCCTCCCTCCTAGTGGGCGCTCCCCAGTGGACACGGATTCACTGTGCGTCCCTGGACACCTCTGGAATGTCAGCTGTCCCAGCGCATTGTCCCGATTTGTGGGATGGACTGCAGGGTTGTTGGGAGGAATAGAACAGGGCCCACCACAGCCTGGGACCATCTGCACCAGCTGGGATCATAGCTTGGGGCAGATTTTCCTAGTTCTGGCAAGACTTGCTTGAGCATAGAGAGGTCAAGGAGGCCGCATGTCTTGGGGGTAGAGTGCAAAGGGCAGGGGCTGACCCTTCCCAGTTAGCGGGGGTCCTGGGGAGGAGTAGATGCTGGGCCATCGTTCCGTGGAAACAGGACTTTAGGGGAGCCAGGGCCGTGGGCCTACCCTCCCTTCTCACTGCTGGTGACCAGGCTCGGCTTGAGGATGGGCGTGGACACGCTGGCTGCAAGGGCGCCATGTCTGGCGCCTACCTTGGGCCTGCTCTGCTCTCCTATGACTGCCAGTGGCCCCAGCACAGGTGATGGAGGGAGTGGGACAGGGTCCTTCCCCAGCACCTGCCCTCAGGGTGGCTGGACTGCCTGATGACAGCCTGTACTGACCCTGTGGTGCTGGCAACCCCACAGGAGCCCTAGGCCCTGGCCAGCCAGGCCTTCTTGGGGCACGACGGGGCCAGGGCTGGCTCCAGGGAGCCACTCGGCTGTGGGGCGTGGGCCTCATTTTAGGGTTTCTCCTCCTCCCACTCCAAGGCACTGTGCCCACTAGTCACCCCTTGCTGGGCCTCCGGGGGTCACAGTGAGGCTGGGCCAGGTCCCCTGCCTGGAGCCCACCTCCCTGAGCACCCCGACTGCCCCACAGGAACCATGGTGGGACTTGCTTGCTGGTAGCCATCAAGTCAGCCCTGCGAAGTCTGATGTTTGGAAATGCCGCTCACAGGCCACCTGCCTGCTCTTGGAGGCCCCGTTACCAGGAAGGCCTTTCCCATTCTGCAGGTCTGGGCATGTCGTGAGTGGGCCAGCACTCACACTGCCTCACAGTGAAGGGCACACAGCTGGGGACCCTGGAGTCCTCTGCTCCGGGAGGGGGTCCAAGCCCCTGAGACTCACCCTTTTCCGGGTAGTTCCTAGCCCTACAGCATGTTCCTGGCCAAGACTCCCACCTCCTGCCCTGCCCCTGGCCCTCCCTTGCACCCTGGGGGCCTCCTTACGTTGCTCCTGGGCATTGCCCTGGCAACCCCTGGTCTCCATCTTCCCTCAGTCCACCCCACACCTGCTGTCAGCATCAACTTCAAACACATTCCAGAGCCTACCCTTCTGCTCAAGGACCCGCCATGGCTCCCCATTGCTGTGGGGTCAGAATGCCTCTGTTCAGTCCCCAGCCCTCTGTTTGGTTCCAAATGAGTGCCTGTGTGGGACTGCTCAGCCCCTCCCTGCAAAGCCCATGGAACTTATACCTACCTTCTGGAGTCCTTGGTTGCTGGGATCAGGGCACCCCTGAGCAGGTGGTCCTGGGGATGGAATAGGGTTGGCTGGAGGCACCACAGCAGCTAACACGGCCGGGGCTCCAACCTCCCACCCGCCCCTTTCTGTTGTGTTGAAGGATGGGGGTTGGTGAGATCCGCCTGGCTCCAATCCAACCCCTGCCACTGGCCAGCAGCCCCTCCAAAGCAGGGGCCCCCCACACCAGTCCAGAGGGCCATCCATGCTGGTCCCCACCTGCTCCAAAGGTGTGGGGAGGCCGGTGGCGGGTGGCGACAAGCAGGGGCACAGGGCACTAAAGCCCTGACCTTACATTAGCAGCCGTGAGACTTCTGTCAGCATCCCAGGCCCCTCGGGGACAGTGTGGGGCAGGAAAGCTCAGGCTGGTAGACTCCAGGGGAAGGGATGAGCCCTGTGAACTCCCAGTAGCCCCAACCTCACTCCCCGAGGCCCAGGAAACTTTGTTTCAGAAATCAGGTTCTGGGCTGGGGACAGAAAGAATGCAGGACCCGGACCTCCTGAGGTCACTTTTACAGAGAAGACCCCTCCAGCTCCGGGGCGCCTGAGCCCGCTCTGTCTGCAGAGGGCAGCCACTCACTGCAGGCGCGGGCCCACGTGAGCCCTAGGCCGAGGCTCTGTGGCTGGTTCCCCCTCTGGAGGGCAGGAAGGACGGGGCCTGAGCTCAGGCGGGGTGGCCCTGCACAGGGTCCCTCTAGACACCCTCAGGCCTTGCCTGAAGCTCACCCTCCAGGGAGGTAGCAGGGGCCACCTCAGGTGCCACAGGTGCTCTTGACAGAGACTGTCACCCTGGTCTCTCCGTGATCCTCAAAGGCTGGGGCCACTTCTGTGACAGGCAGCCCAGGGTGTGGTGACCGTGCCTAGCCCACCGTGAGCATCCGGGAGCTGGGGACTGGCGGGCTCCAGGGTGGCTACCAGCTTGTGAAGGAGGGGTTGGGCTGAGACCTGGCCCACAGGACATCACCGAGGAAGAGATACCACTGAAAACAAAACCCGTTAGCCCCGTGGCTCTAAAGTGGACCAGGGAAGTCTCGGGGAACCCCGGCCGTGCTCCTCAGAGCAGCTGTGGGTGGAGGTCACCTCGGAGCGGAGCAGGCACAGGGTGCCCCCATGGCTGGCCCGACTGGCTGGAGGGGCTCCAGGAGCCCTGTGGATGCCGTGATTGGAGGGGGCGGGCGCTGCCCTCTCTAGAGGGGCCGGGGTGGCAGGGACACTTTGCCACCACAGCAAACTCAGTTTCTGACCATCTGTCCTCAGCAACTCCACAAGATGGAGGAGGTGCTTCTGGTCCCAGTTGTGATTCCTTCTGTGTGGGCTAAGAGCTCCTTCTGCAAGCTCCAAGTCCAGGCTTTGCTCCAAACTGGGCACCGCTGCTGTGCCCCACCTTCCTGAAGGCCTCCTCACGGGTGTGGGCAGGTGGGCCAGGCTCGGGGCCCTCAAACAACGGGGCCGGGGCAACCACGGAAACCGAAGCATCAGCGCCTGTCCACAGTGCGGGGCCCGTCTGGAGTAGCCGGCTCCCTGCCACCCCCGTGGGAAGGGCACCCGGGGCCTGCCAGTGCAGAGCCACCCTGAAGACGACTGCTGCTGTGGACAAGCTCAGGGAGCCGCCAGGTGCTGCTGGGAGGGCTGGGACAGCCAGGTGCGCCTCGGGCCGCAGCTTGCAGATTAGGGGAGGTGAGGTGAGGGGGATG
Source organism: Homo sapiens (assembly GCF_000001405.40). Taxonomy (NCBI): domain Eukaryota; kingdom Metazoa; phylum Chordata; class Mammalia; order Primates; family Hominidae; genus Homo; species Homo sapiens. Next base: position 104,432,915 of record NC_000014.9, on the reverse strand, counting down.
AGGAGGTGTGGGTGGTGCTTGAGCACCAGCCTCAGAGATACCCTCCCGGCGGCCACATCCTAGGCTGGGAAAGGGGTCTGTGCAGCGTTGTTTGCGTCCGTGTGTTCCACGGGCTCCGGCCCCTTCAGGATCGGCCTCCCCACTGCTGGGCCAGGAGCCGGTTGGGCATCTCCAAGGATGTCCCCAGGGCTGACCCTTGGTGCTTCATAGACTCCGAGGCTCCTTGGTTGTGTCCCCAGCTCTGGGTCTCTCTGGTCCCTGGTCCCAGACCCTGGTGGAACCCAGGGTGGTGACCCTGGCCAGAGCCCTGGTGGGCTGGCTGCTGTGGGTCCCAGGCAGGCCCTGGTCTCCACCAGCCCTGCCACAGAGTGCAGGTAAAATGGGGACCGTAGGTATGGGGAGGCCCAGCCAGCCTGGCCAGATGCAGAGGGCCAGGCAAGTGGTTGCTCTCGGTGGCATGGGGACCCATTTCTCTTCGCTCCTTTCGGGCTTGGTGTGGCCCAGACCCTTCCTCAGGCCTCACCCCACTCTGGCCCAACCTCAAGCTGGGGCCTGCCCCAGGGACCACCCTCCACATCACTGGAGCGTGCAAGGACCATGCCCAGACTGAGCCCCTACCCCAGGATGGGCTACAAGGCCCTCTGGAGACATGGGGTGGCCAGAAGGGACCCCTGGCCCTCCCTGAGCCCAGGTCAAGGCTGTGCCCTGTGGGGGCAGCTCCAGAGCTGTGCCGGCTCCTCCCACAGACAGCAGGGAGAGGAGCCTGTGCTCCTCCCACAGGAGCCGGCTCCTCCCACAGACAGCAGGGAGAGTTTAGTGTGCAAACTGGAAGGCCAGGGCCCTTCTGGGGACCGGATGCTCACCTGAGCCCCTCCTTGGAGGAGGAAGCTCCTCGAGGAGGTGAGGTCTGGCTGTCCCGGCCCCTCCAATGTCGCTATGAGCCAAGGTTGGGCAGGCAGATCCCACCACCATGGGGCAGGCAGAGCTGGGTGACCGTTCCAGGACACTGTCTCTGGAAATTTCTGCAAGACACTTGTGAGGGTGAAGTGTGCTCTTCCACCGCCACCTCAGGAGCTTCAGCCCGGCAGGCAGCCCCACCCCTGCCCAAGCCCTCCTGCTTCTGGAGCTGCAGGAGGACCCATCTCAAACTCCTGAGGCTGTCAGAGCTCTGCCACTGCCCCTTCCCTTGGCCCAGGCAGAAGCTGGCACGGGGCACCCCCCATGTCCCTCACCCTAGGCACCTCTGCTGTGGGGTCCTTGGGACTTCTCTCCACCTGGAGCTGGCTGGTCCACTTGCAGCAGACGCAGCCTGAGGTGGGTACTGGGCCCATCCTGGGGTGGAGGTGGGGCACCTACGGATGCGCTCAGCCCACTGAGCTTCTGGATCCTGCTCTCCAGAGCGGCGATGGCAGGGCCGCTTTAGGACAGAGAAGGCAGTGGCCCCCACACACGGTGGGAGGGGCTGAAAATCCACAGAGCAGCTTTGGAAAATTGGATCTACTGAAGCAGGACCGTGGCTCCACGAAGACCCAGATGAGCCCGCAGTGGGACGATGAATGGATAGGGTGCTGCCACCGCAGTGGAATTAGTGAATGGATATGGTGCTGCCTCCGCAGTGAGATGAATGAACAGATATGGTGCTGCGCCCGCAGTGGGACGGATGAATGGATATGGTGCTGCGCCCGCAGTGGGACGGATGAATGGATAGGGTGCTGCGCCCGCAGTGGGACGGATGAATGGATATGGTGCTGCGCCCGCAGTGGGACGGATGAATGGATATGGTGCTGCGCCCGCAGTGGGACGGATGAATGGATATGGTGCTGCGCCCGCAGTGGGACGGATGAATGGAAAGGGTGCTGCCTCCTCAGTGGGACGGATGAATGGATATGGTGCTGCGCCTGCAGTGGGACGGATGAATGGATAGGGTGCTGCCTCCGCAGTGGGATGGATGAATGGATAGAGTGCTGCCTCCGCAGTGAGACGGATGAATGGATATGATGCTACGCCCGCAGTGGGATGGATGAATGGATATGGTGCTGCCTCCGCAGTGGGACGGATGAATGGATATGGTGCTGCGCCCGCAGTGGGACGAATGACTGGCTAGGGTGCTGCTCCCGCAGCGGGACGGATGAATGCATAGGGTGCTGCCTCCGCAGTGGGACAGATGAATGGATATGGTGCTGCGCCCGCAGTGGGATGGATGAATGGATATGGTGCTGCGCCCGCAGTGGGATGGATGAATGGATAGGGTGCTGCGCCCGCAGTGGGACGAATGACTGGCTAGGGTGCTGCTCCCGCAGCGGGACGGATGAATGGATAGGGTGCTGCCTCCGCAGTGGGACAGATGAATGGATAGGGTGCTGCCTCCGCAGTGGGAGGGATGAATGGATATGGCGCTGCGCCCGCAGTGGGACAGATGAATGGATAGGGTGCTGCGCCCGCAGTGGGACGAATGACTGGCTAGGGTGCTGCTCTCGCAGCGGGATGGATGAACGGATATGGTGTTGCCTCCGCAGTGGGACAGATGAATGGATATGGTGCTGCGCCCGCAGTGGGATGGATGAATGGATATGGTGCTGCGCCCGCAGTGGGACGGATGAACGGATAGGGTGCTGCCTCCGCAGTGGGACAGATGAATGGATAGGGTGCTGCCTCCCCAGTGGGACGGATGAATGGATATGGTGCTGTGCCCGCAGTGGGACAGATGAATGGATAGGGTGCTGCGCCCGCAGTGGGACGGATGAACGGATAGGGTGCTGCCTCCGCAGTGGGACAGATGAATGGATATGGTGCTGCGCCCGCAGTGGGATGGATGAATGGATATGGTGCTGCGCCCGCAGTGGGACGGATGAACGGATAGGGTGCTGCCTCCGCAGTGGGACAGATGAATGGATAGGGTGCTGCCTCCCCAGTGGGACGGATGAATGGATATGGTGCTGCGCCCGCAGTGGGACAGATGAATGGATAGGGTGCTGCGCCCGCAGTGGGACGAATGACTGGCTAGGGTGCTGCTCCCGCAGCGGGACGGATGAATGGATAGGGTGCTGCCTCCTCAGTGGGACGGATGAATGGATATGGTGCTGCGCCCGCAGTGGGACGAATGACTGGCTAGGGTGCTGCGCCCGCAGTGGGACGGATGAACGGATAGGGTGCTGCCTAAACGCAGGGCAACCTGAGCAGCAACACGGACAGTCACACACAGAGCAAAGGCCGCTGGACGAGCACGCGTGCTAAGTTACAGAGGCTGGAGCGGGGCAAGGATGCGGCCAGGGAGCACCCACGGGGGCTGTAGCAGCTCCAGGGGCTCGGGAGGAGTCTCAGGGCGGTGATGTCTTGGCTGTCCGGGCGCCATCACCCCAATGTGCTTTCCATGAAGATTTACTGTCAGTCAAGTTTCCTGAAACATGAGGAGGGTGGAGTCAGCGCCAGCAGCGGGGTGGTGTTGACGGCGTGCACCCTGGAGAGGGTGTGAGCAGATGGCCCTTCCTCCCCACGGCCACAACCCCAGGCTGCTTGTGAGAAGAACACCAGCCGCATCCCCGCGGGGGCATCCTTCAAAGTGCCCGCCCAGGGCACCTCACCACTGTCAAGGTCATCAAAACAAGGAAAGTGGGAAACTGTCCCAGCCAGGAGGTGTCCAAGGAGGCACAACGACCAAACGCCATGTGGTCAACACCGTAGGAACGGGGGAAAAACAAAAACACAAAAACAAAACAGATGTCACCTGGGATCCTGGATGGGGTCTTGGGAGAGGAAAAGACATCAGGGAAAACCAGGAAATCTGAATAAAGTGATGTTGTCATGAATCATGTCAATATTGCTCCTTAGTTGTCAGACGCTTACACTGATGCAGGTTGGTGGCAACAGGGAAACCACCTGTGGGGACGTGGCAACTCTGTGCTGTCTGCAAAAATCCAAAACTGTTCCAGACAGCAGCATGTTAACAAATGCTTTGGGGGTGTGGGTGCAGATGACAGGAAGGTCTGCAGAGGGTCGTTGTTCGGCTGGTGCTGAGTGTGCAGGTGCATTGTGCGTCCTTATTGCTTTCGTGGGGGTTTGAAATTTCCATAAGCAACATGGGCTTGCTGTGCAAGGCAGTGCTTGGGAACCCCTAGGCACACCCGACGGCCGTGCTGAACACGGAGTCTGCGTCACAATACTTGTCTCACCCTGACATCCACCCGCTGACCCTGGAGCCCTTCCCATTTTATAGAGAGGAGAGGTCGGCAAGTGGGTGGGAGGGGCAGCTGCAGGGGCGGGTCTCGGGGCCTGGCTGGTTGGGTGGTGAGACCCCATGTGTGACCTGTGTGATGGCTGCAGGACATTTGATACCCAGGTGCTCTGTCCAGCCGCCTCCTGCGGGGTTTCTAAAGGATCACTTAGGACACAGCTAATGGGGTGGGTGGTGCAGGGTCACTGCTCTTAAGGGAAGGTTCTGGGAGTCCCAGCTGGGAGGTGAGCTCAGCCCTTACTTGTTCTCCCATTGGCCCACCCCTGCCCCCGCCCTCAAGGAGCCCCCAGGCCAGGGTGGGGGTGCAGAGACTCAGGGAGGTGAGAAGGGGCTGCAGGAACGAAGCCGCCAGGCCTCAGGGGCGCCTCTCACAGGCTGGCTTCTCTAATTCCCCACATATGACCTGGCATCAATCAGGCACCTCACTTTACAGATGAGAAAACTGAGACTGGAGGAAGTCACATAGCTGGAGAATGTGGGAGCTGGGGTCCTCCCATGGCAGTCAGAGACCCTATCTTTCTTTCTCTTTTTTTTTTGTTGAGATGGAGTCTTGCTCTGTCGCCCAGGCTGGACTGCAGTGGCACAGTCTCGACTCACTGCAAGCTCCGCCTCTCGGGTTCACGCCATTCTCCTGCCTCAGCCTCCCGAGTAGCTGGGACTACAGGCGCCCGCCACCACGCCCGGCTAATTTCTTTTTGTATTTTTAGTAGAGACGGGGTTTCACCATGTTAGCCAGGATGGTCTCGATCTCCTGACCTCATCATCCGCCTGCCTCAGCCTCCCAAAGTGCTGGGATTACAAGCGTGAGCCACTGTGCCCGGCCAGAGACCCTATCTTTCTATACCCAAGTCCCCAGCTACACACATGGCCTGAGTGCTGGTCCCCACCCTCTGGCTGGCTCGGCCCAAGAACATGTCTGGGAAGAACAGAACAGGTTGGTGGCATCAGGGAAGGCTTCCCGTAGGAGGAGGAAATTGGGGCCTGGTGTGAGGGAAGGCCAGGCCCTGGGGTGCAGGGGGAGTGAGGAAGGTGCCCTGGGTTCGTGGTCATTTGGGGGCACAACCTGAGAAAACCACCAGGCGACCTCCAGGGAGACGATGGCCTCGGCTGCGTGGCCGGGGGTGGTGCCTCCCTAGTCAGCTACTTGGGCAGTGGTGCAGCAGCCCGCAGTGCAGCCCAGGTTGGTTGTATGGGAGGTGGGCACTGCATGGACGGGGCAGTCCCATCTTCCAGAGCCCGTGTGTGCTGCTGGCCTCTGCCCAAGATGGGAGGGTGCACTGGAGGAAGGCTGTAGATTGGCTTCCAACCTCCCAACGCTCAGGGCCTCACTCTCTGTTGTGCAGCTGGGGAAAGTGAGGCCCAGGAGGCCGACTCGGGGAAGGAGCGTGCTGTAGTGATTGGAGCCCCAGGCCAGGCTCGTGGCCCGACTCATCTTGGGAGGTCACAGCAATCGGTGAGGTGGGTTCCTCCTCACTTCAGCGAGGGTCCACCATGCTGTGCAAGGAGCTCGTCCCAGCCAGAGCTCCGTCTCCAAGCCACAGGCTCCCCTATCCCCCTCCATGGCTTCCCAGGAGCAGAGGCTGTGTCTGGGGCTGCTCCCTCGACACTAAGGATGGGCTGAGTAATAAATCTCCCTTGGACCATGTCCAGGAACAAGGGGATTCGGTGACTGCATGGGCTGGGGATGCCAGAGGCCAGAGGCAGCAGGGAGGGAGGAGAGGGGTGGGCGGGGAGGAGGAGGGTGGGCGGGGAGGAGAGGGGTAGGTGCTGCTGCTATGCCTGGTACAGTCACCGGCGGGTGCAGCAGACACCTGACAGAGATGGGGCTCAGATGGGTGCACCCAGGCAGAGCTTAGCAGTTACCGCCCAAGATTCCTGCCTCCTGGCCCTTTTTTTTTTTTTTCTTTTTAAGACGGAGTCTCACTCTGTCTCCCAGGCTGGAGTGCAGTGGCATGATCTCAGCTCACTGCAACCTCTGCCTCCCAGGTCCAAGCTATTCTCCTGCCTCAGCCTCGCAAGTAGCTGGGATTATAGGCGTGCACCACCATGCCTGGCTAAGTTTTATATTTTTAGTAGGGACGGGGGTTCGTTATGTTGGCCTAGCTTTTTAATTAAACAGGAATCCACTTTCTGCTGTGAGGGGACTCTCCAGATGGAGTCATGGTCCCAGGTCAGGCCCCCTTATGACGTGGAGGTCATGGGTTTAGCCTGGCCCAGTCAGGTGAGCCCATTACAAGCCGAGAGCAGAAAAAGAGGCAGAGAGAGTTGGAGAGTGAGGGGTGTGCGTGAGGCATCCTGAGAGGCCCAGGGCTCTAGAGGGGCCCCAACAGCCAGGAAACAGGGCCTCAGTCCCAACCCAGAGGCACCCAGTTCTGCCACCAGCTTGGATGCTCTTGGAATAATGCAGGAGCCAGCACCCGGATGTGAGACACGGGGCAGCGAGTCCAGCTAAGCAAAGCCTGCCCCCAGCCCAGGGAAACTGAGTTGACGAATGTGGTGCTGTCCAAGGCCTTGCCTTGTGGTGAGCTGTTACCCAGCAGCAGGAGACAAGAGCATTCGCCTTTGTCCTTTCTCCCACCCAGGCAAGGGCACGCAAGTGACACACGTGCAGGTGCACACACACAAACGTGTGTACTTGTTCGCACATGCAACACACACAGATGCATACATGTGCACTCACACGTTCTGACGTACACACAGGCCATGCATGCCTGTGCATACACATACATGCACTCACACACACGCACACGTGTACAGACCCACATGTGCATACAGAAGCCCCCTACCCAAACTCTGAGCCGAAACACATGTGCCAACACACAGAGCCCCCATGCAGAGACCTCACACACAAACCCACTCAGAAATAAATGCTCAGGAACATCCTTGCCGCCAGGTGAGAACACTGAGGCCCAGGGCAGGTGACTCTGGGGCAGAATCATGAAGGTTGGGGCAGTGGGGGCAGGGCCAGTCCTGGCACCTGCGTGAGGTCCTCTTCTCCGCCCCTTCCCAGGTCGTGTCCCTGATTCATCCTGGCCCAGAGTAGAGCTCAGCAACTGTAAATTGGTTCCTGGGGAGGGCCGGGGATGTCCGGGGGGGCTTCATCTCCTATCTTCCCCGCAGGTCCTGGTCACTTACTTGTCTGTGGCTGCAGGACGAGTGCCCTGACCACAGCCCCTGGGCACAGGAGAGGTCGTGGGCCCCATACGTGCCCTCTTCCCCACTAGGCCAAAGAGGCCCCGCTCACAGTCCTGGAAACACAGACCAAGACCCTCCCGGTGCTGCAGGGTGTCCTGCCCTGGGCAGGGTGAACTTCGGCCGCCGCCATCCCCTGCACCAAGAGGCTTTTGTTCCGAAGGTGTCTGTGCTTTGGACGTGTGGCTCAGGGGCCTTGGGTGGCCCCCCCATGGTATGTTCTCAACGGTAGAATCTTATCTGGGAAATGGGTGTGGGAGGCGGTGCTAGGGAGGGCTCCTAGGGGATGCCCAGGGAGTGGGGGGCTTCAGCCTGCAACTGGGAAAGACTGGGCGGGAAGCACTGTTGGGTGGGGGGTGGGGTTCAGGCAGGGGCAGGCAGCAGGGCAGGGTCCGGCAAGGGGTATTGGGGCAGGTGGGCTGGACCCAAGCTAAGGTGCCCCAAGGGCAGAGCCAGTGGGGAACAGGCAGCGTGCCGCCCCCACCCTCGGAGTGGCCTTCCAGCGCCTCGCTCCAGTGAGGAGGAAAATGAGAGCCAGCACCTCCCTCTGCTCCACGTGCCCTGGGCGCTTCTCGTGGGGGAGGAGCACATCCAGCTGTGGCGCCCCCAGCTCCTCCCCTCCCTCCACCAGCTGTGGGTCAGAGAGAGTCAACCCACGTGCTCTGTAATCGCCTGCCTGGAGCTCTTCAATCTTTAAACAGCACTTTCTGGAGCTGAGCTCCATCAGCAAACGCTCTCCAAGTGGGGGCGGTGACTGTGACAGACAGAAGCCAAGTGGGACCCTGCGGTCCGGGGCGGCACAGCCCCACCTGGCCATTTGCCCATACTGTGCATCTGTGTGCCCAGCCTCCTCTCACCCAGCTGCCCTTCCAGGCTGGGCTCCAGGCTACAGCCCAGGGGGCTTCGTGGATGCCAGCTGCCCGTCCCTCCCCTGCCAAGAGCTTTCAGGGGCTCCCACGCCTGCTGCTGCAGACGCCTCCCCCGCCACCCATGCAGCCTCCCGTCTGTGGCCTCAGATGCCCCTCAGCTCCTGAGATGCTCCTGGAAGCACTAGGTCCTAGAGGAAGAGCCCTCGATCCACCGGTTCCCCTACTGCCCCCGCTGCCCGCCAGCATCTCTGCTCAGCCAGGACTTCCTTGAACCTCTCCTTCGGGTTGTCCTTTGGACACCCCCCCCAGCAGGATTCTTCCCCGAACCCCTCCTTCCATCCCACTGCCCTGGGCTTCTCTGCACATGGCTTGGGGGGCCGGACTGTCTCCCTAGTGGGGATACATCCTGACCCGCCCCGCCAAGCCTAAGTCACCCCTAGTTTTCTGGGGCTGAGGGCTTCTGGGGCTAGAACTGGGACAGTCCTGGGCAGCTAGGACAGCAAGGAATGGGCAGGTCCAGGCTGCCCCCGCCAAACCCTCTCCTGGATGGGAGCCTAGGATGGGCAGTCCAAACCTGTCCTTGGGTGTCCGGGTGATGGCACCAGGCCACGCCTGGGGAGCAGGTGCAGTCCCCAGCCAGCGGGACTGGCAGGAGAGCCGCTGGGCCCAGCTGGAGGGCAGCCTGGGGCCCAAGGAGCCTCCTGGGGGAGGTGACAGGTGACCAAGCCCATAAGTAGTGGGGTAACGGGGGCCTGGAGTTGGCAGTGTCGGGGAGGGACAAAGACAGGCCAGAGCAGCTTCTCTAAGGAGTGGGGGTTGGGGTCCTGGGGACTTTCTGGCAGGCTTCGTGTTAACAGACTGGAAAGCAGAGGCCCTCCAAGGAGGCCCTTCACCTGCCGTGGGGAGAACAGGCAGCGGGAGGGGCCTGTCTCCATATTTCCACATGGGAGGATTCCCGCTTTATGGGCTGAGGAAAGAACTTGCTGGAGGGGGAAACCCACTTTCACCACCCGGGCGCTGGGGAGGCGTCCCCCCAGCCGAGTGAGCTCCCAGCCGCATCCTGACACACCTGGGCACCCTTCACCTGGCCCCCACACCAGCCCGTGCTCAGGCCCCACCAGCCTCCTCCCCAAACCTGCCGTAATCCCCGGCACCCACCCCAGGGAGTGATGCCATCCCCTCGCTGGGCCAGACCCTGGGGAGGGGCTCTGGGCAGGAGGGTCTGGCAGAGCCCTCAGCCTGCCCCTCCCAGGCCTCTGAGAACGTGGAGACAGAGACCAGCCATGAGATCTAAACAGGGGCGCCTCCCGGGACTGCTCCCGGCCTCTGCACTGGTTAACATCCCTGGGCCTTCGCTGTAGGAATGGCCGGAGGGCTGGGGTCAGAGGGGCAGGGTTCCAGCCTAGAGGCCAGAGCATTCCCTGGGGTTCCCGAAAGCTGTAAACCAGGGTCAAAGCCGTCCTAGGTTTCTGCAGGTCCAGCCGGGGACTGAATGTGGAGAAAAATTCAGCCCCATTCTGAGACCCTCCCCCTTGTTCCCCCTCAGGGAGCTGTGCAGACGCCGGCTTAGGACCAGCCTCCTCGGCTGCTTGTGGGAGGGCAGGGCTGATGCGGGGGCTGCTGGGTCCATTCACGGCCCTGCATCCCTTCAGGCAGAGGGACACACGTCCAGACGGACACACACCCACCATACCCCACACTGTCCAGCGCAGAGCCTCTTGACCCATGACACCCCAAATTCCGTATTTTGTGGGGTGAGATGATGTGGCTTTGCCAGTGAGATGCGTGTAACTCAGTCCCACAACAGCTGAACAGCCCCCATCACAGTCACTGAGCCGCGTCCCGGGCTCAGATACCACACACCCCACACCACAGAGCGGGGCGCTGGGTGCGCAGTCCGGCTCCGCTGCCCGGGAAGCGCGGCAGGCCCGCTGCCGGTCCCCACACCTCACCTCGCACCACACAAGGCAAGTTTGTCTCAGAATAGAGGCGGATCTTCCCATCTGCCTTTTAACAGACCTTCAGAGCTGGCAAGCCTGTCACTTGCTCGAGCCAAACACGGCGAGTTCATTCACTCCATAAAATTTTATGGAGTTCCTCACACGGTCCTTGAGCAGGGACTCAGAGGACACAGTCTCCAGTCCTCCCGCCCTGGCCCTCCTGGAAGCGAAGCCCTTCCTGCCTCCTCCTCACACGTGGGCCTTTCTGCTCCATCAGAGGCGCTGGCTTCCCGCTCCCACCAGCTATTAGCAGTTAGGTGATCTTACTAGGCTCTGATGAGCATCTTGACAGCACTACACCCTTATTGCCCCAAAGCGCTGGAGGTTTCTCGACACTTTCCTAAGCATGGTTCTCTCCAAGAGGCCTGTTTCAATTCAAAACGGCAATGACACGGTCCCCCTGTCTGCAGAACAGCAGAGTGCCCCTGGCAGTCCTGTGCTGGGCTCCCCGAACTAATTAATCTTTTCATTTAGAGGCCACGGAGCTGAGAGACATCACATAGAGTCAAAAGCCGACTCAGTCGCTGCGTCAGGGAGATGGAGAGGGAGAGGGAGAGGGAGTAGGGTGGCTGCGGTGGCTGGGGCGGCCTGGGTGGTGCCAGGAGGGCAGGCTGGAATCCAGTGGGGAAACACCAGGTCCCACAGGAGCGAGGGGGATCAGGGAGGTGATGCTTATGAATTCCTGCAGCACACAAATGAGACACATTCATTTCTGCTTTCAACAAATAATCTTTATTAAGTGGAGTAAAATGTCTCAAAACCAGGACAGCTGCAGAGGCCGGAGCCACAAGCCTGCTCTATGAAGGGACCCCCCACAATGCCCTAGAGTCTGGTGGGAGTGTGGGGAGGGGGCTGCTCAGCCTAACCTGGGCTTAGGTAGCTCAGGACAAGGAGGGGCAGAAAGCAAGCTGGGATCCATGTGGGCCTGGCTCTGGGCAGCTCCTGGGCACCTGGGCCTGGCTTCCCCGGGGTGGTGTGGTACGGCATTTAAGGGGACCTCTGGGAGGGCAGCAGTCAGCCTATTCACATCAGCAGGAACCCATCATGCTGCAGTGGACCCAGGGAGACAGGCCAGTCTCTGGGACCTGCTCACAGCCACGAGCCACCCTGGCCAAGCCCTGCCTCCCCCAGGCCCTTGGTCCTCCCGGGCATCTCTGAGCTGGAGAAATACATGCTTTCCTCCATTTCACAGATGAGGAAAGAGAAATGGAGTGGGGGACAGGCCCCAGGGCCCCCTTCCATCCTATGCACAGAGGCCCAACCGCTACTCTCTTTCCATCTGGGGCCCCGGGGATGCTCTTCAGTATTTTCAGTGGCCCTCCCCACCTCCACCCCCAGGGAGCCTGGGGTAGCCCAGCATCCAGCATCTTGAGAACAGGCACGTCACCTCCCTTCACCCAAGGGCACCAGGTCCGGATTCAGGGACCACAGGTTGCTTAGAGAAGCATTGGCTACGGAGCTGCCCTCTGGCCAGGCAGATGCCCGCGGGTGCCGGACCAGGGGGGCCGGCAGAGTCTGACTCTTCACCAACACCCCTCCCTGCCAGGCTGCGTCGGAGGCTCCAGCCCCACAGGTGCTCCGTGGCAGGCTGGCGGGATGATTCAAGCACATTAAATTTATCATGCACTTTGTTTCTATTATTATTGCATTGTAATATACAGTGAAATAATTATGCAACTCACCATAATGTAGAATTAGTGGGAGCCCTGAGTTTGTTTTTCTGCAACTAGATGGTTCCATCTGGGGGTGATGGGAGACAGTGACAGATCATCAGGTATTAGATTCTCATAAGGAGCATGCAACCTAGGTGCTTCGCATACACAGTTCATAATAGGGTGTGTGCTTCTATGAGACTCTAATGCCACTGCTCACCTAACAGGAGGCGGAGCTCAGGCTGTAATGCTTGCTCATCCACCACTCACCTCCTGCTGTGTGGCCTGGTTCCTAACAGGCCACGGACTGGTACTGGTCCATGGCCTGGGGATTGGGGACCCCTGTTGTATAGTATCTGGACTGTTATCTTCTGAAGTGTGTTGCTATTTGTTCTTGAAAGCCACAACTTTGCTAGACATAAACTTCATAACATAATATAAACATAAATTTGAAGTTTTGCTAGACATAGACTTCAAACCATGTTTCTCCTTTGGTGGACCTCTGCTGAACTATCTGCTGGATTATTCCAGCCTTTCAGCAGTAGCTTTGTGCTGGGCTTCCTGGAGCTTCCTTTGTGCCCGTGCAGTGCAGCTGTCAGCCAAAAATTTGAGCAGCATTTGTGTGCAGATCTGGGGGATTCTCTCTCTCTGGCTCTCTCCTTTCTGGGATTTTTCTTCTATTTCTAGCTGGCCTGGAAGTTCCAAACACTGTTCTCTCACCCCTTCAGCCAGTAAGTTTGCAACTTTCTGTTTAAGTTTTAGTTGCTATACGTCATAAAAATTGGGGATTTTTCTGCACCAAAAGGTCGTAGAAACATGAACTCAATCAACGCAGTTCTTTTCTTTCAACTGTAATGCTTTTCTTTCTGTAATGCTTGCTCATCCACCACGCACCTCCTGCTGTGTGGCCTGGTTCCTAACAGGCCACGGACTGGTACTGGTCCATGGCCTGGGGACTGGGGACCTCTGTTGTTTAGTATCTGGACTCTTATCTTTTTCTGTTTCTGTTTGCTTTTGGCTATTCTCTGGTGTCTTCACATAGATTTTTAAAATATTTTGTCTAAGTTTATATTTGTGATTTGTAAAAATGTTGGTCTGATATATACTCTTCTGATGTTTTGCAATGTATATGTTATTTAACCTGAAAGATAAAAATAAGAATATCTTAATCTTGTATTTCTTTGATTATAATATGAACACTTTTTAATAATTTTTGGTGATTTGTATTCCTTCATTTATGAGTTGACCTTTGCCAATTTTATGTGGGATAATAATGCTTTTGTTGATGATTTTAAAGAGATCTCTCTTTGTTCATGATATTCATTGCATAAATTTTCACCATTTATTTGCTTTTCAAATCTGTTGCTTATGATTTTGATACACGGAACAGGTAGTTATGTAGACAATGCTTTTATGCATGTAAGAGACTTTACTATTTACTAAATGTTTTATCAGAAATGTATTTTTAAATTTTCTGAATAATATTTCAACATTTATTCAGGTTCTATTTTGAGGCCTATTGGTATTTTGTATTATAAATAAAATAATACAATGTGTTATATTAAACCATTCTTCCTTTCCCATGTTAAACCGTCATAGATTGTTGATTAAACACACAGCTGAATTTTACTTGCTTATATTTCACTTTTGATTTTGCATGCAGTTTTATATTCCATAGCAGGCTTTCCCAAAGGATGTACCCCAGATCACCACTCCCAAGAGATGCTTCCAGGTAGAAATGGTTTTTTGCTTGGACGAATAAAATTGGGAAACACTGCAGGCTGTATTCCTGCCCTTCTTAAGAACCACAATGCACATTTGCATATCAAAGGCTCTGAGAAGTTCTGCTTTAAAGATTCTATTGACTTTGTTTAATTCTTTGGTAAATCTTATGAGATAGTGGAAACTTCTTTTAATGTAATGGCTATTTCTTGTAGACTGAAGAACAGATGGTGGATTATATTTGTCAGATTTTGGTTTCAGGGTTACTCTACTTTTATAAAATTACTTTTCCAAATTTACACATTTCTAAAACTGATACATACTTTTGGAATTAATTATGCCTTAAAATTTCACAGCATCTCACCAACAAGAACGCCTGAGTCTGGTACCTCTTTTGGATGTAATTCCTTTCTATTTAAACATTTTTCCAAGAATAATTCTTTATTCATGTTGCTCAGTTCTTTTAATGTTAACTTTGATCATGTATTTATTTCCATTCAGATTTATCATCATATAACCATGCAAATAATGCCTTGTTCATTTTTAAAATTGCATGCACATTTACTGTCTTTATTATGGGATTTTAAATGTTCCTTAATTGCTATTTCTTATGCTTTCCCCTTTGTAGTAACTATTAATAGATTAGCCAGAGTTGAGTCTGTCGTGTTAGATTTTTAAAAGACTTAACTTTTTAATTTACTTATCTCTTAGCTCTTAATGTACTTACTAATCCTCATTTTTCCCTTTTCTAATTCAATAATTTCTGCTATCATCTGCTATTTTGTTCTTCCTTGGAACTGCTTAAAAAACTTATTGACTTGAAAGTTTTGATTTTTTTTTGTGCTAATGAAAGCATTTAAAGATGTGACTTCATCTTTGAGGACAGCTTTGTTGAAACCCATTTGTTCTTAACAATTTCATTATTTCTCTGCTATTCTAGAGTTTGAAAAATATTTTTTCATTTTCTACGAATGTTTACAGAAGTACCTTTAAATTACCAGTTGGTAAGGGTTTTTTATTTAGACTTATTAATAATTTCTAGTTCTAGTGGTTCAAGGTAAAGTAGTTTTGCTTGTACAATTTTAACTTTTTGAATATATTGAAGTTGTATGTGTATATGTATGCATTTTCTTGCTAGGAAATGTCCTGTTGGAAATCTTTCACTTACCATTTGAAATATTATTTTTAATTACTCAAGTAATCATGATTATATTGTCATTGTAATAAAACACAAACAAAAATAAACCTAAAATAACTTTGACCTCCACCCCTAATTTTAGTCTGCTTTCCCCAGAAAATCACTATTACAGTTTGTTATAGTCCATTGGGCTACTATAACAAAATACCTTAGACTGGGTAATTTATAAACAACAGAAATGTATTGCTCATGGTTCTAGAGTCTGAGAAGTCCAAGATCAAGGTGCTGGCAGATTGTCATTGTCTGGTGAGGCCTTGCTCTTCCTAACAGATGGCATTTTCTCTGTGTCCTCACTTGGTGGAAGGGGCCATGGAGCTCACTCAACCCTCTTTTATAAGGGCATTAATCCCATTCATAAAGGTAGAGCTCCCTTGACTTAATCACTTTCTAAAGGTCTCACCCTTTAATACTGTCACATTGGGTATTAGATTCCAACATATGAATTTTGGGGGATGTCAACGTTTAAACCATAGCACAGTTGTGCTTTCTTTAGGGCACTTTTCTATGTGTTTGCATATAAATATATAACCTACAAAAATCTATAACTTGACTCATATATGTCTAAACAATTATATGTATTGTTCTGCAGCCTGGTTTTGTTGCTGTCAACATAGCTTCCATATTTGCCTTTTGCCAGTTTATTTAAATCTACTTTATTCTTTAAAAGTTCTACCTAGTGTTTCACAATATTAATAGATAGTAATTGATTTAATCATTTCCCTGTTGATGGACATTTAGGCTGTTCCCAATTTTTCTCTACTGTAAACAGCATTGCAATGAACATCCTCATACATGCTTCCACATGCACATGCACTATGTTTTTCAGGTAAACTTTTTTGAAATATACCATACAAATGAAAATGTGCACAAATCATACTGTTACAACTCACAGAAGCACCACAAAGTAAATACATTTGTGAAAGCAGTATTCACATAAAGTCACAGAATACTGCTAGCCTCCTCCAGAGACCTCTCCTGTATCTTCTTCTGCTCACCGTGTCTCCTCCCAAGAGCAACTGTAATCCTGACGTCTAACAGCACATATTAAACTATGTTTGCCTGGTTCAAGCTTTAAAGAATGGAATCATTCAACATACCTTCTTTCCTATCTGGTCCTTTCACTCAATAGTTTGCTTGTAAGGTCCATACGTGCTGTCGTGTGTAGTTGTGGCTCACCACTCTCATTGACACCCAGCATCCACCATGTGAGCATTCCATCAATTATTTGCCCATTCTACTGTTTGGCGGAGGGGTGGCATTTTAATGTCCAGTTTTGGGTTGTTATAAATAGTGCTTCTATGGTCATTCTTGTTTATACTTTTGGTAAAAAATATTTACCCATTTCTGTTGGGTCTATACCTAGAAGTGTAAGTGCTGCATCAAGTGTTAACAGACTTTGTCAAATATTTCCCCAAAGTTTTGTACCACTTTACATGCCGACCAGCAGTGTGTGAGAGTTCCAGTTGCATCACAGCCTTGTCAAAATGTGGTTTTTCATCTTTCCATTTCAGTCATTCTGGTGGGTATAATGCTAACCTAATACTGGTTTTCCCTTACATTTCCCTACCAACCAGTGGCATTGAGCATTTTTCATATATTTATTGGCCATTTGAATATCCTCTTTTCTGAAATGTCTATTTAAATCTTTGACTGATATTCCTATTGGTTTATCTGTCCTTCTTTTAATGATCTATAGGGGTTTTAACACATTCTGGGCATAAGTAGTTTGTCAGATACATGTTGCAAATAGCATCTCCCATTCTGTGGTTTGCTTCTTCCCTGTCTTAATTATGTCTCTTGATGAGCAGGAATTTTTAAAGTTTAATATCACCACCAGGCCTGCCTTATAAGAGCTCCTGAAGGAAGCACTAAACATGGAAAGAAACAACCAGTACCAGCCACTGCAAAAACATGCCAAATTTTAAAGACCATTGATGCTAGGGAGAAACTGCATCAACTAATGAGCAAAATAACCAGCTAACATGACAATGACAGGGTGAAATTCACACATAACAATATTAACCTTAAATGTAAATGGGCCAAATGCTCCAATTAAAAGACACAGACTGGCAAATTGGATAAAGATTCAAAACCCACCAGTGTGCTGTATTCAGGAGACCCATCTCATGTGCAGAGACACACATAGGCTCAAAATAAAGGGATGGAGGAAGATCTACCAAGCAAATGGAAAACAAAAAAAAGCAGGGGTTGCAATCCTAGTCTCTGATAAAACAGACTTTAGACCAACAAAGATCAAAAGGGACAAAGAAGGCCATTACATAATGGTAAAGGGATCAATTCAACAAGAAGCGCTAACCATCCTAAATATATATGCACCCAATACAGGAGCACCCAGATTCATAAAGCAAGTCCTTAGAGACCTACAAAGAGACTTAGACTCCCACACAATGATAATGGGAGACTTTAACACCCCACTGTCAACAATAGACAGATCAACGAGACAGAAAGTTAACAAGGATATCCAGGAACTGAATTTAGCTCTGCACCAAGTGGACCTAATAGACATCTACAGAACTCTCCACCCCAAATCAACAGAATATACATTCTTCTCAGCACTGCATCGCACTTATTCCAAAATTGAACACAGAGTTGGAAGTAAAGCACTCCTCAGCAAATGTAAAAGAACAGAAATTATAACAAACTGTCTCTCAGACCACAGTGCAATCAAACTAGAACTCAGGATTAAGAAACTCACTCAAAACGGCTCAACTACATGGAAACTGAACAACCTGCTCCTGAATGACTACTGGGTACATAACGAAATGAATGCAGAAATAAAGATGGTCTTTGAAACCAATGAGAACGAAAACACGACATACCAGAATCTCTGGGACACATTTAAAGCAGTGTGTAGAGGGAAATCTATAGCACTAAATGCCCACAAGAGAAAGCAGGAAAGATCTAAAACTGACACCCTAACATCACAATTAAAAGAACTAGAGAAGCAAGAGCAAACACATTCAAAAGCCAGCAGAAGGCAAGAAATAACTAAGATCAGAGCAGAACTGAAGGAGATAGAGACACAAAAAACCCTTCAAAAAATCAATGAATCCAGGAGCTGGTTTTTTTGAAAAGATCAACAAAATTGATAGACTGCTAGCAAGACTAATAAAGAAGAAAAGAGAGAAGAATCAAATAGATGCAATAAAAAATGATAAAGGGGTTATCACCACTGATCCCACAGAAATACAAACTACCATCAGAAAATACTATAAACACCTCTACGCAAATAAAGTAGAAAATCTAGAAGAAATGGATAAATTCCTCGACACATACATCCTCCCAAGACTAAACCAGGAAGAAGCTGAATCCCTAAATAGACCAATAACAGGCTCTGAAATTGAAGCAATAATTAATAGCCTACAACCCAAAAAATGTCCAAGACCAGACGGATTCACAGCCGAATTCTATCAGAGGTACAAGGAGGAGCTGGTACCATTCCTTCTGAAACTATTCCAATCAATAGAAAAAAAGGGAATCCCCTCTAACTCATTTTATGAGGCCAGCATCATCCTGATACCAAAGCCTGGCAGAGACACAACAAAAAAAGAGAATTTTAGACCAATATCCCTGATGAACATCGATGCAAAAATCCTCAATAAAATACTGGCAAACCGAATCCAGCAGCACATCAGAAAGCTTATCCACCATGATCAAGTGGGCTTCATCCCTGGGATGCAAGGCTTGTTCAACATACGCAAATCAATAAACATAATCCAGCATATAAACAGAACCAAAGACAAAAACCACATGATTATCTCAATAGATGCAGAAAAGGCCTTCGAGAAAATTCAACAGCCCTTCATGCTAAAAACTCTCGATAAATTAGGTATTGATGGGACGTATCTCAAAATAATAAGAGCTATTTATGACAAACCCACAGCCAATATCATACTGAATGGGCAAAAACGGGAAGCATTCCCTTTGAAAACTGGCACAAGACAGGGATGCCCTCTCTCACCACTCCTATTCAACATAATGTTGGAAGTTCTGGCCAGGGCAATCAGGCAGGAGAAAGAAATAAAGGGTATTCAATTAGGAAAAGAGGAAGTCAAATTGTCCCTGTTTGCAGATGACATGATTGTATATTTAGAAAACCCCATCATCTCAGCCCAAAATCTCCTTAAGCTGATAAGCAACTTCAGCAAAGTCTCATGACACAAAATCAATGTGCAAAATTCACAAGCATTCCTATACACCAATAACAGACAAACAGAGAGCCAAATCATGAGAGAACTCCCATTCACAATTGCTTCAAAGAGAATAAAATACATAGGAATTCAACTTACAAGGGATATGAAGGACCTTTTCAAGGAGAACTACAAACCACTGCTCAATGAAATAAAAGAGGACACAAACAAATGGAAGAACATTCCATGCTCATAGATAGGAAGAATCAATATCGTGAAAATGGCCATACTGCCCAAGGTAATTTATAGATTCAATGCCATCCCCATCAAGCTGCCAATGACTTTCTTCACACAACTGGAAAAAACTACTTTAAAGTTCATATAGAACCAAAAAAGAGCCCGCATTGCCAAGACAATCCTAAGCCAAAAGAACAAAGCTGGAGGCATCACGCTACCTGACTTCAAACTATACTACAAGGCTACAGTAACCAAAACAGCATGGTACTGGTACCAAAACACAGATATAGACCAATGGAACAGAACAGAAATAATACCACACATCTACAACCATCTGATCTTTGACAAACCTGACAAAAAAAGAAATGGGGAAAGGATTCCCTATTTAATAAATGGTGCTGAAAAAACTGGCTAGCCGTATGTAGAAAGCTGAAACTGGATCCCTTCCTTACACCTTATACAAAAATTAATTTGAGATGGATTAAAGACTTAAATGTTAGACCTAAAACCATAAAAACTCTAGAAGAAAACCTCGGCAATACCATTCAGGACATAGGCATGGGCAAGGACTTCATGTCTAAAACACCAAAAGCAATGGCAACAAAAGCCAAAATTGACAAATGGGATCTAATTAAACTAAAGAGCTTCTGCACAGCAAAAGAAACTACCATCAGAGTGAACAGGCAACGTACAGAACGGGAGAAAATTTTTGCAATCTACCCATCTGACAAAGGGCTAATATCAGAACTTAAATTTACAAGAAAAAATCAAACAACCCCATCAAAAAGTGGGCAAAGGATATGAACAGACACTTCTCAAAAGAAGACATTTATGCAGCCAACAGACACATGAAAAAAAGCTTGTCATCACTGGCCATCAGAGAAATGCAAATCAAAACTACAATGAGATACCATCTCACACCAGTTAGAATGGCGATCATTAAAAAGTCAGGAAACAACAGGTGCTGGAGAGGATGTGGAGAAATAGGAACACTTTTACACTGTTGGTGGGACTGTAAACTAGTTCAACCATTGTGGAAGACAGTGTGGTGATTCCTCAAGGATCTAGAACTAGAAATACTATTTGACCCAGCCATCCCGTTACTGGGTATATACCCAAAGGATTATAAATCATGCTGCTATAAAGACACATGCACACATATGTTTATTGTGGCACTATTCACAATAGCAAAGACTTGGAACCAACCCAAATGCCCATCAATGATAGACTGGATTAAGAAAATGTGGCACATATACGCCATGGAATACTATGCAGCCATAAGAAAGGATGAGTTCATGTCCTTTGTAAGGACATGGATGAAGCTGGAAACCATCATTCTCAGCAAACTATCGCAAGGACAGAAAACCAAACACCACATGTTCTCACTCATAGGTGGGAATTGAACAATGAGAACCCTTGGACACAGGGTGGGGAACATCACACACTGGGGCCTGTCATGGGGTAGGGGGAGGGGGGAGGGATAGCATCAGGAGATATACCTAATGTAAATGATGAGTTAATGGGTGCAGCACACCAACATGGCACATGTATACATATGTAACAAACCTGCACATTGTGCACATGTACCCTAGAACTTAAAGTATAATAAAAATAAAAATAAAAAATAAAGTTTCATATGGTTCACTTTATCATTCTTTTTGGTAGTTAGCGTTTTTGTGTTTTCTCTTTTCCCCTTTTATTTTTAGTTGACATGTAATAATTGTACGTGATATTTTAATAATACATGTATACAATGTGTAATGATGAAATCAGGGTAATTAGCGTATCCATCACCTCAAACATTTATCATTTTGTTTTTGGGTTTCCTATTCAAGAAATATTTGCCTACTCTAAGGTCACAACAATGTACCCCTGTGTTTTCCTCTAAAGGTTTTTGTTTGGCCATTCACATTTAGATCTGCCATCCATCTGAAATTCATTTTTCATATGGTATAAGGTTAGAGTCAAAATATATTTTAAAAGTATGAAAATTCTATTGATCTAGCACCCTATGTTGAAAAGACTACCTTTTTTCTACTCAGTGAACTTTTACTTTTCCCACGATTCAGGTGACTGTATACCTTTAGGTCTTTTTCTGGACTCTAATTTATTACAGTGGTAAATCAATCCACTCTTGTGCCAAACACTGGCCATTTTATCTACTGACAATGCAGGTTATGACATCTGGTAGAGCAAATCCTTCAGTTTTGTTCTTCATGATTGATGCAGCCTTATCAATTTATGAAAAAAACTTTGATTTTGATCAGAACTTACATTGATTGTAAATTATTTTCAGAATTCACATTTACTCTTCTGATCTATGAACATAATATAATTTCCCATTTATTTATGTCTTTGTTAATTTCTTTCAAAACTATTTTGTAATTTTCAAGGCTGGGCGCTGTGGTTCATGCCTGTAGTCCCAGCACCTTGGCCAAGGCAGGAGGACCACTTGAGCCCAGGAGTTCAAGACCAACCTGGGAAATACGAAGAGACCCTTTCTCTACAATAAATAAAAAAAAATTTAGCAGGGTGTGGTGGCACACACCTATTGTCTCAGCTACTCAGGAGGCTGAGGTGGGAGAATCTCTTGAGTCTGGGAGGTCGAAGCTGTAGTAAGCTGTGATTGGGCCACTGTACTCCAGCCTGGGTGACAAAGCGAGATCCTGTCTCAAAAAAAAAAAAATCTATTTTGTAATTTTCAGTGTAGAGGTCTTATGCATCTCTGGTTACATTTACTCATAGATGTCATAGATGTTAGATTTTTTAATGCTATTGTAAATAGTGGGCTTTAATTTTTAATTTTCCAACTTTTGTTACAATACATAAAAATTCAACTAGTGACTGTTAAATTTACTTCTTAATTTAAAAAGTGTATCATTAGTTTGGCTTTTCGATGTACTAGCCATGGCATCTGCAAAATACGTCAATTTGATTTTTTTATTTCCTATATTTTAATTTATTTTTCTTGCTTGAATGCAGTTGCTACAAACTACACTATTATGTGGAAGAGAAATAAATATCGATAGTGGACATTCTTGCCCCATTCCTGCTGTCATGATATTTACTGTAAGATTTTAGCGTATTCTCTTATCAGTTTAAGGAAGATCAATGACATCTATTCCAAATTGCAAACAATTTTTTCATGAAATTAGATTTTATCAAATCCTGGATTTATTGGGATGGACTTATAATGTCTCTGTTTTATATAATTTGAATTACATTGATTAATTTTGCATTCTTATATTAAACCCTCCTCCATGGTTCCGATATACTATTATTTTTATGTATCACTTGATTTAATTTGCCTATATTTCCCTGTGAATGTTCACGAAGGACATTGGCCTATTATTCTCCTTTCTTCTCGTGTCTGTGTGAGGCCTTCATATCAAGGTTATACTGGCCTCATAAAATGAATTAGGACACATTCTTTCATTTTTTTATTCCATAAAATGGTTTGTGTAGGATCAGTGTTATTTCTTCCCAAAATGTTTGGAAAAATACACTGATAAAATTTGAGATTTGAGTTTTACTGATGAGAAACATTTTACTAGTGGATACAATTTATTTAAGAAATATCAAACTATTCACATTAAATATTGTCTGTCACTTTTGATAAATTGTGTTTTTGGGAGAAAGAGGGTTTACCCTTTTAATCTAAATTGTCAACTGTATTTACTTCAAATTTTTATAATATCCTCTCATTATTTTGTTAATGTCTTTTTAGTCCTGATATTATTTATTGTGTTTTCTCTTTTTTTTTTTTTTTTTTTGAGACGTAGTCTCACTCTGTCACTCTGTCACCCAGGCTGGAGTGCAATGGCACAGTCTTGGCTCACTGCAACCTCCGCCTCCTGGGTTCAAGTGATTCTCCCGCCTCAGCCTCCAGAGTAGCTGGGACTATAGGCGCATGCCACCACGCCCGGATAATTTTTTTTTTTTATTTTTAGTAGGGATGGGGTTTCACTATGTTGGCCAGGCTGGTCTCAAACTCCTGACCTCGTGATCCACCCGCCTCAGCCTCCCAAAGTGCTGGGATTACAGGCATGAGCCATTGCGCCTGGCTGTGTTTTCTCTCTTTTATTCCCCTTGATCACTTTTATTAGGGATACATCCATTTTATTAATCTTTTTAAATAACCAAATTTGGCTTGTGAATTTCCCAAAATGTACATCTGTTTTCCATTTCACTGGGTTTTTTGTCATATGTTTATTATTTTCTTCCTTCCCCTCTTACTAGGCTTAGCTCTTCTCAGCTTCTACAGATAGAAGCTTAGATCATTTATTTTCAGCCTTCTTCTTTTTAACTATGTGCGTATTAGGCTATAAATTTCCCTCTAAGCACTGCTTTAACTGCACCTGTCAATTTCAATATGCTGTATCTCCATTATCCAACAGTCCACAGTGTTTTCTAATTTCCTTTGTGATTTCTTCTGTGGCCTATGATTTAGAGGCATATGGCTTAATTCCCAAGCACTTGGAGATTTTCTAGTTGTATTTATGTTTTTATATCCAGCTTAATTCCATGGTGGACAGAGAACAAACTCTGAATGATTTCAATCCCGTGAAATGTGTTGGGACTTGCTCCACGATCCAGCACGCGACAATCTTGGTGAATGTCCTGTGTGCTAATGAAGAGACCGTGGGTTCTGCTGTTGCCAGTGCAGCGGTCTGAATCACTTGTCAATTAGGTCAGGTTTGTCAACTGCGTCGTTCAGAACTTCCATATCCTTACTGATATTTCTGTCTGCTTATTAAATCAGCCATTGAGGCATTGAGAGGCAGGTTAAAGTCTCTCTGTATGAACATGGATTTCTTTCTTCTTCAAGTTTGGTCAATTTTTGTTTCACATAATGTATGCATTGATGCTTACTTGGGGCTGTAATAGCTTCCTGGAGTGTTGATTCTTTCAGTACATGCCCATGTCGGTCTTGAGCAAGGCACCTCACCTTCACACCTGTTTTGTCTGACATTTCTATCACTCTACTTGCTTTCTTCTGGTTGGTGTTTACATATTCTACCTTTCCCATTTATTGTCCTTTCAACCTGCTTTGTGCCCTTGAGGACTAAGCTCTGATTTTTTTAACTTGCCCAAATTCCTATCTATCTAAGGAGTCTGGGGAGTCATGCCCTACAAACCATAAATTCTCATCAGATGGAATTTATTTAACCGTACATATCGTGAGTGACTTACTTTCCAATCTGACTCTGGCATAACATTACATGACAAAGTAGAAAATCAAAATATTTTACCCTAAACCATGTTTGTTTGCCGTATTTTGAAATGGCCCTGCAAAGTCATCCTTGGTGGGGGTAAAATTTGCATCAGTAAAGAATCTCTATTAACATAGCTAGATCTTTTTCTTCCAGGCCCTCCCAATCCTGAAGAGATTAACTGGGAGTCTAGCACCCTTTAAAGGCGAACAGGAAAGATTTTTCATCTATTGCCTCCAAGGGCAGCCTCTGTAAGACTTTAAAAGAACCTTGGTCTCCACAATGCTTTATCTTAACCAGAACATTTCCATTTGATCCCAGGTCTTTTGACAAATGCAAGCAACTGTCAGCTAGAAAATGTTTAAATTTACCTATAGCCTGCGCCCTCCACCCTTCCCCCCACTTTCAGTTCTCCCACCTTTCTGGACCAAACCAATGTATTTCTTAAATGTATTTGATTGATGTCTCATGCCTCCCTAAAATGTATAAAACCAAGCTGTGCCCCAGCCACCTTGGGCACATGTTCTTAGGACCTCCTGAGGGCTGTGTCATGGGCCATGGTCACTCATATTTGGCTCAGAATAAATCTCTTCAAATATTTTACAGAGTTTGACTCTTCTCATTGACACCCTTATGTAAGTATATAAGGAGTGTATTAGTCTGTTCTCATGCTGCTAATAAAGACATACCCGAGGATGGGTAATTTATAAAGGAAAGAGGTTTAATGGACTCACAGCTCCACATGGCTGAGGAGGCCTCACAATCATGGTGGAAAGCGAATGAGGAGCAAAGTGACGTCTTACATAGCAGCAGGCAAGAGAGTTTGTGCAGGGGAGCTCCCATTTATAAAACCATCAGATTTTGTGAGACTTATTCACCAACACGAGAACAGTATGGGGGAAACTCCCTCATGATTCAAGTATCTCTACAGGGCCCTGCCCTTGACACATGGGGATTATTACAATTTAAGGTGAGATTTGGGTAGGGACACAGCCAAACCATATCAAGGACTGTGTCTTTTAAGTGCCTTACAACTAGGTTTTATTTTTTGCATGCCATCTGACATTATTAGCCTTTTCCTCAAGGTATTTCACCCATTGTCTTTAACACAATTTCTTTGTGTTTGGTTCGCTGTCACCTTGCTACTTGTTTTCTGTTTGACTCATCTGCTTCGTGTTCCACGTCTTGCCTTCTTTAAGATGACTGAAATCTTTCCATTATTCCTTTTTCCCCTCTCATCTTGCTAGGTATACATTCCTTCACTATTTTTTTCACAGTTATCCTAGAGATTTCAGCATTCATCCTTGACTAGCATATAAGGGTTCAATGTGAATGGAGACTTTGCCCATTTCCTGCTCTGCCAGAACTGAGGTGCCGGAGCTCCAGCTACTGCCAGCCTGTGCGTCACCCTCCCCCTGCATTTAAATGTACTCATCACTGCTACTGTCGCACATAGTGAATGTCTATTATATTTACACCAGGATTTACATCCCCCCGCCTTCTCATTCTTTCTATTTCCATGTTTCTGTCTGAGGTTATTTTCCTTCCATCGGAAGTGCTCATTTTAGAATGTCTTTCATTCAAGCCTGTGGTGATGAATTCCCAGTATTTCTGCTGAAATGTCTTCATTTCTGAGGCATACGTTCCCCAGTATAGACTCCTGAGTTGCATTTCTCTTTTTATTTGGGCACGTTAGAACTGTCATCCCACTGTCTCTGGCTGTCTGTTTTGGTGAGGACTCAGCTCTCCATGTTATTTTTTGCTTTTGTGATGGCAGCACATCATTTTTCTCCAGCCACTCTTAAAGTTTTCTCTTTTTCCTTTTCCACAGTTTTTCCACCATGTGTCAAACTGTGGTTTCCTTTGCACTTATCTTGCTTGGTGCTGCAGAACTCTCTAAATCTGTGGACTGATGACTTTCATTCATTTTGGAATGTTCTTAATCCCCTTTTCTTCAAATGTGCCTTCTCTCCTTTAGGGGGTACAACTGCATATAGAATGGACATTTTTACGGGGTGTCACGTGTCTTTTCTTCTGTTCATTTGTGGCCTCTGTGTGCTTTAGTTTAGATTTTTTTAATTCACTGTTCATTTCGTTCTTTAACCCAGAGTTCTGCTATATCTAAAGTGCAGCTAGATCCAGCCATGGAGTTCTTAATTTCAGATATTATAATTTTTGGCTTTTGAATTTCCATTTAGTTATTTTTATGGATTCAATTTCTTTGGTAAAATTATTTTCTGTTGTCATTTATTTTCCCCATCTTTTCCTTTATTTTTTTGCATGTTTTCATCCTGGTTATTTTTAGGTCCTTATTTGTTACTCCACTATCTCACCACTGATTCTGTTCTTGGTGTGTGTGTTTCCTTCTTGGTTTTTAGCCACATGTCTTTTGGCATGCCTAGCAATTTTTTTTATTGGTTGTGGGACATGATGTATAAACACAAACTATACAAGGAACACATGATGTCCTGCATCAGGAAATATTCACCCATTCTTCTGGCAGGCAGACAGAATGGGAAGATGACCCTCCAGATCCAGTGAGTGGCTGAGAACCACAGCTGGGGACATTCTTGGGCTCACCTCTTCTCTACCATGGAACGCTTCAGTGAGTTCAAATGCGAGCCTGGCGGGCTCCCTGGAGCCTCCTGCCCAGGGTCTTGGTCTCTTTGGCACACGTGGTGTTCGGGACACTCCGCTCTGCTGTTAGAGGGTTTCTGCTTAGATTTTAGCTTTTCACACGGTGCAGCTTCAGAACTTGGCAAATGTCAAGTGACTGTGTGCCTGGGCTCTTTAAGTCTCCACCCCTCTCTCTCCA
Source organism: Homo sapiens (assembly GCF_000001405.40). Lineage (NCBI taxonomy): Eukaryota > Metazoa > Chordata > Mammalia > Primates > Hominidae > Homo > Homo sapiens. The sequence continues at coordinate 104,405,635 of NC_000014.9, read as the reverse complement.
GCACAAGTGATGCTATAAGCTCTTCTTGCTTTCCTGTCCCTAGCACTGTTCCTCTGGCTGGGCCATGCCTGGATCCTCAGCTTCCAGCCATGGGAGGTTGGCAAAGGCCCCAGGAAAGTGTGGCTGTGATCGTCACCTTACCTCTCAGAGGTCCCTGCTCTCTGAACTTTAGTCCCTCTAGTCTCATTGCTTCCACAGTTCTCCGACACCTTTAAACAGATTGCTTCTGTGTGTTGACTAGCTCTTCTGTGTGTTCTCAGTGGGCAATGGGAGTTAGCTGCTCAGAGGAGAATCGCATCGGGTGTTCTTAAAGGTGTTTGCTAGGAAGTAGATTTGCTGGGTCGCACTTTATAAGCATCTAGACTTTTAATAGGAACACCCAATGGTCTTCTGTATCCATCATGAAGGGCTGGGTGATGCTGTGGTGACAAATGGCCCCCAAGCCCCAGTGATCACAACAGCAAGGACATTTTTTTCACCCGTGCTTCATGTCCATGTGGTTGGCTGTGCTTCTGCCCCACACAGTCCTCACTCCAGAACCCCGGAAGACGCAGGGCGCTCTCTCTGGGCCACTGTTGGTCACTGTGACAGGGAGAAACGCAAGCACAGTGGACCACATGCTGGCTTCTCTGTAACGAGGTGACACTTGCCACTCCTGCTCAGCCATCACTGATTAGAGCAAGTCATGGTCACATGGCTGGGGGAAGGCCTGTGATGAGCACTACCGTCAGAGAGAGGAGTATGTTTTCTACATATCTTCACCAAATTTGATAACTGGAATACTTTTAATATTGCTTATCTGATAGTTGAACAATAGCTTATTTCTTAAAAATTTGCATTTCCCTAACGAATGAGATAAACAGACTTTTCATATGTTTCTTATATTCTATGGGTTCATGGGGGAAAAGCAGTATTTCATGACAGGGAGGGGTAAAGTGTGACATATATACAATACTTATAGAATCTCCATTACAAATTATATGATTCACATTCTTGATAGTCCTATTTATTTTGTACACTTGATTTGACAGGAATCAACAGTACCGTGTTGAATTTCTCGTTACAGCTGGGTCTTGTCTATTTACCTAATATATCTAACAGGTTTTCTTGATATATTTCGGTATTCGATGTTGGACACATAAACATCTAACGTGTGTATCGGCTGTGTATTAGACATCACAACTTTATGGGGTATAATAACTCTTATTAATATAAATTGGTCTGTTTGTCCTTCTTAATGATTTGTGCTTTATTTTCCGCGGATACTAATATTGTCACTCCTTGGCACTTTTTGTCAACATTTGCCGCTGCAAATGCCTACATCAGTCCTTTATTTTTAAGCCGTACATCAAAATGTATTAAGTGTCCCTTGTAAATAACACACAGTTGAGCTCTAATGCGATCCAAGTCTTGCCCTCCTGCTGCCATGGAGCAGAACCTGTGCCAAGCCCCTGCTCCCCCAGCATCCTCTTACTTACTCCTCTGGCTTTTACCCTCAATTCATAAACATGCTTGAGTCTTTTGCATCTGAAGGAAAAACAAAACCAAAGGCCTTTTGACTCCATGTCCTTTGCTCACTGTTAGCAAATCCTCTCACCTCTGTGCTCGCCCAGGCTGAATGTGGTTCTTCCTTCTTCCTTTCTCATTCGCAGGTGCCTCAGAACTGCCCTGTGTCCCCTCTCTGCTCTGGCATTGCTTGGATGCCCCCACCTGTCCTGCCCTTCCTGGGGCCCCCTCACTTTGCTCAGATTCATGGACACGATTGGATGCGATCCTCTAGGGAAGCCATCCCCACCCACATCCCTGGCTCCACGGAAGTTCTGAGCTGCCACCTCCCCGTGGGTCCCATGCGCTATTCACAGCTCTGCAACCACACTGGCCCCCAGTGGACCAGAAACTTCTGAATGCAGGACTGAGCTTTTTGTCTCTGTGCCTGCAGCACTGGGTGAGCATGCAGCAGGATGGGCATGTGTGTGAGCAACACTGGGCAGACATGCTGCAACGTGGCCCGTGTCTGGGAAGCACCAGGCAGGCATGCAGCAGGGTGGGCACATGTCTGAGTTGTACCAGGTGGGCATGCAGCAGGGTCGGCATGGGCCTGGTACCAGGTGGGCATGCAGCAAGGTGGGCACATGTCTGAGTGGTACCAGGGCGGGAATGCAGCAGGGTGGGCACATGTCTGGGCAGCACCAGTCAGGCATACAGTAAAGTGGGCATGTGTGTGGGCAGCACTAGATAGGCATGCTACAAGGTGGGTGTATTAGCCTGTTCTCACATTGCTATAAAGAACTCCCCAAGACTGGGTAATTTATAAAGAAAAGTTTAATCGACTCACAGTTCCGCAGGCTGTCCAGGAAGCATGGCTGGGTAGGTCTCAGGAAACTTACAATCCTGATGAAAGGCAAAGGGGAAGGAGGCATGTCTTCCATGGCCAGAGAAGGAGGAAGGGTGGGGGGAGATGCTGCACACTTTTAAACAACCAGCTCTCCTGAGAACTCACTCACTAGCATGAGAACGGCAAGGGGAAATCCGCCCCCACGATCCAATCACCTCCCACCAGGCCCTCCTGCAACACTGGGGATTACAATTTGACATGAGTTTTGGGCAGGGACACAATCCAAACCATATTATTCTACCCCAGCCCCTCCCAAATCTCACGTCTTTCTCACATGGGAAAACACAATCATCCCTTCTTAACAGTCCCACAGGTCTTAACTCATTTCAGTATTAACTCAAAACTCCACAATCCAAAGTCTCATCTGAGACAAGGCAAGGCCCTACCACCTATGAGCCTGGAAAATCAAAAGCAAGTTAGTTACTTCCAAGATACAATGAGGGTAATGGCATTGGGTAAATACACCCACTCCAAAAGGGAGAAATCCACCAAAACAAAGGGGTCACAGGCCCCATGCAAGTCCAAAACGCAGCAGGGCAGTCATTAAATCTTAAAGCTCCAAAATAATGTCTTTTGACTCCATGTCCCACATCCAGACCACACTGACGCAAGGTGTGGGCTCTCAAGGCCTTGGGCATCTCCAGCCCTGTGGCTCTGCAGGGTACAGCCCCCTTGGCTGCTTTTATGGGGTGCCGCTGAGTGCCTGTGGCTTTTCCAGGTGCGTGGTGCAAGCTGTCAGTACATCTACCATTCTGGGGTCTGGAGGACAGTGGCCCTCTTCTCACAGCTCCACTAGGCAGTGCCCCAGTGGGGACTCTGTGTGGGGCCTCCAACCCCACATTTCCCCTCCACACTGCCCTAGTAGAGGTTCTCCGTGAGAGTTCCAGGCCTGTTGCAGACTTCTGCTTGGACATCCAGGCATTTCCATACATCTTCTGAAATCTAACCAGAGGCTCCCAAACCTCAGCCCTTGCCCTCTGTGTACCCACAGGCTCAACACCACATGGAAGCCACCAACACTGAATGGCTTGCACCTTCTGGAGCCATCATCTAAGACATATCTGGGGCCCTTTGGCCATGGCTAAAGCTGGAGTGGCTAGGATACAGGGAGCAGTGTCCCAAAGTTGTACAGGGCAGTGGAGCCCTAGGCCCAGCCCATGAAACCATTCTTCCCTCCTAGGCCTCCACGCCTGAGATCGGAGGGCTGCCGCCAAAGTCTCTGAAGTGCCTTTTAGACATTTTCCCCATTGTCTTGGCTGTTGACATTCAGCAACTCATGCAAATTTCTGCAGCTGGCTTGAAGTCCTCCCCAGAAAATGGGTTTTTCTGTTTTTAAATCTTTTGAGGAGTCTCATGCTGTCACCCAGGCTGGAATGCAGTGGTGTGATCTTGGCTCACTGCAATCTCTGCCTCCTGGGTTTAAGTGATTCTCGTGCCTTAGCCACCCAAGTAGCTGGGATTACAGATGTGCACCATCACGCCCAGCTAATTTTTGTATTTTTAGTACAGATGGGGTTCCACCATGTTGGCCAGGCTGGTTTCAAACTCCTGGCCTCAAGTGATCCACCCGCTGCAGCCTCCCAAAGTGCTGGAATTACAGGCATAAGCTACTGCACCTGATGGGGATTTTCTTTTCTACTACATGGTCAGGCTACAATTTTTCTAAACTTTTATGCTCTGCTTCCCTTTTATTAATAAATATAAGTTCCAGTTTTAGATAATCTCCTCGCTCATGCATATGACCATATGTTGTTAGAAGTAGCCAGGCCACATCTTGAATGCTTTGCTGCTTAGAAATTTCTTCTGCCAGATACCCTAAATCATCACTGTCATGTTCAAAGTTCCACTGATCCCTAGAGCAGGGTTACAACACCACCAGTCTCTTTGCTAAAGCATAGCAAGAATGACCTTTACTCCAGTTCCCAATAAGTTCCTAATTTCCATATGAGACCTCCTCAGCCTGGACTTAACCGTCCATATCACTATCAGCATTTTGGTCACAACCATTCAACAAATCTCTGGGACGTTCCAAACTTTCCCTCCTCTTCCTGTCTTCTTCTGAGATCTCCAAACTCTTCCACCCTCTTCTCGTTACCCAGTTCCAAAGCTGCTTCCACATTTTCAGGTCTCTTCTCTTCTCTTCCTGGTACTTCCTGGTGCCAATTTTGGCACTGCTATAAAGAACTACCTGAGTGCTCACTTTGGCAGCACATATACTAAAATTGGAATGGTACAGAGAACATTAGCATGGTCCCTGTACAAGGATGACAAAGAAAAATTAAAAGGAAAAAAATTTTTAAAAAAGAACTACCTGAGTCTGGGTAATTTATAAAGAACAGGAGTTTAATTGATTCCCAGTTCTGCAGGCTGTACAGGAAGCATGGCTGGGGTGCCTCAGGAAACTTACAATCATGGCAGAAGGCAAAGAGGAAGGAGGCACATTTTACATGGCCAGAGAAGGAGGAAGACTGGGAAGCAGGAGGTGCAACATACTTTAAAATAACCAGATCTCATGAGAACTCACTATCGTGAGAACAGCAAAAGGGAAATCTGCTCCCATGATTCAGTCACCTCCCACCAAGCCCCTCCTCCAACACTGGGGATTATAATTTGACATGAGATTTGGGTGGGGACACAAATCCAAACCATATCAGTGGGGACTTGCGTGGGCAGCACAGGGTGAGTATGGGGCCAGGTGCACATGTGTGGGCAGCACCGGGTGGGTATGGTGCCAGCTGTGCACATGTGTGGGCTTTGCAGCCAGGCATCCTGGGTTTGAATCTCGGCTTCACTGCTCAGAATTCCAGGACTGGGAGCAAGTCAGGTAAACTGCCCACCTCCTTTCCTTCACCTATGAATAGGGATATATGTAATTTGCATCATCTTTATCGAGTTACTGTGAGTGCCTCATGGGTGGAGTGCCTGATGAGGGCCCCCTGTCGTCACTGGTGATGGTTTTGTTATTATTGTTATTGATTTGCTGGTGGCTGGAGGCATTAGGCACACTGCAGACAAAGGCTGAAGAGGCTGTTTTTTAGTCTGTCTCTGTCGATCTGTTTAGTTCCATCCTTTAGTGAATCTCCACAGCTCTCCCATGTGGTGTGCTTCTTGAGCCCCTGTGAGTCTGCAGTCACCTGCCTTTTGCCCAAGCCTGTGCACGACATCTGGGCTGATGGTGGCATTGTTGAGCCACAACAAAGCCCCATCCACAGCAGCCACAGGGCTGTGTCCCGTTAGAACTAATTATCTCCAGACCACATTCTTCAGATAAGGAGCATTGTTCTTTGACAGCCGAGGATGGAAGTGGTACCTAACATGCAACTACACTGGCTGTGAGGCTGGAGGCCTCAGACCGACTCCTCTGTTGCCTGGGAGATGGACAGGGAGGCCATGGCAGCACGGAGGCAATAGAGGGCTGGGCCTAGACACTGACTGAGAAGTTGATTGGCAGGAGCTGGAGGGCAAAGGTCACAGGAGGAGTGGACTGGGTCTTTGTGCCACCTGTGTTCTCAGCACCACCTCCAGCATCCCCACCCCCACCCCCATCACTCCTGCCATACTAAGAGCTCTCCACCTGCCTACCCTGAGTGTCCTGAGACCCAGGGGCATTGCTTCCACATCCTGCCACAGGCCATGTGCTTGGATTGGGTGCTTTTAGAGAGAAAGCTGGCGTCAGGCTGAGCTAACTTCCTTTGGATCTTAGATGCCGTGTTAGATCAAGTTTTTCAGAGCAGATGCTGAGCCAAAGATTCAGGTGCAGGTGATTTTCCGAGAAGCTGCTCTCCGGGGAGAAGGGGTGGCGGGAGCAGCGCAGGGAAGATGTCTTACTCTGTTTTGTGTTGCTATAAGGGAATATCTGAGCTTGGATAATTTATAAAGACAACAGGTTTATTTGGCTCACAGTTCTGCAAGCTGTACAGAATTATGTCACTGGCATCTGCTCGGCTTCCGGTGAGGGCCTCAGGTTGCTTCCACTCATGATGGAAGGTGGAAGGGGAACAAGAATGTCACATGATGGGAGAGGAAGCAAGAGAGATAGGAGGAGGTGCCATGCTCTTTTTAACACCAGCTCTTGTGTGAATTAAGAGTGAGAACTCACTCACTACCATGGGGACAGCCCCAAGCCATTCATGAGGGATCCACCCCCATAACCCAAACATCTCCCACCAGGCCCCACCTCCAACATTGGGGATCACATTTCAGGTGAGATTTTATTCAAACCATATCAGAAGGCGCCCCGGCATCAGGATTTGCCATGACAGTGAAAATTGAAGCTACCACGCCCTAAGACCCAGGTTCCAGAACTCACAAGACACCCCTTCTGCCTCATTGGATTGGCCAAAGAAGCCATGAGGCCAGCCTAGAGTCAGGTGGAGGGAAGTGGACTTCCTGGGTGAGTGGCTGCACCCACAGGGAGAGGAGGAGCTGTCCGGATTTATTTGTCACAGGCCACCAAAGCTCTGCCGCCTGTCTCCACTGACACACTCCACACTACTTAACGCTCCACGGCCTAAGTCTCTCAGTTGTTTTGACCTAGTCCTTCACAGCCTGTTCATTTGCCTTTTGGTGGACTAAAATTCATTCTCTATTTATTTATTTAAAAGGAACTTCAGTAGACAAGAGTTCCTCCATTTGTGAATATTTTCAGAAGCGCTTTTTTATGATTCAGCATGAGTAACAGCTTTATTCTGTTCTAAAATTTTACTCTGATATAAAATTCTTGGTTCATACTTTCTTTTCCTGGAGATTTTGCAGGCATTATTTCCCTCTTCTCTAAGATGAGGTGTTGCCGTAGAAAATCTGAAGCCAGCTTGGACTTCTCTTCTCATGTCAGGGCCTTCATATTTTTGCCTCGGTGCCAAACAAATTCTTCGTGTTTGACCCCCAAGTCTCAGTGCTGATCAAGTGCACCAATTTTTGTAGAAACATGATATACCCTCTTAATCCATAGATTTCATCTTTTTTAGTTTCACCACATTTTCTTGAATTATTTGAATTATTTTTCTTTTATATTTGATTTTCTCCTGCAAGGCCACCAATTATGTGTGTGTTGTGTCGGCATTTTGTGTTTTCCTTTTCTATCCTTTCCTCTAAACCATCGCAACTCTTTATTCTTTTCTGGTGAATTTTTTTCACTTTTTCCAAGCTTGACTCCACATCCCTGGCAATGGTTTTAGGAGAATCTATTCTCTTTTTCTTTGATTCTAGTGTGGCCTTCATTTTGTGATTTTTAAAATTCTGCTTCTTTTCTTGAGCTCTGCCTGCCTATTTTTGAAATCTCCTATCATCTTTTTGTTTCTTATTGAAGTCTGTCTTGGCTTTTGTTTTACGTGAAAGACATTTTCATTTAGATCGTTAAGTTTCTGATTGTTAAGAAGGTTTCCATCATCTTCCCCAATGCGAGGATTTTTTGTGTCTTTGCTTTTTACCTTTTCTATTATTTTCTTCCTTTTTCTTGTAATGTTTTCAGTGGACACTATTTTCATTCCTTTCTGTCATTGTTTATTTGTGCATATAAAGTGAGTTCTTCCCGAAACAACTGTCTGCAGTGTGTGGGAGGGCAGTCCTGGGGCGGGGAGCTTCCCTGGCTGGCTGTGCAGCCCCGCAGCCTGGCCTCCGCCTCGCCCTGGAGCAGCGAGGTCACTCGGCAAGGCCTTCACACTCTCAGGGGCTCAGAGTTGTGGGTGCCTCCTGTTTTCCATGAGGATAGAATTCCCATCTCTGTTTCTCATCCTCGGTGACAAAAAGAGAGACAACTTTACTAGAGGTTCACTTTAACAAGTAGCGGACACTTTTTGCTTGGTCGTTTTGTGTGCATGTGTGTTTGTTTCATTTTGTTTGCTACAACAAAAGCAACAACTAAAGAAATAAATACCCTTAATTTCATCACTCTGGAGATCTTTCACAACATTGACGACTCAGACGTCGTCGGTCTTCTCTCCCGGCCTCAGCTGCGGTCAGACTCCAGGTGAGCTGCACCTGGCCGTCTCATTTACGCGGCCTCTCTGGCATTGGATAAGAACTCTATGGCCAACTTACCCAAGAGGTGGTCTGCAATATCTTTGAATACATTAAGACCTGGTGGTCTTATAGAGAAATCTGTAATGATTCATTCACTCGTTGCTACAGACCAAATGTTTCCTATGTGGAAGCTCTGACCCCAATGCGATGGTATTTGCAAGTGAGGCCCCTGGGAGCTGATGAGGCTTAGAGGAGGTCATGAGGGCCCGTGACAGAACATCCTCTCTCTGCTATGAGAGGACACAGCAAGAAGGAGGCTGTCCGGGGACCAGGAAGCAGCCCTCTCTGGAGCCAACCCTGCTGCCACCTTCACCTTGGACTCCCAGCCTCCAGAAATGTGAGGAATGAATGTCCACTGTTAAGCTGCCCCATCTGTGTTGTTTTGTTGTAGTGGCCTGGATGGACTAAGACATTCATTCAATCATTAATTTATTCAAAGATATTGCAGACCACCTTGTGGGTAAGTTGGCCATAGAGTTCCTATCCGATGCCAGAGAAGCAGTGTAATTGAGACGGCCAGGTGCAGCTCACCTGGAGCCTGACCGCAGCTGAGGCAGGGAGAGAAGACAGGCAATGAGCGGGCCAGCGAAGGAAGCTTTCTGTTTCTTTAATGCAGATGAACCAGCGAGGAGAGAAAGGGCCAGGGCAAGGCACTGCTGAGCCGGGCGGGCTGCTGCTCCGTGCTCACTGGGGAATGTTGTTCAGGTGAGTCAGGGCCTCACGCCATGGAGGACATTTACGCAATCCCACCTGACAATGGCTCCCGAAGGAAGAGACAGGTGCACAGCGAGTACTGCAATTCAGAAATTCACGGAGCAGCAATTCTGAAAAGCAGCGGGGAGAGCAGGGGTCAGAGCAGGGCCAAGGACAGCAGCCGGGACACAGGTTTTTTTGGGATCTCTGGACTGGCAGCACGCCAGGCCACAGAACCCCTGTGTGGACAGTCTGTGCCACCCCCGGCCTCCTCATTTCTGAAGATGAGCTCTCCCCGGCACCCGGGACGCCCACACCCAGGGTCACTGCCAAACAGCACCACCGTCTGAATCTCAGGACCTTGCCCTGGATGCCGGCTCACTCCCTCACACACGTCCTGTGGACTTCACTCTAAAACGCTCCCAGAAGCTGGCCGCTGTGTCCACCTCCACCACGGACCCCAGATGCAGCCCTCCTCCTGTCGCTGGGCAGACCTGCGGCCAGGGTGTCCTCGCTGGACGTGCACTGCCCGTCCTGTTTCAGCTGCTGTCCCCTCAGCAGCCAAAGGGGCCCTGGCAGTGAGATCAAGGTACTTCCCGCCCCTTCCTCCCAAAACTCCCCACTCAGATCTACAGCAAAACCCAAGTTCTTCAGTGCCTCGGAAGACCCTTGGTCCTACCAGGTCACCACCTATCCCAAGATAGATTCCAGATGACCTGGTGGGTGGACTAACGCATTTTCAAGGGCAAGGTTGATTACACTTGGTTTTTGTTTTGTTTTCTTTAGAGACAAGGTCTCGCTTTGTCACGCAGGCTGGAGTACAGTGGTGTGATCACAGCTCACCAGAGGGAGCAGCCTCACACTCCCAGGCTCAAGTGATTCTTTTACCTCAGCTTCCCAAAGTGCTGGGATTACAGGTGTGAGCCACCGTGGCAGACCGCTTGTAGTTTTTGTTTATTCTGTTTTAAGAGCTGCTGTAGAACCACACCTACCCCAGCCCCTCCTCTGTTTGCTGTGACACCTCAATCCTTGCACCTGAAATCTGCGATGTGGGACATCTCGTGATGTGGCTGGTCACAAGACACCCTTCCTCTTAGTGGGTTTCCAGGGAGCTGGCCTGGGCAGGGCAGCGGGGAGGAAGGCACACTGGAAGAGGCATCTCAGGGCAGGCCAGTGTCCCTGATCACCTCCGTGGGGTTTCAGGGTCTTTTCAGTCTCCTCAGTCTCCTAAACAACCACTCAGATTTCTTTTCCTATAACCTCTATAGACCCCATTCCCACCCCTACCCTCTCCCTGACCCTGGCCTGAAATGCTGAGACATTTTTTGCTTGATAATCACAGACTCCAAGTTCCTAACATAATTCCCGAACCAACAATTCCATAAAGTTATTTACCAGCCTATTTCCAGTTGGTTTTCAAATGTTATGGTTGCTAACCCCATTTTTCCCACTAAGAATAAGTGAGCTTTTAAATCAGCTTTGCCTCATGGGACGGTGACTTTTCTTCATTGCTTCAGCCCATGCACCAGTTCCTGGAGTCAGTGGTTGGAACATAGGTTGCAGAATGTGCCAGATTTCAGAGCCTTCCTGGGACCCTCCAGGGACGTCTGCCCAGCCCCATCTCCAGGAGGACCCTTCCTCACTGAGGCCAGGCATGGAAGGACAAGGAGAGTGTGAGGGAAGTGCTGGCCCAGGTCACAGCACCAGCCTCACGTTCTGCCTGGCTGCGGATGGTGATGCCTGGCTGCAGACATCCCCCCGTAAGACTGCACCAACCTACTTTGCAGGGCTGAGGCGGTGCACGAATGGGGAGCTGGAGCCAGAGAGCACCTGCTGCCGGGGCATTGCCCTCCTCCTACGGCATCGACCTCCTCCTGCACTGTCAGGCAGGGAGGAGAGTGCAGCTCCTGGGACCCTTCCCCTGGGAGCCTGAAGGCAGACCCGAGTCTCATCCTCTGAAGTCAAGAGAGCAGGCCTGGAAGGCAGCAGAGAGGGCTGGGCAGGGAAAGGGGCTGGGGACGGGGCTCGGGGGCAGGAAGGCACAGGAGCAGCAAGCAGGACTGTTGCGGGGGGGTGGCGGGGCAGCAGACTCCCCAGGCAACCAGAGAGAGGGTCCCCTTTGAGTTTGAGATCTAGCAAAGACAGCCCCTGCAACCCAGGCTCCTACCACTGCCCCCAGAGACCACACACACACACACACACACACACAAACACACACACACACACCAGAAGGATGCATCTGGGGCTCTGGAAGAACACTTAGTCCTGGACTTGGCAGCAGCCCAGAGGCCCAGGCACCTCTGAGACACAGAGGCATGGGGCATCCGGGAGGCGGAAACCACAGAGGCCCACACCCCGTTCTTGATCAGCTCTCTCAAGACTCCATCTGTGAAGTGGGGCAGCCATCCCGCAGGGCTCCTGGGGTGACTGAGGTGACACTGAAGCTATCCCCACTCGTGCCCAGGCAGCAGCCAGGCCCAGCATGCTCCAGACCTTCTGCCCAATCGATGATTGAGGCAGGAGGAGTTCCAGGACCCAGCCACAGGAGCCGTCACAGCCGCGGGTGCCCAGGAGCAGATTTCTTGCTCAGGCCACCCAGAGCCCAGACTCAGAACTCAGCCCCCTCGGGCAGCTGTGGGCAGTCTTCTACCCTCCTCTGGGCCTCAGTTTCCCCCACTAGAAGGGCCTTCTGTTTCTGATTGCAGGGTCCAGCCTGGCCAGGTCTCTCCAGGGTCCTTCAGCCTGCAGGCTGGTTGTCAGCCTGCTTAGGATGTCAGCTCTGGCCAGGGTGTGTGGGTGCCTCTGCAGGCCCATCTCCAAGGCTGTGACCCAGCAGAGGGGCCGCAGGAGGGGAAAGGCAAAGGGGTGTGGTGGTGCCGGCTGGGGAGCCCTGGGGTTTTCACACAGGGAGAACAATGGCTGGGAAAGCTGGCCCAGGCCACGCCGCCCCTGCAAGCCTGGGAGCCGCTGGTGCTGGAGAAGCAGCACCCTGGAGACCAAGCTTTGGCATGGAGCTCCATTCACGGGGCAAGCTGCAGAAGTCATTGGGTCTGTGGCTCTCAGCAGGGTCCGGAAACCGGGCCTGGCCTGCTGTGGCCTGACACAGGCCTCCAAGCCCGTCACGGCCGCTGGGAGGTTGGGGTGTGCCTGAGACCCCTCCTGGAGCGCCGTCCCTGGAGTCCGGGGTTCCACCCCCACTCACCGCAGGGCTCCCACGTGCTCACCCAGGCTGAGCCCTGAAACTTCCAGTCTCCACATGACAGAGGCCGGAGCCAGGCAGGTCTGGTGAAGGCCCCGGTGGTCAAGAAATTGGGGGTAGGGGGTGGGGTTGACATGACTCAGGTCTCTGGGTCCTGGCCCAGGCTCCTGTCCCACTGCCAGTGGGTGCAGCGACAGCAGTGGCCCTGGGAGGTCAGCTGCCCCCACACAGTGCTGGCCCCAGGATTCCTTTCTGGAGACCCGGGAACATTTCAGTCTTCAGGATGCCTCCTCCAGGAGTAGTGGTGTTGGGGGGTTTCTCTGAAGCTCATTTGTTGAACATCCCCCTTTCCTCAGCGGTGCCAACTCCTGAGCCGACAGGGAAAGGCTGTGTCCCCACCCGGCCTCCCAGACATCCCGGGCCTCTGCCCTGTCCACAGGCCGTCCAGAGCCTCACACACGGTTTCCCACCCGCTGGAATCAGCTGGGCTTGGACCCAGCACACCCTCAGGTCCACACAGCTTTCCAGGCCCTCGGGAACCACAGCCCCACCCGTCCAAGCCCCTTCCCTGGGGGTTCCCTGTGGGCCCTGAAGATACTCCTGGGAGCCTCCCCTTCCCCATCGTGTGCCCCGGGGCCCATCTGCAGCCCCCATCCATCCAGGGTGTTCCACGTGGAAGGACCAGCTCACAGCCAGGTGTTCACGCCTCATCTCTCCCTGCTCCTGATCGACCTCAGGCCCCACCGGGGACAGTCAGGGGCTGTGGGGCACTGGCCTCCCCGCAAACATGGCCTGGTCGCATGTTTTGATGAGAGGGGGAAACCGGGTAGGGCCTGGAGCTCCAGAAGGCCAAGAACCCATCCTGGGGAGGCAGCAAGGGGCGGGAACCCACCGCAGCCGAAGCGCTGACCGCCCCGCACGTCGGACTTTTCGTCCAGGCCCAAATCTAAAGATGAAATTGGGAGCTTCAAGCTGGCATCCACCATCTGAGACAGGGATTCCCATGTGCTGCCCGGACCTGCCCATGAGGGGGTCCTGCCAGGGCTCTGGGTGGGAGCTGTGTCTGCAGCCCTCACATTGTGAGCTCTCCCCAGATGGAGCCAGTCCCTGAGACCAGCCCCCAACACTCAGAGCCTCCCCATTACTCTCTGGATGCTGCGGCTTTTCTGCCCTCTTGGGCTGCCCTTATACTTTCCGGATCATTCCAGGAAGTGGCTCTACTGAGCAAGCCGGTGTCAGCACACCTGCCCCAGCACACACAGGTGGTGCCCCCTTTCCTGCCGCAGGAGGGAGTAGGGGGCGCTGCCTAATTTCCACCTTCCATAACAACAGTGAAACAGCAGAGCAGCTTGACATTTACAAAAAGGTGCTTGTTAAGAACCGTCCTCCCAACTTAATTAACACTAAAACCCTTTAGGTGTTCCTCCAAGTGCATATAAAACAGCTGTCTTTCCCCTGCGCGGGAAGTAAACTCAGAGAGTGTTTCCATAAAACCAATGGACTGTGACTCCTTGCAAGCAAAACTGTCTTGAAATGTTACGGCCGCGGATGGAGGGGCGGCCAGCTGCCGGAGCAGATGCACCAGCCAGGACCGGAGCCTCCACTGCTGAGGAGCCACCGTGCCGCTGTTCCACACCACCCGGGCCGTTAAATCACACTGTGTTATTTCAAAGCCACGTGCTGAAGCTCTTGGCAGCTTCCTTCCGGGTGGGCGTCCTGGACTGTGCTGTTTGGGGTGGGAGCTTGGGGTCGCTCCACCTGCAGCCTGGGACTCGCCCCTCTCCCTCCCCAACCTTGCCCCTCTGTGTGCACATAGCATGAGGAGGCCGGGTTCTTGAGTGGGATCCATCAGCCTTCAGGCTGGGTGCTGCGGCCACACCATCCAGACACAGGGAATCTAGAATAGCCACCTTGTAGCCACCAGCCTCGAGAACCCAGGCTCTAGAATGTTGGACACACAGACTAGGGGCCAGGGCTCTCCCCAGTGCAATTCGGCTCCCTCATCTGTAAAGCAGGAAAGGTGACCCCCGCCACCAACCCCACAGTTGAAGCAGTGAGGCTGTCCTATATCCCCAGTGTGTGCACCAGGCCTCCCGGGCAGGCAGGACTTGCCAGAACCGACTGCACGCCCACCCATGGCAGCAGCGACTGGCCTGCTGGGCCCGCCTCAGGGCCTCCCTGGAGCCGGCACACTGGGGAGCCAGGCTGGTTCTACTCTCCAGCTCCAAAGGGCCAGCTCCTTCTCTCAGAGTCTCCGAGAGCTACATGGAGCCCCAGTGGCCCCGTATATCGCTGTGCTCATAACTGCCCCAAGAGCTGCAGAGCCCCACAAGGCCATGACAGCAGCCCACCAGCTCTCCCGGAGCCCTCCCTCTGGAGTCGCTTCTTCCCAGGATCCTATTTTATGACCACAAACTCCCAGGAGGGCGGCAGCAGGCACCCAGGGAGATGCATCTGACTTTCTCATCCTCAGGTGCCCAGTCCAGGCCCCAGCAGCCTTTCAGAGTGAGGATGCACCAGTCCCCAGACCAATCCAGCCACGAGGGAGCCAAGACCTGGGACATCGCTGGCCTTGAGGGACGCTTTGGGAGCTGGCCAGGGCCGGGGACAGCCTCGCTCCCTCCTCAACCAGCACCTTCCCCTCACTCAGCATGTGCAGACGCCACCTTGCTGGATACCTGTGGGCCTGATGGACAGACACTGTGTAATGTCATCCCCAAGGCTCTCGCACGAGCACACAGTCGTGTGTGGACCAGAACGCTCTTTGTCGACTGTGGAGCATTGAGCAAAACGGAAGGATCGTCATCGTTGCCTGAGCTCTGCGGTGGCCCTTGACGGTGGCTACCTGTGCCGACCTCTTCCCCGAGCCCCTGGCAAGGGCCTGTGTCCCCTGCACCCTGTCCCCGGTGCCTCACTGGGACAGAGATCCTCCTCATCGGGAACTTGGAATATGTGACCTGAATTAACCACAGCTGGGCCTGGCAAACCTGGGGGTTCGTCTCCGCAGCCCCAAAGCCTCTTATAAAACATAAACGCCTCTCCCGGCTGGGGTGGAGGAGGAACAGGGCGTCAGTGTTGAATGGGAACGGCACTTTGACTGGGAAGATGAAGATGCTCTGCAGGTGGATGGTGGTGACGGCTGCACGAATGCGACTGTGCTGAACGCCGCTGACTACGCCCGAGAGTGGTTACCGTGATACGCTGTACGTTATGTATATTTGACCACAATAAAAGACGCAGATTCATTTTTACAAATCCACGGGACAGGAAAATCAAGAACAAAGGGACCACTGTCGGTGTGAATATTAGAAAGAGTGATGTGCCTTCCACCTGTGACGTAGACGTCGATGCTGGAAAGCAGGAGGATGCCTGTCTGCACAGCCTTTGATGGGGAGAGAGGTCCCTGGGGCCACCTCAAGGTCATCTGTGGCTGTCACCTCCATACCTGCCGTTCGGGGATTTGGGGCACACAAATGCAGGGACCCCCTTCCCCGAGGCCGTGGTGAAGCCAGGTGGGAGCTGCCGACGTGGGCAGCAGGCAGGGCCAAGGCAGGTGGGGGCTTCCTGGTGGGCCTCGCATCCTGGAGGTCAGGGTCAGGCCCTTGGAGAGAGGCTGCTGTCGGAGCCTGCACCAGCCTGGCCAAACCCAGCCCTCAGGTCACACAGCCTCCCTCCAGGGCCCCTTCCCTTCCTCCCTGCCCCTTCTCTCCAGGAAGGCCAGGGCCTGTGGGCCAAGCTTCAGTATCCTAAAGCCTTCAGACACACACCAGGGCTGCACTGGGCTGTTTTCCGGTTTTAAGAACACGCCCTCTTCCTGGGGACCTTGAGTGTTGTCACTGGGAGGCAAGCCACTCTGGGGGTTTCTCCCAGCCGAGGAGCAGCAGGTTTTCCCCCCACATCTCTCTGGGCATCAGCAGAGCAGCTCTGCTCCTTCCCACGGATGGCCACTGGAGGCTGGCCATGTGCTGGCTGAGGGAGTGCTCCCTGGGCAGGCTGGGGATGGCAACAGGGGCCTGCAGTGGAAGAAGCCCGGGGTTCAAATCACCTCCCTTTCTCTGAGCCTCGGTTTTTCCCACATGTCTAACACAAGGTGAGGTTCAGGGAACTTGGGATGTCAGGATCTCTCGGCTGGCACCCGGGGCCCAGCCTCCCTTTCCGTCTGTCCTGGACCCTGCACCCCACTGATGCTCAGTCCACCTGGAACAGGAAGGTCCAGGGCGGAGGGTGCTGAGGACACCCCCACACCGTGCCGGCCACCCTCCACCACACTGCATCCTCAAAGCTGCGGTTTGGGCGCTCAGCATCCTCTGCCCTGAGGGTGCCACTGAGCGCTATGCTGACATCTTCGTCACCAGGTTGCTGTGGGCATTCAGTGAAAAGACGCCAGCCCCTCCCAGCACATGGCCGCTCCCCTCTCCTGGAGCAGGTGTCAGCTGGGAGTCTGGTGTGTGCCTGGGCTACCCCTGGCCACGCAAACCTTGGGGCCAGCATAGTGAGCCAGCGCCGGCCTGTCCAGAGTGTGCATGGCCTCCCATGCGGGTGACCCCAACTGAGAGCCAGCGTCCCCCGTGACAGCCTGGCACGGCCTCGCGCCTGGATGTTGCAAGCCTGGTTGGCACTAATTTATTGCAAATTGTTTGGGAAAAGTCAGTTTAATTAAAATCTAAATGAGGCTCCCAGGAGGGCCCCCGCCCCCAGCCCCAGCCGACGTAATGAGGAGAGGCGGGCATCTCACCAATTCCGGAGGCTTTCATGTTTTTGTCATCCCAAAGCCCCAAGATAATAAAATTTATTCATAGAATTCACACTTCAGTGGTGTGAATAAACGGTGGGCCGGCCACACAGAGAGTCACACAGAATCCCAAACCAGAGCCGGTGGCGGTTCAGGGGACCATTTTCTTCCCATCATAAATCAGAGCGCGGCGAAGTTGCCGATGGAGTCGCCGACGGGGCGAGGGCCGCCCCGAGCAATCAACCGGTCCGCGGCTGTCCTGTAGTGACCTTCGCCAGCGATTTTTCATCCATCTTGGCTTGTTTTGGGGCAGACGCTGCGGGGCCATGAAGCATAAGGGGCCCTCCAAGCACCCCAGCCCCTGCCGGGGCCAGAGGAAGCCATTGTGTGTGCTTCCTGAGCCAGGGACCTTGCTGTGTGCCCCGGGCAGGCCCTCTCCTCTCTGGAGCCTCCGATTTCCCAGCCGCCGTAGGAAATGCCAGAGCTGGCTGGTTCTGCACGCCCATCTCACTCAGTCTGCCTCTTCTGGAAGATGGAGCCACACACACCCAGCCGCTCAGGGAGGAACAGGCAGGCTGTGTTCCCCCTATGCCCACTTTTCCTCCGCCCAGAGCTGATGGGTGTGACCCAGGGAGGGGCTGTGTATGGCTCAGAAATGAACCTCTCCACAACCAGGCAGTAAGGGTGTAGCCTTGGGAAGGGCGGGAGGCATGGCCCCTGGGAGAAGGCGGGCACCTCAGCCCCCATGTCTGAGGGCGAGTGTCTAGGAGGAGGCCCCGTCAGGCAGGACACCACCCAGCGGCTTGGCTTGAGTCCGTCCTCAGGCTCGGCCTGAACCTGTCTGCATACAGGATGCAGGTCAATGGGCCTGCCCTGGAGCTGGATGGCCCTTGCGTGGACAGGTCATAGAACAGTACTTGGGCCCAGCAGGGGCTTACTAGCTGTTCCTGTGTTGGGAGCTGCACCTCTCCCCAGGCCAGGAGCTCCCAGGCAGTGCCAGGCCTGATGCGCCTCCATGTCGGCCATCCCCATGTGGCGTCTGCTGCAGGCACCGTCACCAGTGGAGGCAGACATGTGGACGGATGGACAGGTAAGTGGGCAGATGGACAGACGTGAGGGCAGGTGGGTGCCCAGATAGTGCAGATGCCACAGGCTGAGGGAATCTCACCAAAGCCGAGGGGCTGGGCCTTCCCACTTGGCGCTCAAGCTCAAGCAGGTGGAAAAACTGTATCCACTGAAGAGAAGGAAGCTTCGCTCCTAAAATCCCATCGCCAGGTTCCTGGCTGCCATCTGGCTCTGCAGACAGCACTGGAACAAGTTGTCATTTCCAAGCACGCTGGAGCGTATCTCCTTCACCTCCTGTGTTTCCAGCCAAGAGGAAAACCCCAGTGCCGTCCAGCCCATGCGGGCTCCCTCGACCAGGGGCTCCCTCCCACCCACACCTTCCTGCCCTGGTCCCCAGGGGCCTTCCCCAAGTGCCTGCTCCACTGGTCACCCTCACCGTGGCTGCTGTTAAACACACTTGGGTGCTTTTATCAGGGCCCTCTCTAGTGTTATGATAAATAATTGAAACTAAACCACAAGTGTCAAAATAAATGAACCTCTTGCAAAGGGGATGAATCTCCCCAGCTTTATATCCTTCTCCTGAGACGCCATAAAATGGGGACATAAAGTGAGGACCAGGCCTGGCTCCCAGCCTGCCACGGACAGCTGTCCGGGAGGCAGCAGAGAGGGACCTCAGGGGCACAGGGCGCTTCTGCTTCCCCTTCCTCCTCTGGAAAATGGGATGTTCACATCTGCCGCACCTCAAAGACCCAGGCTTGCCCCTGCCCACCTGCCCGGCTCTACATCTGTCTGTCAGTGGCAAGCCCGCCCCATCCGATCTCCCATCGGAGCCCGGGGCCTGGACTCACCACCACCCGACCCTGCTGGGCTGCGAGGGGGCGGCCTGGCACTTTGGCGCAGCCCCCACGCCCTGGCCATGCTGCCCAGGAATGCCGTTGTGTTTGTCCAGGCCAATGGCCCAGCAAGTAGCTTCTTCCAAATGTGATTCATCTGGACTTCCCAGCAAGACTGGTGAAGAGGGAGATGGCTCAGAGGCCGCGCCACAGGGTGTGCCCACATGGGACCATTCTCTCCGTCTGCTTAGACCACTGCGGGCAGAAGGGCCCAGGCCCGGCTCCACCAGGCGCACACGGAGGACACACCTGGGCCCCTGGTGGTTGCGCCCGCAAGTGACAGGCCGTGCAGCCTGGGCGCATATCATTACATATTGATTTACATTTACAGCCGGCTCCAGGTGCTCCCTCCCACTTAAGCACACTAGCAGATTTCTTATGCAAGATTGAACAACTTAACGGCCTGAACAAGTCGGATGACAAGACTTTAATTGCTATTTTTCTCCCTCTATCCCTCAGGAGAGCAATATGCAGACATTTAGAGAAGGATTTCATAAAACAGAAAGAAAGCAATTCTCAAAGTTCCATGCAAATTTGCTTTCCAAGCTCCTCACCAGGAGCCAGCGGTGCCTCTGGACAGCAGAGTCATGCGTCCTTGTTCAGCCGTCCTCAGAGCCCTTCCAGTGCCATCACTGGGGGGACAGAGAGAGGAGGCCCGCCTGGCCCACGGGACCTCCGGGAGCCTGACAGGAGGCCCAGAGAGGGGTCTCTGGGGTGATCAATGTCAGATTCCTGTCCTGGGGATCAAAAGGGCCATCTCCAACAAGCTGGAGCAGTTCCCCTCACGTGGCCCTGGCTTTCTGTTTCCAGCTCTATTTCAAACTACACCTATACTCATTCATTCATTCACACCCTCACTCGTTCATGCACGCATGCATTGAGCGTCCTCTGAGTGACTGGTGTTCTAAGCCCGTGCTGGCACAGCGCCTGGCTGGCGAGTGGACCAACAGGGAATGAATATGCACTAAAGGGCCCCTGCTGGGGCTCATCTTTAGGTGGGGTCAGGAGGCACGGGGACCATAAGCTAGGCTGACGGTGGGTGGGGTCCCCACGAGCCGCCAGAACATCACCGTGGGCGGCACAGACTCATTGGTGCCTGTTAGCCGGGGAGCGTCTGATCAATACTGTCGATACTTGACTGCGGTGAGGACGACCCAGTGCCTCTCTGCGAAAGCACGTTTTGTCTGGAAAATGCATAAATTCTCGTGTGGGGGATGGGTAGGGGAGGGAGAATAACAGTGATCATAATTTGTTAGCCAAGGATTCCCACCTCGCCCTCAGTGTGAGGCGTGATAAACAGCTCCTTAAGAACTCAGGAAATATATTCAGGAGACCAAATGGAAATCAATCTTCTCTTTTCTGTAACCTCCATCTCCCAGTAATTCTGAGGAACCAACTCCACCGAGTCCGTTGTTCATTCACAACGTGTTCAAAGGACTCTTTAAGGTTAGAATTTTCCTTTTAAGAAATTGCTCAGGGCGGCGAGTTTCCTGGCAGAGCCGCCCAGCTGATACCTCTCATTAGCCGCCTCCTGTGCCTGGGCTTGAGGCCCTCCCAGCTGAGAGCTGGGATGACGCTGATCTTTGTCCTAAATGGGAGAGGACAGGACGAAGGAGGAGAGTGGCTGGAGAGTGAGGGTGAAGACCAGCTCAGGGAGGGGGCTGTGAGGAGGCGTTGCTGGAGGAAATCAGGCCGAGGACCATCCTGGGGGCTGGGCCGGCTCCCCAGGGTCACGAGAAATCCTTGCTAACCTGGCTTTCCCAGCTGTGCACAGGGCACTGATCTCTGGGATTGAGGTGATTGCACAAATGGGGACACTGAGTCTGGAAAGAGCAGGGGACAGAGTGACTACAACTGGGCCTTCTGTCCCCAAGTCCAGCAATCTTAGCATCCCCAGCACCACCACCCACCCCCTCTGCCTACCTGCCAGGCCTGGGCTGGGCTGACTCCATTCATTTGAGCATGTACATGTTTGCTTTGCCAGTGTACCCCACACCTGCCATGTGCCTAGCCTGGAGCTGGCCCTGGATGTGTCAGCTGAGGACATGAGCGCCCACTTGTCTAAAAAGAATTGGGAGAAAGCAGGCTTAGACTTCAGGGGACTCTCAGCTCACACATGCACACACATGCACACACACAAACGTGCACACACGCACATTTGTGCACATTGACACAGACTGTGGGCACATGCACTCACAAAACTATGCACATTTGCGTGTACACAGCATACTCAGATGCACACACAGGCGTAGGCATGCTCCCCTTCACACATGTGCACATTCACACACACATGCAGACACCCACATGCTGGGGGCAGAATGAGTCAGGCCAGATTAAAGACGATAACAAAGGCCCGTTAGTGAAGGTGGCGACGTCCAGGGAAGAGCTACAGAGGCGCAATCTCTGGGGCCAAGGCTTCATGGGGGCTTTTTGCAGGCCTGGCTCCTGCCTGGGTGGATGCCTGGAGAGGGCCCTGCCTAGCACTCCGGGCGGCATTGAGGGTGGTGCTTGCAGGAAGGCCAGGCTGGAGGGGTGGTTCGAGCAGCTGGTCCCAGCCGAAGCTGAAGCCGGGCACGCAGCCAGGGAGCACCCCCAGCCCAGCCTCACTCCTCCCTGCGATCCCTTGGAAACGCTCCGACATCCGGAATGAGAGGGGAGTGCGAGGGTCTGCAGGGGGAGGGTGGGCTGCAGATGAAAGGCCTTTGAGGACGGGGCAGGCAGTGGGGAAGGATCTCACGCTCAGCAAAGGAAATATTGAAATTAAATCATTTCCCAAGGTTGGGGGAACTTTCTGTCCTAATTAAATAGCCAGGGCTCTCACGGCTGCCGACAGAGAGACAAGGGGAGGGGAGCAGATGCTGCCCTTGGAAGGGGGGATTAGCGGGCTGCTCCCCTTTGACGCCCGCCCCAGGCTCCCGGCAGCGGCGGGAGGCAGTCATCACGCTCTAATTAGGGCCGCACCTCCAGTCCTTAGGCACACATCCATATTCACATGCTGGGGCAGGGAGGCCTTTTCAGGGACCAAACGGCTGCGAGGCCCGGTGCAGGTGGGGGCTGGGGAGGAGAGGGGAGCTCCCCCATGTGCCCCCCCCACTCCTGGGCCACCAGCTCCCCTTTGCACTGTCACTGTCCTCCCTCACACCCTCTCTGCTGGGGGAAGGCTCTGCTCTGGGGGCGCTGAGCCAGGAGGGAGGCTGCAGAGCCAAGTCCGATTCAGAGACCTAGAACTGTACACCCCCATCCAACACTGACGGGGTCTGTGCCTGGGCTGGGCACCACTGGTGGGAGGGGGATTCCTACACCCCTCATGCCCCCACCAACCTTGGCTCCTCGGCCACCTCAGGCTATGGCGAGCCATCCCATTCCACCTCTTCTAGCAAGCAGGGCCCTCGAGACAGTCAGACCCAGACTGCAGAAGTCAGGGGAAGCAGAAAGATGGAGTTTCCAGACCCAGTGTGAGCATGTAGGGGAGGGAAGGTGGTTATACACACGTTCTAAAAGAGCCTCCGGTCACAGTGGGTCGTGGCTACCAAAAGAAGCAGAGGCTCAGGGAGCAGGGAAGCCCCTCTTGCTGGCCACGGATGCCAGAGCCCTGACCCCAGACACAGGGCAGTCCTCGGCCACAACCTGGGCCCCCAGGATCTGCAAACCCATCCTAAGAGCAGGACCATAGCTGGGGACACGGGGAGGTGGCAGAGAGCAATTCTCAGTACCACGGAGGAGACAGAGGCTCAGACTCAGAACCATGGCTGCCCGGCACCTGCTCTGCTCAGCTCCTTCGTCTGCATGGGCTCCAAGAGCCAGAGAACCCTAGAGCTGCAAACAGGCCATATCCGGGCTCTCAGCGCTGGAGCTGCCTCAGGGCCCGCGCAGCCCATCATCGGTTCCCTATAATTTACACAGAAGCCCAGAGGGGAGGACATTGGCTTAAGGTGGCACAGCTGGGTGGTAATGCTGGCACTGATGCCCGGACCCAGCTCCACGCTGGAAGCCCAAACCCCAGAGTCCCTTGCCCCACACCCCACAGCCGGCCTCTGGTGTGACCAGCCTGTCTCCAGGTTCTCTACCAACCTGCCATGGACATGCGTGTTCCAAGGTTTGCCTGGGGCCCGGCCTCTTGCTTTTCCCTCCACCTTGAAGACCTATGAGAAGCACACGGGCTCCGAACTGGGCATTGGAAAGAGCCCTGGGGCACCGGCCCTGTGATGCCGGAGGTAAGCCAGGGGAGAATTAGTGCAGATTCTTCCCCTTGTTAAACCTGCTGGGTACTTTTCACTCAACCACCATGGTCTCTCCGTCCTGGGAACCAAAGCGCCAGGTTTCCATCTGGCAGCACGTCCCTATTTCCCATCCATTGGGAGAACCTGCCTCAACACTGCTTGTGGTGCGTATTCATTGGTGAAGAATTCTTTTGGTTTACTTTTTTTTTTGAGGCAGTCTTGATCTGTTGCCCAGGCTGGAGTGCAGTGGTGGGATCTCAGCTCCTGCATCCTCTGCCTCTTGGGCTCAATCAATCCTCCCACCTCAGCCTCCTGAGAAGCTGGGACTACAGGCATGTGCCACCATGCCCAGCTAATTTTCGTAGAGATGGGGTTTTGCCATGTTGGTCAGGCTTGTCAAAAACTCCTGAGCTGTTTATTTTTATCTGAACATTTCTTCCTTTCACCTTCACTCTTTAAGAATGGTTTTTACTATTATAGGGCTCCCCTCCAACCCCACAGCACAGGTTGGTGTTATAAAACTATTTCCCACTGTCTTCTGACCGCCTCTCCTTCTCACAAGAAGTCAGCATCCCCTGGAACCTTGTCCCCACTGTGTACTGTGTCATTTTTCATGGCTGTTCCCAGCATTCTTTCTTTGTCCATGTTTTACATCTGTTTCACTCTAATGGCCTTTGGCATGGTTTCCGCTGTATTTATATTGACTTGGGTTTTCCACACTTTAAAAATCTGTAAACTGGTGTCTTTCAACAAATTCAGGTAATTTTTAGCCATGATTTCTAAAATTTAAAAAAAAAAGTCCCTATTTTATCCTGTCTCCTCCTCTAACACTTCAAGATCACATATGCCAGGCTTCCATGATTATTCCATAAGTCCCTAAAACACTCTTAACATTTTTTTCTTCTTTCTCTCTCTTCTTCAAATTGGATCATTTCTGTTGATTTGTCTTCAAGTTCACTAACTTCTTTTCTTTGTCATTTTCATGCTACTGCTGAGCCCAGTGAAGTTCCTATTTCAGATTTACATTTTCAGTTCTAGAATTTTCACCTGGCTTTTTCTTATAGCTTCTATTTTTCTACAGCAATGCGCAATCTATTCAGTAATTGTTAGCATACTTTCTTTTATGTCATTGGGCATTGTAGAAATAGCAGCTTCAAAATGCTTGTCTGTTTAGCTCGACATCTTGGTCATTTTGGGATTAGTCTCCATGGATGGTTTCAGTTTGAGAATGGTTCCTATTTGCCTCTTTCCTCATATGTTGAGTTACTTTGGATTGGATATTGGACTTTGTAAACAGGTGTTATAATGCCTCTGGATTGAAGAGTACCCGTTTTCACTGTTTTAACAGGTAATTAACTGGTTTGATTCGAACTGAAAAGTCCTCCCTTTGGATGGCAGCTCAAATCTGCCCTGAGTCCTGAGCCTTGGCAGGGCTCCTTGGGCTCTGCCCTGGTCCTGGGTTGTAGCTTATGCACAGGGCTTGGGGTCTGCCTCCTTTTGGCTTTTTCCTTTCTGCAAGTGATTCTTTTTGCCTTTCTGTGGCTGAGACTGCCTTAAACTTTGTTCTCTGTCTTCAAGCCAGGGAGGCTGCATATTTCCTACTGGACTGGAGGCTATCTCTGTGACCTGCATGGTGTAGACACAGGGCTGCCCTTGGCTAGAAGCTGTTAAAATGGGGACCTTACTCAGTTCCAATCCCTTCTTCTAAGAGCTGACATCCTTCCAGAATCTGCCTGCTTTCTCCGAGGTCTTCCCCAGTGCCGTCAGCCATTTTCACATCTCATGTTCAGTGTTGACGGCTGCTATCTTTGGAAGGGTTGCTCTACAGGGAGGCATGTGCTGCTGCCAGGATCAGAACTTCAAGACTGGTTTTTCATCATCTGTGTTAGGGATGGGCCAGTGTAGCCTCTACTCTGGGGCTGGTTTATCTTCCTGCTAAGTCGTGGCCCTCTGAATTCTCAGCTGAATGTCTCAAGTGTTGCTATAAACTAAACTGTGTCCCCCAAATTCATATGTTGAAGCCCTAACCCCCAATGTGACTGTTCATAGAGACAGGGCCTATAGGTTTAAATGAAGTCCCAAGGGTGGGGCCCTAATCTGATGGGACTGTGGCCTTATAAGAAGGGAAAGAGATCTTTCTCCCCATCATGCCCCTGCTGTGTGAGGACACAGTGAGAAGGTGGCCAGTTGCGAGCCAGGAAGACAGCCTTCACCAGAATCCAACCCAGCTGGCACTTTGATCTTGGATTTCCCATCCTCCAGAACAGAGAGGAAACACATTTTTTTATTGTGTAAGCCACCCAGTCTGGTATTTTGTTATGGCAGCCTGAGCAATGTAATACAGATGTTTTAAAGGGTGTTTCTCTCTCTGGCTGGCCAGAGCTTAAATGTCTCCCAGCTCTGTCCATTCTGGAAATGCTTAGCTTTTCCTTTCCTCTGTCTGTTGCCTGGCCTTGCAGAGTTTTACCCCATGCAACCACAGGTTAGCATTAGAACAGGCTCGAGGGAGCCCTGTGCAGATACCCCAGCCATTCCATCACACAGCCCTGCTCCTTGGTGCTCTTCCCCACAAATCCTGGCCACTTCCCTGAACCTGAGTTTGTATCTTCTCAACTCAGCAAATCTACTGCACTCCACTGGGGGCCCCTGGTCCTGTGGTGCATTCTGGGCAGAGCCCCTGAGCGGGAAATGGGACACTCATAGGGCTGGCCTCATCAGCCTCCCTCTTCTCAGGGACCTCAGTCCTGCACTGCCTGCTGTCCGCTATCCAAAAACATCACTCTGTATCTTTTCTTCAGTTCTGTAGTTGTTTGTGACATGACGGAAAGTCTGTGCTAGTTCACATGTCCCAGTCAAAACAGCTCTCCTCGGTCCCTAACAGAACTTCAGATTAAAGTGTCAGGCACACACACAAAAATGCACAGACCAGAGGGATGAAGGGTTTTCACAAAAGAGTGAAATTTCACATTCCTCACCCTAAAGCTGCCTGTACCGCAACCTCGGAGGCATCCACTGTTTTCACATCCTACACTGCAGACCAGTTTTCTCCCACTTTTGACTTTAGTCAGATGGAATTGTACAGTAGGGGCTTCCCCAGGTCTGGTTTCTTTCACTCCACGTTGAGCTGTGAGCATCAATCATCCTGTTCATACAGCAAGGGTTTGTTCATGTTCAAAAGCCTGAAACACTTTCCTTATCTCTGCTGAGTTTCAACCCAGCCCTAAGCACACAGCAAATCCCACCACCTCTAGGAAGCCCTGCTGGCCTTCACCGGCCAGTCAGCAGTGATCCTCCCTTCCTCTCTTTCTGCATGGCCCTCTTTCCTCCCCTGAAAGCTCACTGCTCTGGGTCTCGGGTACCCAGACTATTGCTGGTGATGATGTCATGAGAGGCAGTTGCTAGGCAACTGGCTCCACGGAGTCAGGGGCGCCTGCTCTTGGATTTGAAGTGCCCCTGCCAATTTCTTAAAATATCAGAACTCAGAGCACATGGAGCCCCAGAGAAGAGCGGAAAATCCAGCGTGCTTCACAAGCACTGGTAAGCCCCCGCACCCTCCCCCTCTGACTACACAGGTTTTCCAAGAGGTGATCATGTGAGACTAACATCATTGTCTTTCCTTGTCATGGTCCTTAGACTGGCAGACAAGGGACGTGTGATTGTGATTTCAGCAGGCATTTGCAAGGTCTGCTGTGTTATCCTTGAGGATGAAATGGGAAATCCATCCCAGATGATCTGTTAGGTGGAATGTGTCTGTTATATACAATTATAGACAAAGGGAGTTAGCTAATGACCTGGTGTCACCCTGGAGGGGGGTCTCCAGCATCCCCCAGGACTCTGACATCAGTCCTGTATTGTCTGATATTCTGATCAATGATTTCTATGAGGAAATAAAAGCCCTGCCTGACGAGTTGCTGCTGAAACAAAGGACAGAAAGTACATCACAAGTCAGAAGCATAGTTCAGAATCATCCCAGTGTTGAGAGGATTTAGAATTCTAAACATTTTTAAATGGGACACAAACAGCATTATCCATAAAGAAAAAAATCGATCAATTAACTGGACCACATTAAAATTAAGAACTTCTGTTCATCAGAGATATTGTTAAGAGAAGGAAAAGACAACTAAGAGATGTCATTTGTGATACATATCTCTGACAAAAATCTCATATCTAGATTTTAAAAAGCCCAACACATCAATCCTTTAAAAACTGGAGCAAGACAAATAGATAGAAAAATAGGCAAAATATTTGAACTGACATCTCGCACAGTAAGATATCCAAATGCCCACTAAATGTATGAACAATAAAATGCTAAGTTTCCTTAGTTAGCAGGAAGATGTGAGCTATAATGACGATGGGACACCCCCTCTAAAATGAATGGCCAAAAGGGAAGAGAGAAAATGTCCCGTGCAAGGAGGACATGAGGTGTGTGTTTGGGGCACATGCCCTGTGGAACTGCTTGGCAGCATTTGTTACACTGAACCTGCATATGTACGATTGCCCTGCTTTTCCCCCCTTAGATAGAGACCCAATGGAAGTGCATATGCATTTTTGCCAAAAGACACACGTAAAAGGTGTTTATAACTGCTTCCAATTCCAGAAACCAGAAATAACCAAAGTGTCCACGGATGGGCGGCTGGATACAAAGCCGGCGTGTAGTCATAAAGGGATGCAGCGAACGACGAATGTGAATAAACATTTGCTGTATGAACAGGATGACTGACGCTCACAGCTCAACGTGGAGTGAAGGAAGCCAGACCTGGGGAAGCCCCCGCTGTATGGTCCATCTGACGGAAGTCAAAAGCGGGAGAAAACTTGTCTGCAGTGTAGGAAGTTGAAACAGCGGATGCCTCTGAGGTTGGGGTATGGGGGCTTTGGGGGTGAGAAACATTCTATTTCTTGATCCGGGTTCTGGAAACAAGTGTACTGTCTTCTGGGCAAAGCCTGGGCTGGGGGTGTGCAGGGCACGGTGGTGGAGGGACGAGGGGACACAGGGGCCTGCGGGGCAGGTTGGAGATGGAGGCAGGTTGGGGTAGGGGTGATCAAACAGCATATACTGTAAAGGCCCCAGGCAGGGAGGGGCCTCCACAGCCCTAAGACGAGGCTGGAAGAGAGGAGGAAGGTGGCGAGAGAGAATCTCCAACTGGCAAAGGCAAGGCCCAAGGGCCCCTGTGGGTGCTGGTCAACATGCAGGTGGCCGCCAGCCTCCCAGCCCATCCTGACAGCCCCTGCGGGCTCCTATGTCCCTGCACAATTGCCAAAAGCACCTCAGTCACTCCCCAAGGGCCAAGCTCAGACAATGTGTGGGGTGGTTTCTATATCCAGAGGGGCTGAGAGTGTCCCAAGCCCCTTTCTTTGGGCTCGGTGTCACACCCATCTGCTGGGGTCCCCACAGCAGCCCAGGAGAGGCCTGTCCCGATCCTAATGAAAAGGATGAGAAAGCTCAGGGTCAGAGAGGAAAGTGCGGAGCCCTCATCCGCTGCCTCGGGGAGAACAGTGGCTGCCCTCGGGACCGCCCCGGGTCACTGGGCCTGAGACCGCAGGGAAGAGACAAGTCTGGGGGTGGTGACCTCCCGGTAGCCTCACGGGTAAGAGAAATGGGGCTGTTTGGGACAGAGACCACAGGGGACAGAGGGTCATACCTGTCAGAGGGAAGCCGCTAGGGGTGAGAAGGGCGGTGGGGAGAGGCACAGTGCAGAGGAGGGCATGCCTTTTACTTACCAGGGCAAAGGGAAATCTGACCTCCACGAGGGTGGATAAAGCTCTGCCAAGCTCGCCAACTGAAGCCAAGAAAAAACGCTAAGGAAGGAAGCACCTCGAAACACAGCGGCTGGAGAGGCAGCGGGAGCCTCCTGGGCCGGTGCTCCACGGGGTGCCAGAGCTGGGTGACTCCCTGCCTGGTGGAACTTACACCCCTACGGGGGCCCTGACCTCCAAGCTACAGGCAAACCAGTTCCCATGGCACTCACCATGGCAAGAGTAAAATCACGAGAGCCAGAGGGTTGGGGGTCCTTCGAGTCCAGGTGGCCGGGAGTAGCCTCGCTGGGGAGGAGGCACTGAGGCCGGTTCCAAAGGACCAGAGGAGCCCCAGATGGGTGCAGCAGCCAGCCTGTGAGGGCTGCCCGGAGGGCCTGCACTTCACGTCCAGGGAGGCCAGTGGCCAGCAGAGGATGTGGTAGGTGTGAGGCGGGAGGCAGGGCAGCTCCCTGAAGGCACACGGAGGATGGCCGCCGCAGAGAAGGATGCGGTCAGAGTGGAAGGGAGCAGCCCCAACTCAGCCAGTACAGTGGATGGTGAGGAGGGTTCAGGCCGAGGCCCCAAAGCCCCATCCTGCAGGCACAGGACAGGACCAGGCCGACAGCTCAGAGAGAATGGGACCCCACGCAGCTGCCAGGATGCCAGGCGCTAAATCACAGCGACCTCTTGCCAGCCATGCAAATAATCCAATTACGTCGGGATAATTTATTGATCAGGAAAATCAAAAGAAGGTAATTAACACAAATGAAGCAAGTCCTGGGCATCTATACGGGCTGTGCATCTGCTGTCCCCAGGATCCCGCCTGCTCTGACCCCTGGGCCTAGCCTGAGCCAGCCCCGTCTGCTGTCCACTAGAGCCCAGGTCCCATTCCCCCATTTTGTCCTGCACTGTCCACGGCTCTGGCCCAGCCCTGCCAATAGGATGACACCTCCCATGTACGCCAAGGCACCCCAGCATCACGCTGGCCCTCTCAGGGCACCCCACGCAGCCGACAGCCGCATCTTCCCCTCTACTCCTAGGACACTCCAACGTAACTCTTGGGACAGTCACCATAGTGGCCTCCAACCTCCTTCACCACTGCCGCTCAGCAACTCTTCCAGCACCCCATCTCCCCATCCCGTAAGGGGCTCCTCCTGCACCCTGTCTCCCCGTCCTATAAGGGGCTCCTCCCGCACCCATCTCCCCGTCCTGTAAGGGGCTCCTCCCGCACCCTGTCTCCCCGTCCTATAAGGGGCTCCTCCCGCACCCATCTCCCCGTCCTGTAAGGGGCTCCTCCCGCACCCTGTCTCCCCGTCCTATAAGGGGCTCCTCCCGCACCCATCTCCCCGTCCTGTAAGGGGCTCCTCCCGCACCCCGTCTCCCCATCCCATAAGGGACTCCTCCCGCACCCCATCTTCCCGTCCAGTAAGGGGCTCCTCCCGCACCCCGTCTCCCCCTCCTATAAGGGGCTTCTCCTGCTCCCCATCTTCCCCTGCACCCTGTCTTCCCATCCTGTAAAGGGTCCCCTGGGCTCCTCCACATCCCATCTCCCTATCCCATAAGGGAGCTCCCCCAGACTCCTCCTGTACCCCGCTCCCCCTGCACCATAAGGAGGCTCCCCACTTCTCCCTCATGCTTCCACCCTCACCCCATTGAGCTCCTCTAGGTCTGGGGGCGGCTGGTGCAGACAGCCCCACTGGGTGCTCCCAGGCAGTGTGCAGACCAGGTGTGGCCCCTGGCCTGAGGTCACACAGCTGCTGGGGGAGAAAGGCCTCTTCACCCCTCCTGGGGTTGCACAAGCCTCTCAAACTCAGCCTGGCCAGCACAGCCCCAGGGCCGGCTTCATGGCTGTGGCGAGGCCCATGCTCAGAGGAACTCAAGCTTGGTTAGAGCTCTGAAATTCCTCATAATGTTTGAAGCAAGGCCCCAGCTTTTCACTTTGCCCTGGGCTTTGCTCATCACCTGCCCAGGGGCCTCTCCTCCTGGGCCAGGGCTCGATCCTGGCCTGTGCAGCTCCACTCCCCGCACCCAGCAGCACCCAGCCAGCAGGGCCCCTCCGGCCTCCCCATACCCACTTTTCCCTGATGGTGGCCTCACTGTCTGGCGTTGTCCCTCACCTGGCCCCGTCTAGCTCCACCGCCCCTGCAACAGTAGCAAACACTCAGGCTCACGTCAGCTGAGTTCCCTGCCCCCAACGTGAGGCCGAGTCTGCCCCCCCACCTTCGCCCCCGGCATTCCACTCTCCAGGGTGGGCGGCTGCACCCCTCCTCACAGCCTCGCCGATCTGGGTCCGGGGTCCTCCTCTCCCTCGGACTGTCCTCCACCTGACACCCCTCTTCTCTGCCAGCCAATGCCTGGGGTGAGGCAGGCTGAGTCTCCCCCAGGACGCCCTCCTCCTAAACCCTGGAACCTGTGAACCTGGACTTTGCAGATGCAACTAACAGAAGGACCCCGAGGTGGGAGATGGCCCCGGACGACCCAGGTGGGCGCTAAATGTTGTCACAAGGGCCTCAGAAGAGGGAGCAGGAAGGTGAGGGTGGAGACGTGAGGACAGAGGCAGAGTCGGGGGGAGGACGGAGGGGCACTCTGCTGGCCTTGAAGGTGAGGAGGGGGCGGGGGGCACCTCCGGAAGCTGGAGAAGACAAGGAACCGATCCTCCCCTGGAGCCCCCAGAAGGAGCCGCCCTGTGACCCTTGACCTTCACCCGGTGGGATGCGTTTTGGACACCCGTCCCCCAGGGCTGGAAGGCGCCAGCTCTGTGGAGCTGGAGGTGCTGCAGTGGCGGGAGCTTGTTATGGCAGCAACAGGAACCTCCTCCTGGACCACCTCAGCGGTCCTACTGTGGACACCTCGCTCCTCTGCCCTGGGACCCTCTCCAGGGCCCTCCCGTGTCCTGCCCGGGGGCTATCTGTCTGGCTTCCCCTATCGGAGGGCAGCAGAAGACCCCACCCCACCCCTGGGGAGTTGGGACTCAGATTTCAAGTCGAGTCTCTGAGGGTGCAGGGTGTGGAACAGCCCCTGGATGGTACCACAGCCTCCCACCCCACTGCCGTGGCCCTCACCTCGTCCACCCACCAGGCGCCTGATAAGACACCAGAAATGCCCTCCCTGGGGCCTCCCTCCCTCCTTCTCAGCAACCCCCAATCCGTGCAACCCAGGGAGGTGCAGGGGGTCAGGGCCCACGTGCCTTCCCTGCCGGGAGCCGCCGCTTCATCACACGTGGCCCTAACTGACAGCAGCAAAACAAACATTTGCTTTGGTGACCCACGCTGAGTGAGACGCGTGGCATTATTTTAATTAAGCCTTGCGACCAATGAATCTCAATAAAGCAGCTGTTCCAGTATTCAGGTAAATAAATAAAAATCACACCAGGAGGGCTGCTGGGCGCAGAGCTGCCACGCGCATGGGTGTGGAGTGCAGGCAGCTGCCTGGAGGACAGGGGCGCGGTCCAGGCTCACAGCACTTGAGGGCTGACTTGGGAAAAGCCATGTGGAGGAAAGGCTCCTTCCAGATCAGCCCTGATGGGACAGCTACTGCAGATCGTGACACAGACCATGAGGGCTGGCAAGACTCCTCGGACACAGGAGAGGGGCCTGGCCAGGACTCCCTTGGGAAGGAGGATGGGAGAACGCACAGGTGCCGTGTTGGCCCTGGATGGGCCATCTCCCCGTTAGGACGGCTCTCGCTCAGCCCCCAGAGAGCCCACAGGTCTATCACCAGGAACAATTCTCACAGGGAACCCGAGGCCCGTGCCTCTCAGGCCCCAGAAGCTGGAACTGGCCCGGTGCAGTCTGGGGACCAGGGGCTGCCAGCTTTGAACCGTGATGCCACTCCATGCCTGTGCAGAAGAGAAAGTGAAGCTGAAACGCCCAGGCAGCCCCAGGAAACAGGAGGAGGAGGAAGCTCTCCCGTGGGCCTGATGGGGCTCAAAGTCCTACAGTGTTAATGTCACAGTGACGGGGCCTGATTTCCCCCCAAGACTGTTGGGAGTCATGGAAGGAAACACTCAGGGAGGAGCAGGTGCGCAGAGGGCCCGTGGGCAGGGACCTGTGTGGGCAGAGTGCCTGCCTATGTGGTACCAGAAAGGTGTGGAGCCCTGTAGGGTAGTGGCTGAGGACATCCTAGGCAGTGCCTCTCCAAATATGGGTGTTTATGGGTGTGTGTGGGGGCAGCTGGGTGGTGGGGGACCCAGGAGGTCACACTGCAGCCATCCTGCCTCTCACTCTCTCGGTCCAGGCACTCCCCACAACTCCATGACCGCGACTGACCCCAGCCCCCATCCCCCTCCTATCCTTGCCAACAGAACCTGCTTGTGCCTGGGGAGCGTGGGCCTAGCCCAGTAGATGACCTGTGACTGGTCTAAGCCCATCAGGTCAACCTATTCCCTTTGCCATGGATGGGCCCAGGATAGCTATGGGACCTTGCTTGGATGTAGCCTGGGAAGTGCACTGATGGGCTTCTGAGAAAGGCTTTCCTCCTTGATGAAAGATAGACCCATACAAGGAGAAGCCACACCCACCCTTTCTCACTCTCTGCTTCAGAGGCTGTCGTGTGAGGATGGGACGCCTGGAGCAGTGGCAGCCGTCTTGTGACTGTGAGGTCAGGAGCCAGAGAACAAGTAGCCAACATTCAAGGATGACTGAGGGAAAGGAGCCAGGGCCCTGGGTGATGTCATTACCTCCTTCTCAACGCCGGTGCCACCCACCTCCAGGCTCCTTTCATGAATGTATTAGATTCTCGTGGCTGCTGAAAAAAAATTAAACTATCACAAATTTAGTGGTTTAAGACAACAGAACTGTATTCTCACACAGGTCTCGAGGTAGAAGTCTGCAACAGCTTTCATGGGGATGCAATAAGGTGCAGTGGGCCAGGCTCCCTCCAGAGGCCCCGGGCAGTCAGTCCTGGCCTCCCCCAGCCCCCTTGGCACTCAGTGGTCCTTGGCTGTGGCCCTATCACTGCACTCTCCATCTCCGGGACACATCCCCTTCTCTCTTCTGTTCTCTGTCAAATTTTCCTCTGCCTCGTGGTTACATTGAAGACTCACCAGGATAACCCAGGCTGCTCTCCGCATCGCCAGATCCTTGAGAGGCAAAGCCCCCTTTCCACGTGAGATCCATCCACAGGGCCCTGGGGCTAGAACCCGGGGTCCTTGGGAACTCCTTTCCATTCACTCCCATGAGGTAGTTAAGCGCCCACTGTATTTGACCACCGTTGGTCCAGCTTTCTGTTCCTTGAGCCGTGAGGTTCGGATGAGAGAACTCCTCATCTGCAGAGAGGAGATAGCAGGACCTCCACCCTGGAGTGCGGGGAGCAAGCAAGAAGCACGGAGGGGCTCAGCAAACTCAGCACCTGTGAATGAGAGAGCCGCCCTCTACGGCCCCTCTAAGGCGGTTCAGGACGCGCTGTGAGTGTGAACCGCCTGGCAGCGTAAGTGAGTGCCTGGCCTGGCTGCATCTCCAGGGTGCAGCCTCGCAGCCCTCGCTCCCACCCTCAGTCTGGGGTGAGAAGCCCCTTTGAATGCAGCTTGCAGCCCACTTCAGAAGGCGCTGGGACAGGGCTTTCCCCTGCAGGGTCTATTCCCAGGGAAAGTTCCAGGTTTCTCCTGTGCACGCCCCTCCCTCCATCCTGGCTCGGTCCCCAGCATCAGCAGCGGCACCCGGAGCAGCATGGCGGGCTCCATCCATTACCTCCTGCCCGTTAATCGAGCGGATCATGATCTGCAAAATTGGGCGGAAGTTATATTAAGTAGTTTGGCGGTTAAATCTGACACTGTTGATATTTCTCTTCAAAAATAATTAAGAGCCTCCTTCATTGACGAGATCACGTCTTGCAGTCATAATGTGCTTAATATTTTTATCACAAGCCATTTAACTTGAGGCTTTGCTGAAACTCATTGCGACATGCAGAGTTTACTTGAGACTCCCGCGAGCTCAGGTGTTGCTGAAGGACCCGTGCGGTATCCAACGCAGGACAGCGCCTGGGCCCGCCAGGCCACTCCTGACAAAATCCCAAGAGGATGGTTGTTGAAATGCACGGCCACCCTCCCCACACCCCGCGCTGTGGAAAGAGCGTGAAGACGGCAGGTGCTGTCCCACAGCAGCTGAAGGACACTGGCCCAGCTGGGGCCTGGAGGGAGCAGGGCAGAGAGGCTGTCAGCTCCTGGAACCCTCAGCCCCAAAGGTCCCTTCCCTCCCGGGTCCATTTCTCTGCTAAAGATGAGCCGTCCCTCTAGTGGCTGTCCCCTGGCTGCCAGTAGATGGTGCACATTGAAGGTGTGTGTTTGCTGTGGCTGCCGTAGCTCAGAGGCTTGAAACAACAGGCACTTACTCCCCCACAGTCCTGGAGGCTGGAGTCCGAAATCCAGGTGTGCCGGACCCCTCCCTCTGCACGCTCTGGGGGAGGATCCTTCCCCGCCCTCCCAGCTTCAGTGGCCCCGGGCATCCGTGGTGTGTGTCCACGTCCCTCCATCTCTGCCTCCGTCTTCACGTGGCCTCCCCCTGTGTGTCTCTCATGGGGATGCCTGTCCTTGGATTTAGGGCCTGGGTAATCTCATCCCAAGATCCTTACTTACCTTATTAAATCTGCAAACGCTCTCGTTTGAACTAAGACCTCATTGCCTGGTCCTCAGGCTTTGGGTCCATGAACACAGATGTTTGGGGGCTACCATGCCACCCGCTACAGGAAAGGTGCCACAACTATTTAATGAATGGGCAAATGAACCGATAAAGGTGACTGGAGGCCACCTCCTGGCCAGGATGTCGATGGCTTTACGATTGAAGGAGAGAAGGAAAGAGTCTGGTCCCATCACCCATGGGAGATGGGGAAACTGAGGCTCCTTGAAGGGCAGTGGCTTTCCCAGGGTCACCCTGCAGATTTTGGTGGTGGGGATCGGGTTAGGATCACAGCGGGGTGCCCCTCCTGCCCCTTCGAGGGCGGGGCTCTGTCTGGAGGCCCTGCTTAGACGCTGCACTGCCAAGAATCTGGGGAAGGAGCTGAGGGAGACTGGGGGTGGGGTGAGGGGAGGGAGAGATGGAGGAAAGCTCCGTTTGTGATTGACAGTGACCAGTAACTTGCAGGTCCCAGAGAAAAGCCCCTCTCCCCCAATCCCCACATCCAGCCCTCTCCTGAGACCCTGGTGGGGCTGGGCCTGGCTCGGCGGGGCTCCATGCATCTCCACGGATAAATCCACCCGTTCCCTGGAGAAGATTGCACCAGGGGAGTGTGGACTTCTGGGGTACACGGGAAAAGCCATCCTGTGTCCCCACTGCAACAAGCCCCCACTTGCCTGGGGCCACCGTGCAGAGCAGATTCATGCTCCCTTTCAGTGGACCTGCACCCTGCCCCACCTCCACGCAGCATCTTCCTGGCTACAGGGGGAACCTGCTCCTCTGCCGATCCCTCAGACCCCAGTCAGAGACCCCAGATAAGCCATGTCAAGATCCCTGACCACCAGAAACTGGAAATAATCAATGTGTGTTGTTTTCAGATGCTAAGTTTGGGGCAATTTGTGACACAGCAGTTGACAGCTCATTCAGGGCTGAGCGCTGCCTCCCCCTCAGGCAGGCTCCGCCCTGGGGGCAGCAGGTCACTGGGGAGGCTTGAGGGCAGGGGGCCTCACCCTCCAGGTGCCAGCCCTGGGCGAGGCCTGGGCTCAGGAGGGGTCCCATTTCCATTCCTCCAGAGGAGGGGAGCAGATGGAGCTGGGGCGAGACTGCTGTGCCCGGCACACACCGCCACAGACCCTGGG
Organism: Homo sapiens; assembly: GCF_000001405.40. Taxonomy (NCBI): domain Eukaryota; kingdom Metazoa; phylum Chordata; class Mammalia; order Primates; family Hominidae; genus Homo; species Homo sapiens. The sequence goes on along the minus strand of NC_000014.9, from coordinate 104,368,937 downwards.
CCACTGCCCCTCCATGCAGCCCCCCACAGCCATTGCCAGGGGCCCTAACTGGGAGGCTCTGTGGGGGTCCCTGCTCTGGTTGACGGTCACGCACTCTGGGACCACAGGAGCCCCCACACCCGCTGCTGGTCGCCTGAACCTCGAGCCTCACAGCCCACCACTGCCCCTCCACATGCAGGACCCCCTCGTCACATGTCAGCATGTCCTGGAGAAGCTGCCACTCGTGGTGGTCTGGCGTCAGAGCCAGGTGCTGGCACATTTCCACACAATGAAATCATTGTGCAAATCAGATCCAGGCCTCACGCAAGAAAAAACAGGAGCCGCTCCTCCGCCTTGTCCCTCCCTGCTGTGAAAGCCCGGCCCCTCCAGGCAGGTGCCCAGGCGGTGGGAGGGGGTCTGCAGGGCCAGAGCTCCATCTTCATGGGCCATCACCACGGGAACCAAAAGTACCCTTTTTGCCCACAGCTGATTTGCTGGCAGGCGGGCAGGCGGCGGATGGGCCTGGAGAGCCCAGGAGACCCTGGGACCACTTCACAGGACAAGAGCATGGGTGGGGCCCCCCAGCACCACCACCTCTCACCTGGGTGCCGCAGAGGCTGGTGTCTGACGAGAGTACCACCACGGAGGGGCTGGGCACAGGTCTCAGCAGCCAGCCCAGGGCCATGCACTCCTGGAAAAAAGTGGCCCCCCAGGAAGGGAGTGCATTCTCGCCAGGTACAGCTGCTGCCCTGACCCCATTTGTCCTTGGGCGGAAGGCTGAGTGGCCGAGGGTGGAGCCCAAGCCCTCTGGGTGGCAGGAGGCCATGACCACCTGGCCGCCTGCAGCCTCTCCCGGTCACGCCTGCCTGCGTCTCTATCACATCTCTGGTAATAAATGAGGCATCCTGAGTGGGCCATCAATTTCGACACGATTGGCTGTTTCCGGGGTCTGGGCTGTCTGCGCGGCCTTTAGGGTGGATAAACACGCCGCGGCCTTTGTTCCGGGCTTTCGAGGAGACATTTGTCATGGAGATTTATCCTCACTTAGGCCGGAGCTCGTGTGCTTGGGCTCCGTGTTTATCTCCGAGGGCGCCCACTCACCCTGAGGCTTCCTATGGGAAGAGCTTCCTGGCGTGGGGTGCAGAAGCCCCCCGGGACAAGCTCGAGGGTCCAGGATGTGGTGCAACGAGCTGCTACACCTGTCACCCTGCTGCCCGCCCAGCCTGAGGCAGAGCTGGACCTGGCAAGCGTTGGCTGAAAGACATAAGAGGGGGCAGCTGACCGAGGTCCCCATGGGGATCCACTCTGGGGTGGCTGACTGAGGTCCCCACAGGGATCCGCTCTGGCCAGCAGGACTGGGGGTTCCCTGTCCCACCATTGAAGGAGGTGGAAGTGGGCCCAGGTGGGCTGAAGACCAGCCCAAGCACCCCCTGCTGTCTCGGGGCTGGGCACCCATTACCCCCTGGCCAATTCTTGTCCCGACCTCTCAGGGGCTCTCTCGGGAGGTGGGGCTCTGGGGAACAACAGCAGCTCAAGGACACAAAGGGCATGGGAATGATCAGCACGCAGTGGAGGTGGCAAGGGCAGGGCCCCTCCACCATGGCCACGGCCATTGTGACCCAAATGGGGGCTGTCTGCAGGGCAGCAGGCCTGGGCAGGCCAGCTTTGTTTCATGCTGACCAGCAGCACCTGGGCCAGCTCAGAGCAGCCTTAGAGATGCCCCTAGCTGCTTCCCCTTCCCACACCAGTGTCACCCGGCCCCTTCTTCTCCCAGCCCTGCCCCTAAAGGAGTAAGGCCCACAAGAGGGGTGACAGTGAGAGGAGGAAGTGGGAGTCTGGGAGCCCCAGTCGCAGATCTGTGTGAACTTCTTCCTTCAGGAGGGGGCCTGGGCCCCTGAGCCAGCTGTGCCCAGAGATGGGGTCAGTGAGTACTTGTGGAATGAGTGAGTGAGCAGGGGCGAGGGAACAAGGGAATGAATAAAGAAAAGGAAGACATTCTGCAATGTTTCATTTTTAAAAATAATTTTTCCTTTTTTTTTTTGCATTTTGGGGAGTATCTTTAAGGCCATTGCTCTTCAGGGGCTCCCCTTGCCATCTTCTCCCTTCTTGAGTTCTCTGTTCTTGTCCGTCATTATCTGCTTTCCTCGGACAGGGTAGGGGGCAATGTGTCATCACTGAATCCTTGAATACCTCCCATGAACTCTTCCTGGTCTGCAAAGGCTATCTTAGCTGGCCTCCCTCAGTAGTGCAGAGGCTGTTTCACTGCCTCCCACCTTCATCATGGCTGCCTGGATCCATGTTCTGTTTAACTAAAATCATAATACTGAAATGCAGACAGTTTGGTCATGATGTTTGGTCATGATCCTTTTTACACATTACCATATTCAGTCTGCTGAGGTTGTAAGATGCTTGTGTCTGTGTTTGTGAGTGAGATTTTCCTTCCTCATACTTTCCTATTTGGATTTCTGTATTAAGATTATGCTCACCTGATAAAATAAGTTGGGAAGAGCTCCCTCTTTTCTTTGAAAGGGTTTGTATAAAAATGGCATTTTTTTATTTAAATATTAAATCAAAGTTCTGAATGAAGGCTCTTTGGGCCTAGAGTTTTCTCTAGGGAAGAAACACTATAAAGTCAACTTCTGTAATAGTCATAGATAAGAATTTTTCAGGTCTTCCATTTCTTGTTGTGGCAATTTTGATAAATGCCTCTTTCTAGAAATTGTTAACTTCATCAAATGTTTCAAACTTATTGACATGAATCGATTAATACTATTCACTTATGGCTGGGCACAGTGGCTCACACCTGTAATCCCAGTGCTTTGGGAGGCCAAGGCGGGCAGATCACCTGAGGTCGGGAGTTCAAGACCAGCCTGACCAACATGGACAAACTGTATCTCCACTAAAAATACAAAATTAGCTGGTCGTGGTGGCTCGTGCCTGTAATCCCTGCTACTCGGGAGGCTGAGGCAGGAGAATCACTTGAACCCGGGGGACGGAGGTTGTGGTGAGCTGAGATCACACCATTGCACTCCAGTCTGGGCAACAAAGAGGGAAACTCCGTCTCAAAATAATAATAATAATAATAATAATAGTATAATATTCACTTATAATTTTTTCTCTTCTTAAATTTTAGAGATCTATCAGATCTGTAGAGATGTTCTCTTTTTCATTCCTAATACCGGCTATTCATGCTTTCTCACATTTTTCTTGATCTGACTTACCAGGGCTTTACAGGTTTTTTACATTTTATTTATTTTTAATTAACAATTAATAATTGTGTATACTTATGGGGTACAATGTAATGTTTTATTCTATGTATACATTGTAGAAAGATTCAATCAAGCTAATTGACATATCTATCACCTCATCAACACATTATTTTTTGTGGTGAAAACATTTAAAATCTATTCTTTTAAGAATTTAAAAACATAAAATGCATTATTATTAACTGCGGTCACTGCAATGAAACAGATCACTAAAACTGATGTCCTTTCAAAGATCAAGCTTCTGGCGTTAGTTATTCCTTTGTTTTGTATATTGTTTTCCATTTCATTAATTTCTGCTCTTATTTTTTTATTTCCTTCTTTCTTTGTTCCCCTTTTTCTAGTTTATTGAGCTGGATGTTCGGCTCATTACTTTTCAGACATCCTTCTTTTCTAATATAACCATTTAAATCCATAGAATTATCCTTCCATGCAATTTTAGGTGGATCCTACAAGTTTTACTGTGAAGTACTTTTTCATCATTCAGTTCCAAATATCGGTTTCCATTATGGTTTCTTGTTTGGCTGATGGGTTGTTTTTGTAATTCCCAGATGGCCGGGTATTTTCCACTCCGTTCTTGTCATCAGTCCTCACATGGTTGTGCTGTGGTTGGAGAAGGTGCGTTACATGACTCCTGTGCCTTGACCTTCCTTCAGGGCACGGCCACTCCCCAGTCCCTGGCATCAGTCCCCAGCGGTTCACCTCACCCTCGGGGACAAAGTCAGTGCAGTAATGTTCTCAGAGGGGACACCTGTCAAGCCCGGGGCTTGGACGAGGTGGGCAGGTACGTGTTGGAGGTGGAGGGAAAATTAGGGAAAGTCATGAGGCTCCTAGAATCCCCCTGTCTATGAAAAGTTAAAACCCTTTTTGGGAGAAATCAGGCAATCATCTCCAAAAACACAGATCTCAGTCGCATTGTGTGGGGGAGTTGGGTCTTGGTGTGATTGTCTGGTCAGAGCACAGTTCAGACTGAGGACATGCTGGATAGCAAGATAATCTGGTGTGGCATCACAGTTGAGTGAAGACCTCATAGTCCCCACCCTGGGAAGGGTGACCCCTGCTGAGCCCAGCGACGTGGACAGTGCCCAGTTTGTTCTAGTTAGCTTCCTCCAAGTGCCCTCCAGGGCACCATGGAAGACCCCACGCAGTGACTCAATTCCCCTCTCTCGGCAGAGCACATCCTAGGGCCACTCTGTCCCTGCCGGCTCCCACTGACCCTGCTCCCTCAGAGCCCACGCTACACGGTGGCTCAGAGTGGGGGCCTGAGGAGCCCTGGGTGCTGGCCTAGTGGAAGCCCTTCTTCCTGTAGTTGGTGCAGAAGGGGGAGGGGTTGGATCAGTCCCAGAGGGATCAGGGCCACAGTCAGGACTGGAGCACAGCCCGGACATGCTGACAGGTGACAATGGAAAGTAGGTGTGTCCATGTGGGGCGATGAGGGGGCCCTCTGCATGGGAGCTGGCTCCTCATGTGTGTGGCCTGACAGGGAGGAAAGAAAGGCACCCCAGGACAGACGGAGCCACAGGGCAGACACACAGGTCAGTGGGCGGCTCCTGGTGTCCCCGGCCCCCAGCCCCACCCGGCAGTCTGTGAGGGGTCCAGGTAGCGCTCCCACGCCATAGGCCCTGCTGCCTGCCTTGGTCAATGTTTGCTTTTGTAGTTGAATGTCTGCTTCCTGATTATCTGCCCACAGCAGCCCCGGGGCTCTTGGGAGTCGGAGCCCCACACGGAGCAGCCAGAGGGAGAGCACAGGGAAGTTCCAGAACTTTCTTGGGGTCGAGCATCCTGACGCCAGGCCAGGCTGCTGGAGAGTCCATCCTGGCTGTGCCCTTTCCTAGTTCAGCAACCTAGGGTAATAACTGCTCTGTGCCTCAAGTCCTCCAGCTGTCAGTGGCAGTACTGATAGTCCCTACCTGGGGAGATAGTGCAGGGGACAAAGGGATGTGATATTTAGAAGTCTGTTAGAAAAGAGCCTACTCCCTCAAAAGTGCTCCGTGGAGACAGTCACCACGAGACTTCAGAGTTGACATGCTGGGAGGGGCTGAGACCCCAGCTGGGAGCCCAGGAAGGCTTCCTAGAGGAGGGGACACTGCACTGAACACCAGGGATGTTCAGGGATAGTCTATTTTCCCAACTATAATGGGATGGGTATTCCTACTTCCCACAGCTGGTGGGAATTAACCAAGATGTGGCTTTAGCCGGCGGGCGCCGCAGAGCTGTGCCTAGTGTGGAGGGCACAGAGCCCCCCATTCTCTCAGGAGGGTGCAGGCTCCCACCTGCTGTTGACACCTGCTATGTTCCCAGAGCCCAGAGAAGATCCTGTACAGCGTAGGGCCATGAATTCCTGCAAAATGAACAGGTGACCTCACGTAGTCCCCCAAGCTGCCCTGGCAGCCCAGGCAGGGCCCCAGACCCAGGTGTGCTGGAGGCCAAGCCCCTCTCCTGGGCCAGGCAGAGCTCCACCTCCTCCCCAGCAAGGTGGGGCTGATACAGATGCCCACAGCAGAGGCTGGTGGGAAGAAGGAACGAGGCCCCTCATAGAACGAGCTCTGCAGTGGCAGACACCCCCACCCCCATGAGCACTTTCCACTTGCCCGCGCTGGAAATCCACTTCCGCAGGAGGGGGTGGTGTCTTTGGTGCCAGTGCCTGCTGTTGTCCGGAGATTCGGAGTAAAGGCCAGGCTGGAGTCCCTTTTCCCCCTTGAAGTCAGTCATCCTGTGGGGTCTGGAGTGTTGTCACTCCTTTTGCAGATGGAGAAACTGAGGCACGGGGTGCCGACCCAGGCAGCGTCTCCTGCATACCTGCTCTGATGTCATCGCTGGTTATTCCTCTTGGCCCCCAGCAGCATGAAGCCCACAGCCACGGACCCTGCACCATTATCCCCCTGGCCTCCTACGGAAAGTGAGGCTGGTTCAGTAGCTCAGGGTGACCCCCCTGCCACAAAGGGACCTGGTGTGTGGGAGACCCCCGTCAACATGAGGAACACCCAGGTCCAAAGCCAGGACCCCAGAAATCCTGGTGCTTCTGTCCACTATGGTCCAAGAGCTCCCAGGGGACCTGTGAGATCCTGGTCCGGGCCCTGCTGTGCAGAGGCAGCCGCCCTCCCCTCCAACACCCAGAACGGCAGAGCCTAAGCCGGTCCCGGAACATTCCTCTCGCTGCTTCCTGGGTTCTCAGGAGCCCTGCACCCCCACACCCCCTCCACAGGCCCCAACCGCAGTCAGAGCCCCAAGCACAGATGTCAGAGTGCTCTGCAGTGACCCCACCTCCCTGCCCAGGGCCCCGGAACAATTGAACCCGATAAGTAATGGCCCTGCCCTCCTTTATCACCCCAGTGCTTTGCACCGCCGGGCTGGCCTCATAAAGCAGCTGCAGTTTCTCTGGAGGACGAGGGCCCACCTGTGAGGAATGAGGGTGCGACTGCTCCGGGGGCCACCACACGCCCTGGATGGCCAGGGCTCCTGCCCACCCACTCCCCAGTAGGGACACAGCAGGGGATGCAGGCCCTGGCCTCCTTCTACCCTGGCTGAGGGCTCCAGGACCCGACCCCCCACCTCCTGGCCAGCCCAGCCTTCTCCAGATGGGCCAAGGAGAGCTCGGGCACCAGGCTGCCCTGCCCCTGCCACGTGAGTCCTGTGGGCTCTGGCTGGTGTTCGGCTTCTCAGCCTCAGTCCCCACCACACAGAACAGCAATGGTGGGTGGGAGCAGGGCCTGGCACTCACCCAGACTCCGCCACCATGCTCCAGAGCAGCCAAATCAAGGGCAGATTCTCAGAACAATTTCCACAGAACCGAGCCCAGAGGTTCCAGTGCAAGAACCCAGGCTCTCCCAAAGCATTGTTCTCATCCCTGGCCAGTGGGCTCCAAGGTCTCCTCAGCCAGTTTCCCCAGAATGCCAGAACCCCAGAGGAGATGCCAGAACATTCCTTACAGCTCACTACGCAAGCCAGCGTGAAGTAGGTGGTTTCTTTCTCCTATACACACACCCTGAACCAGGAGGGCTCCCTGAAGGAGGAGGCATTTTGCTGACTGCTTTGATTTCTAGGAGAGTGAGGCCGGCTTCCAATTCCACAGCAGTTTCTGCACAAAGATGTCTGTCCCAGGTCTGCTGGTCCCCACTCCCTTCCAAAGCAGCTCAGCAGTCTCACCCCCGCCAGGCCCTGGTGAGCCCACCACATGCTCTTGTGCAGACACAGGCTTTGCTCCTCCACAAGCCACTTCCCCAGGTTCTCTGGTCCCCAGACCCGGCGGTTCCCTGCCCCTGACCTTGTCTGCCCTCGGTGGAAGCTCGGGCTGCCTGCTCTCGTGGGATCCCAGCCACTTAAGGCAGCCACAGTCATTCCTCCAGCAGCCTCACGTCAACTCGCCTGACCCATGAGCTTGCTCCGGCCAAGGGGTTCCCAAGCGAGCTAAGAAGTGCACCGGGACATCAGGGAGGGGAGCACGAGGGAAAGTCCCTCTCCAGACCCTGCAGTGGGTCCCCCTTTCCTTCTAAAATCAAACACTCCCCCAGGAATGAGTCAGGCCACAGGGAGACGCCAAGCAAAGGCCAAGACATTCATTGGCCCAGACAGACACCCCCACCGCTTGGAGGCCAGATCTCATGTGGGAGATGGGCACCATGGGCCAGAAATGGGCTGAGGAAGCTCCCAGCCCCAGACCTCAGTTTCCCCATCTGTACAATGAAGGGCCTTTTTTTCATGGTTCCAAAAGCCACACGTTTTCTTGAGAAGGTTGAATTTCATTTTGGTGCTCAGCCCCTCAAGGGTGAGGGCAAGGGTGAGGGGAGGGGAGGCAGGGGAGGGAAGGTAGTGGCTGGGGCAGGAGCCCAGCCTGAGCCCCTCCCTGGACTCCAGTGTGTCTGCCGGGCAGATCGCTCCCTCGGGGACAGCCAGCTGCTTTCTTGTGGCTGTTGATGCCCTGCAGACCAGGGCTTAGACGGCACTCACCTGCTGCTCACAGGTCCGGCCTGGAGTCTGTGGTCAAGGCTCCTTCCCAGGGTCCTGAGGGGAGTCTGTGCCTGGCCTCCGGCCTCCGCTGATAGACACTGTCTTCTCTGTGTCTTTAATTGTCTTCCCTCTGTGTACGTCTGTGTCCAAAGTCCCCCTGCTTATAGGGACACCAGCCACACAGGACACCACCCCAGTGAGCTCACTTTAACTTGGTTGCTTCTGTAAGGACCTTGTTCCCAAATGAGGTCCCAGTCTGAGATCCCAGGGGCTGGATTCCCACCTGTGAATGGGGAACAGAACTCAACCCTCGCCCAACAGTGGGTGAGGGGCAGCTGTCTTCCCTGGGGGCAGCCAGTGCGTGGGCCATGCATGGCCCCAACCACCAGCTCACAGGTGGACCTCAGGCTTGGGTCATCAGCCAGGAGCTGACCCAGCCAGGGCAGGACCAGTAGAGATGACTGTGGGGACACCGGGAGACCAGGCAGTTTCCCCAACCCAGGCTCCGTCCTCCCAGCTCTGTGGAGCCCAGGGTGTGTGGGAACGGCCGGGGAGATCCTCCTATTCCAGCAAAAGCCAGGGCTGCTGCCCCCATCCCCACTCGCCAACATCTTGCTGGACTGCAGGGCTGGGCCCCTCTGCAGGAGTAGGGACAGGAGCTGGATCCAACATGGACAACAGGAATTTGGACACAGGACCAAATGCTCAGTCCCAGAGAGGCCTTGGCTTGGAGCTGGAGATTGGGAGCACCCCTGGGATAGCCCAGGGAAGCCCAGGTAGCAGCAGGTGCTCGGGTCAGCCCAGAGTGGCAGTTTGGCTGAACTTTGTAGGGTGTGCAAGGGAACCATGGGCACGAGCTGGAGGGGCTGATGGGCCAGATGATGAAAGACCTCGGGAGCTCCAGGCCAGGTTGTGGGTCCACTGTCCCCTCCGGGTCCCTGCAGTGTGAATGGCCGTGTTTTGCAGGAGGGCTGCAGGGATGGTAGCTGCTGTCTATCTGGGAGCCACAGCAGGTGCTGGAGCCGGGGAGCCAGGAGAGTGGCTTGCACCATCTGGGCCTCTGCATGGTGGTGTGAGGGCTTAAGGTCAGGGCTGGGGGCCGGAGGCAGGGGGAGCTGTCAGGACAGGCTTCCCAGGCCTTGAACCCAACCTGATGCTGCAGACTCCCAACCTCTGGCCCAGATGGACACACATGGTTCTGCCTTCTAGGAGCCTGTGTCATGGCCACCAGCTGAGCTGGGGCCCAGACCTGCTTGCCGGACCTCACTCATTGGCCGTTCATCCCACAGGCTGCCCCATGTGGCCGGCAAACACACAGCTGTCCTCGCCCCTGCAGAGCCCCCAAAATCTCTGAGGAGGCACTGTACACCCGGAGGACAGGGGACAGAGTGGGTTTCCAGGCAGAGCGGAAATAAATGAATCCAAAACACAGCCCCGGACAAGATACCTCCCGCGGCCCCCCAGGCACGCGACCCCACTGCAGCTGCCCTCCCCAGCTCTGCCAGGGGCCGAGGGCCCCATGGGGGACCCTCTGGAAGCAGGGATGGCCCAAGGCCACTGCCCACTGAGAGGCTGCTTAGACGAGGGCAGGGAGCTGGCTGGCCCGGCAAGGGAGGGCATGTTCCCCATCCACTCAGCTACCTCGGCCCCAGGAGGAGGGGAGCTGGGGGCACAGGAGCTGGCACATCCCCACCTGACACCAGGTCCTCTCATCCCAGTGATGGCCCTGGAGGAAGCCGCTGAGCCCTCAGAACAGCAGGTCATCCTGAGTCCAGCATGGAGCCCTTGGAGCCGCAGGTCCGCCTGAGTCCAGCATGGAGAATGAGGCACTCCTTCATCCCTGCTTCCTGGACTTTCCATGGAGGTCACACTTCTGGTGAAGGGAGAGCCACCACCCTGTCACCACGATTCCAGTGGGCCAGGCCACTGCCCCCAATTCCAAGGCAAGAAGCAAATGTCAGGGGCCAGGGCCAGAGCCCAACACCAGGCTCATTCCTCTCAAGAGTCCACCCAGTGCCAAGTGAGCCCCTGCCCGGCCTGGCATCCCAGAGCAGGGTGCTCATCCCATGGCACAGATGGGAATGCCAAAGCCCACAGAGAGGCCCTGGCCCCCCACTGCCCTGTGCCCCCACCTCCTCATGCTCCTGAAAGACCTGGCCCGTGCCTGCAAGCGCCTGCCTCGGCTCCCAGACGAGAGGCTTGTCCTGCCACTCTCGTGCTCAAGAGCCACCCATGGCTCCCAGTGCCTGGTAAGCAGGTGGGGAGCACGAAGCCCCGTGTGCCCGCCACTCTCTGTACAGATGCTGATTTCCTCTGCACTCTGGGTTGTCTCCTTCCACACTGACAGCTGTGAGTTACTCCAGTATCCTCCCACATTTGCGGCTAAAGATCTATGATCATCAGATCCCCAAAGCCAGCGTCCCAGTTGTTCTGTCTGGACTTCAGGGAGGCCCTGGCACGCTGAGTCTGTGCCCAGTCCATTGTCGGCTCAGCCATCGTCAGTGTATTCTCCGCCCATGGAGTGCGCTAGGCCCATGGCCACTGTGCGGTGCCTTGCCTGGGGCTGATTCTATACAGAGCTTGACGGAAGCTTCCAGACTGGTTAATTACGGTCCTACCAAGTGGAGACAGGCTTCTCACCACTGCAGGACAGTGGCCCTGGGCCGAAGGAGTCCTGCGGCCTGTGTGGCGTTTAGTGACTGGCACACGGGTATGTAGGGACACTTCCAGGACGGGTTCCTGCACCGCCCACGCTTACCAGGGCTCTCACCTCCTGGGACTGCAGCGCTCTGCTGCGGCAACACTGTCCCTGCTCTAGTTTCCATCCAACTCCAGAGCTGCGGCACTGCAGGAGGCCTCTCCAGGGGCAGAGACGTGGGTCTGGGGTCCGGGGTCCAAGCCCAAGCCTGCCACTTCCCGGCCACACGTGGGCCTGGACTTTCACTCGCCCACAAAGCCAGGGTTCTGATGCTGCCCACAGGGCTACCGAGGTAGACATGATCCACGTAAGCCTCCGAGCACTGGCCAGCACGCAGTAGGTCCTCAAAATATGTGGCTCGAAGAACGTGCTCAGGAAGCTGGACCACGAGTGTCAGGCTGCATCCGCTGGGGCCCTGAGCCCTGCTATAGGACAGCCCCGGCCCTTGCAATTCACACTTGGCCCTCCTAGCTCTCGGCTCCTGTGGCCACACTCTCACTCTTGGGCCCTGTCTTTGACGGTGACCGCCCTCCAGCCAGTGCTTGGGTCTGCCGTGTCGTTCATTCCTGCATTCCCTTCTCTGGTGTTTTCCCTGTGCTACCAAGGACCAGGCCCTGGGGTCTCGGGAGCAAGACAGACGGGACCAGAGATGGTGATTGAGGCGCCCAGACCAGCATCTGCCTTGCTCCCCTGTGACCGCTGCATCAAACGTCTGCAGGCCGGGAGCTTACACTAGAAGTGCATTTTTTCAGGGCCTGGAGGTCAGAGGTCTGAAATCAGGCTGCCAGCAGGGGTGGCCGTCCACCACGAGTGCAAACCCCACAGAGCCTCCAGCCGCCCTGGAGGAGACTCACCCTCTGCTCCCTCTGGAGGCTCCAGGAGAGGCTGCTTCCTGCCTCTCCCAGCTTCCAGTGGCCCTGGGCACCCTTGGCTTGTGGCCACATCCTTCCAGTCTCTGCTTCCATCTTCACAGGGCCTCCTTCTCTGTGTCCAATCTCCCTCGGCTTTCCTTGTGTAAGGACACACGCCAGCCGTGGGATTTAAGGCCCACCCAGACGATCCAGGACGACCTCACCTCGAGATCCTTCACTCAAAGACCCTAGTTCCAGGTGAGACCACACCACTGGCTCCAGGCATTACGCTATGGCCATATCCTTGAGGGGCACCATCCAACCCCCCCGCAGCATGTGAGCGCCAGCTGTGCCTGGGATGGCCTCCTCGGTGCTCTCCAGGCCCAGCCTAAGCTGCACGGGGCTGCCTGCTGGCTTCCTGGGGTCCCACCGTGGCCAGAACCTTCCCTGCTATGTCCTTAGGGAGCCAGGCCTGCAGAAGACGCATCCAAGGGAGAATCAGGCCAGGCTTATGTTTCGTGCCCTGGAATATCCAGGAGCCCACCCAGCACCAAGGGGCAGCTGGCCACCTTCTGTTTACCCTGGAGCTGCTGGGCCCCAGCCTGTGCTCACAGCCCACCTTTTGGCCCTGCTGGGACTCTGGGTCTGGAATGCTTTCCATGTGAGCTTCCCACCAGGAGCAGTGGCTGAGGCTTCAGCCAGCCCAGCCCAGCCCAGGCAGCTGCTGCCAGAACTTTCGCCCAGCAGTGAGCTGGTGATTCCCTCCTGAAGAGCTGGGAAAGGAGAAGCACGGACAAATGAGAAAGACGGAGGCCTTTCCCTGTCTCCTGGGGTCTGGAGGCAGGTGGGGACTGTCCTACACGGAGCCTAGAGGTGGGTGGGGACTGTCCTACATGGAGCCCAGGGGCGGGTGGGGACAGGGGAGCCGTCCGGGGCCTTCCCTCATCTGACTGGCTCTCCCAGCGTCCTGCAGATGGCAGGGGAAGCAGGACATGGCCCACGGTGAAGACAGCTGCAGCCCGCCTCCCTGCATGCCTTCCTGTGAGGATGCCCCGTGACTGACTCAGAACCCCCGAGGCCACACCAGGCCCGGCTCCCCAAATGCCTCCCACAACCCAGAATGGAGGGGCCCAAAAAAACGGAGGGCCTGGGACCTGGAGGGAGTGGGCCTCTGGTGGATGGTAGGAGTGAGAAGGAGCTTCTCTCTTTGGCCAGGGACGAGGGTGGTCTGGCATCCTGGCAGAGGCACCAGGCAGTGAGGACAATGAGGGCTGGATATGGATGTCAGACCCATCTATCCTCGTGGGAGTGGGGTACAGCTGGGACCCATCTATCCTCCCAGGAGCAGAGTGCAGCTGGGATAATTATCAATGCTTTTTCCATGTAATGACAAAATGCACTTTTAGCAAAAAGCTCTAAATCATTTCTGAGCAATTTCTTTTGTAAAAAAAGTGGAAATACAAGAAGACAGAACGGAAGGAAAAAGCCTTTTCTGGGCTGCCATTCCCGAGAGGGACAGGCTCAGAGGCTGCATCCAGGCTGCCTGTCCCCCCAGCCTCTGCCCCAGTGCAGGAGAGACCAACCCCGGCCAACCCACCGCTGTCGGACAAAGTAACCACGGGGCAGCCACTGGCTCTGGGTCTGAGAAAGGGGGACAGCCACTCACCACCCTTGGTCCTTGTTGCCTTCTCAACAGCCTGGGGAGGTGGGGGACTGGCCCCCCCATCACTGCATGCAGCTACAGGCCCCCTCTCCCCACCCAGGAGCTTGGTTTGTGGGACGGAGTCAGGGATGGGAGACCACGGGGTGCAGACCTAGTGTGGGGGCTCTCCCAGGGGCCCAGCTTGGCTGGGAGAGGCCGGTCCCAGTCAGGAGAGCGAGTCGAAGGCTGTGCAAGGTGACAGTGGACGGGAGGACAGGGAAGGGAGCCCCAAGCTGGAGTGCAGCTTGCGGGTGCTGCACTGGTCAGGCAGCTGCCATCGGAGACCCCCTGTAGAAGCCTTCACCCTCGGGCGGGCCTCAGGGGCGGGGCCAACTTGGGGCCTGCTGTGCCGGGGAGCCACCGCTGGTGGACGCACCCCCATTCTGAGCAGCCACGTCAGCCCACGTGCTGTGACCAGGACCTCCCTGGGGCAGCAAAGAGCTACTGAGAGAGGCTCCGGCCCTGCCTGCCCCAGCCCCCAGCCCCCAGCCCCTGCCCCCAGCCCCCAGCCCCCAGCCCCCAGCCCCCTGCCCCCGGCCCCCAGCCCCCAGCCCCCAGCCCCCAGCCCCCTGCCCCCGGCCCCCAGCCCCCAGCCCACAACCCCCAGCCCCCAGCCCCCAGCCCCCAGCCCCCTGCCCCCAGCCCCCAGCCCCCAGCCCCCTGCCCCCAGCCCCCAGCCCCCTGCCCCCAGCCCCCTGCCCCCAGCAGCTGCAACCTGTTGCCTCCAACTCTGTCCCCTTTTCCTGTTGCCAGCCGCTGTCCCAGACCTGCGTCTGCACAACCCCTCCACCCACTCCCCCTGCCCTGTGTGTTTGCAATAATCCAGAGTCACTTGAAACCTGGATAATATTTCAGCTCAGTCCCACCACCGTTATGGGTTCATTTGGCATTCAGTGTGCGGCAATAACAATGAATTTCCTGGATGCTGAATGTCACATCCTTCCTCGAGAGCCAGCACGCGTCATTACGATGCAGAGCAATGTCCCGGCAGCTCCCGAGCAGGCTCCTGGAAGGGCTGAGGGCCAGCGGCTGGCAGTGGCCTTGATGGAGCCGCCACCCAGGGCCAAACATGGTGGAGCTTTCTCCAGACAAGGCCAGCCAGGGCCACTGGGCAGGGACACAGCCCCCGGCAGAGCCTACACCCAGATGCCAAGTTCTCTAGCACCACCGGGGGCTCCAGGGCCAACCCAGGGCCCCTCTATCTCCAGGGACCTCCAGAACAGTTCCAGCAAGCCCTGCACCCACCACGGAGACCCCCATCTCCCTGGCAACCCCTAGAGCTCACCCTCCTCCCTGATAATTGAGAAACCAAATTGGGACTCCAGTCACTCCCTGCTTGAAGGACTCTGGTTTTCCGCTGTGAGACAGAAGTCAAGGCTCTCCCAGCAAAACCTGACCCTCAACCCCTACCTCACTTCACAGCCCGTGCCTCCAGCCCCCCGACCACACGTCTGTTCCTCCAGCACACCAGGCTCTGCTGCGCCTCTGCACGCTTCCCTCTGCTGGGAAAACTCGACAACACAGCGAAGAATCTCATCCTCGTGAGGACCTCCCATGTGCCAAGCCTTCAGATTCACAGCCTGCAGCCCCGACGACAGCTCCATGAGATGGTGCTGTCCCTCTGCCCATTTGACAGATGGACAGACTGAGGCTCCAGGAGAGGACATGGGTGGATGAGGGGCCAGCCCACCTGTCGGTACAGAGCCTCTGCTCCTCCCTGAGGGCCTCCTTCCCACCCCTTAGGTCTCTGTACCACGAGGCCACCCAGCAGCCGACCCGGGGTCCTCCCGCCCCTTCCCTCCGTGCCCCTCACAATAGGGCTTTGCCAGCCAGTCATGTGTCTTTCTTCCTCATTGGGCTCTGAGTGCCTGAGGACACTCACTATTGTTCAGAAGTGGGCAGGGCTGGCACTGGGAGCCCCTTCACTTATTATCTGCAATGCTGGAATCTGGGGGAGGGACCACAGCAGGAGGCAGCGGCCAGTCACCACAGTGGGGGCCCCAGCTCCAAGGAGCAAAGCTGCAAGACATCCACAGCCGGCTTGGGAGGTTCATGCTGGGAGAAGGGGCCGTCACAATCCCCCATCCTCACTCCCCTCCTGCCCCACTGTCTCCCTCACCTGCTGGGATCCGCTGGCCTCCTCCTCAGGCCTCCTGGCCTTCCCTAGGACCAGTGTTCCCCCACATTCCTGTCCCCTGCCCCTGGCCGCTCCCGTTCCAGCCTGACCACCCCAGCCCCCAACCCCTGGACTGCCATGTACAATCCCTCTGGGCCAGAGCTGCCCGGGTTAGGAGAAACTGGCTGGGTCCCTACAGGCCTGGAGGGCACCCACCCCTATTGTTCTCCTGGTGGGACAGAGACAGCAAAGAGAGGCCGAAGAAGCTAGGATCTAGCTTGGGAGGCAAGGGGCCGGGCTCCAGAGACCATGGTAGATTCAAGATGGTAGCAAATTTCTTGTTTCTCCTCCCTGGAGAAATGGACTCTGATCCACCCGCCCCGTTGAGCCTGCACTGGCCTTAACCGGCGACTTGCTTGACCAATGGAATTTGGCAGAAGTGACATCTGGGACTCCCAAGGCTGAGTCAAGAGTCCTGTGACTTTTACCCAACTCACTTGGAAATCTTCAGGGTAACATGTTTACTCCCTGGCCATGCCGTGAGAAGCCGTGGACTCCCATGTAGAGGAGGAGGAACCACGTGGCACCCAGGCACCAGGCATGTGGGAGAAGATGCCATCTGGGAAGTGGGCACGGTAGACACCATGTGGATCCGAGAAAAACCTCCCAGCTGAGCCCTTTCCAAACCTGAACCCACAAAATAAGGAGCCAAATAAAATGGGGGGGTGTTTTAAGCCACCACATTTTGGGGTCATTTATTACACAGCAATAAGTCACCAGAATATAATCTGATACCTGGAAGGTGGGCGTGCTGCTGTAACAAAATCTTTAGACATGGGTCATTGGCCCTGATCTCACACCATCCACAAAAATCAACTCAAAATGGATTAAAGACTTAGATGTAAGGCCTACAACCATTAAATGGGTAGAACACACAGGCGGAAGCTCCTGAACTTGGATTTTCGGAGATGACACCAAAAGTTCAGGCAACAAAACAATAAACAGGCGGGATTGCACCAAACGACAAAGTTCCAGTGCAGGAAAGGCAGCCGTGAGCACCAGGAGAAGGCGCCTGAGGAACGGGAGGACATTTTCACACACCATTCACCCACTAAGGGACTCACATCCAAAATATACAAGGAACTCAAATGATCCAATAACAAGAAAACAAATCATCCAATTTTTAAATGGGCAAAGGGTCTGAATAGACATTTCCCAAAAGAAGACATACAAATGGCCAACAGGTACATGAAAAATGCTCAGCATCGCTAATCATCAGAGAAATGTGTTATGTTGGTGCAAAAGTAATTGCAGATTTTGCAATGGAAAGTAATGGAAAACCGTAATTACTTTTGCACCAACCTGACACATTTAAAACCACAATGGGATACCGCCTCACACCTGTTAGAATGGCTGTTGTCAAAAAGACAAAAAATAGCAGTGTTGAGGTTGTGGAGAAAAGGAAACCTTGCAACCTTGCATGCTGCTGGTGGGAATAAGTACTGCCATCGTGGCAAACAGTATGAAGCTTCCTCAGAAAGCTAAAACTAGAACTACTGTATGACCCAGTAATCTCACAGCTGGGTATGTAGCCAAAGGAAATGATATCAGCATATCAAAGGGATATCTGCACCCCCATGCTTATTGCAACACCATTCACAACAGCCAAGAAATGGAGTCAACCTAAGTGTCCATCAGTGGATGAATGGGTAAAGAAAATGAGGTCCATATACACAATGGAGTACTATTCAGCCATAAAAAAGGAAAAGATACTGCCATTTGCAACAACATGGATGAATCCAGAAGACATCATACCAAGTGAAATGATCCAGACACAGAAAGAAAAATACTGCATGTATTTGTAGAATCTTTAAAAGGTGAATACATAGAATCAGAAAGAGAAACGGTGGTTACCAGGGGCAGGAGTGGGTATGGGGGGATGTTGATCAAAGGGTATAAAATTGCAGTTATGTGGGATGAATTAGTCTAGAGCTCTAATGTACAGCATGAGGACTGTAGTCAGTACTATATTATATGCTGGAAATTTGCTGAGAATAGATTTCAGGTGCTCTCATTTAAAAAAGGTAACTTTGTGGAGTGATGACTCTGTTAATTGGCTTGACTATAGTAATCATTTCACTATGTGTATGTTCAAATGTTGTATATCTTAAATATATACAATGAAATATATAGTAGTCATTTCACTATGTGTATGTTCAAATGTTGTATATCTTAAATACATACAATTTTATTTTAAAAATGTTAATAAGGAAAAGTTCACCATGGGTCATTGGTTTGGGGACAAGATGATGGGAGGCAGCATGGGGAATCATTGGTGAGGGCTCTAAGGGTGAGGGTGGCGAGGACATTACTGGAGGCTGGAGGAAAGGGCCCCTGTTACATGGTGACAGTAATGGAAAGTTTGACCTGCAAAAGAGAAAGGGCAGCTCACCCACCGGTGGATCTGACAGGGGACCCTTCCAGGCAGCCAGCTTTGCCTGTGATAAAATACAAAGAGAGAGGGGGTCAGCTTAAGGAACAGTTAAATTCTTAGCAGAAGTTAGAGTGAACATAAAAGACCCAGGACTTGCTCAGTTCAAAAACAAAACTGTGTCACCCTCAAGCTCTCCCAACGAAGATTCTCAGTACAAACAATGATCTCGGGGCAGAAATGTGTGGCTGCAAGCCAGCGCAGCTGGAAGCGCTCTTGTCCAGACCTCAGAGAGAAGGAAGGGGGTGGCTCACTGCCCTCTCAGCTAAACAAAAGAGCCTTTAAACATCTTCAGGGGGTGCCCCACCGATGCTCCCAGCCAGTCAATGAGGCTTCCAGGCATGTTTGGGTGCTGTTCCATAGCCGGCTGCCCAGGGTGAAGATAGGCCAGCCTCAGCAGGCAATGCCAGGGCAGCTTTGATCCAATCCAGCTGATTTTTAGTTGGTCTGGAAGAACCTCTCAAACCTTTTAACAAAATTGTACCAGTGGTGTTCTCTATCTTCCTAAGGTAGGAGGAAGGCCGAGCTGAGGACCTACCTGTGAACAGGGACAGCTCATATGGAAGAGAAAGAGTGACTCAGAGGATGATGCCAGGAGCCCAGAAGGCACAATCTTCTTCACCCAGGGGCCCCCAGAACAGTTGACATCTGGGTGGGTCATTGCAGTCACACTCCTTCTGCATCACATCAGGGCGCAGGAGCTGGCAACATGCCAGGGTGGATTTCAGGATCGCCATGGAATGACTGTGATGTACTCCTGCTTTCTGCTCTGTTGAATGGGTGTTCATTCTGGTGGTCCCCAGAGTCTCACCACCAGAATCTAGGTGGGTGGAAGGGCCCCATGGCTCGTATCTGGGTTGCAGTTCTTCAGATCAGAACAACTGTGTTGGAGGACCCAGGACCCCATGTGCACTGGAGTTCATTAGCCCAGAGGGTCCTGGACCTCCAGCCAAAGCCAAACAGATGAGACAAACGGGGGTCTCCAGTGGGGCTGGGTGCACGTTGCGAGGGCCTTCAGTGAGATTCAGTGTGTGTTGCATTTGAAAGGAGTATCAACAGTTGTAGCCACAGGGCAGACTGTGGTAGATTAAAGATGGATAGAAATTCTTTGTTCTCATTGAGAAATGAAGTCGAATCTGCTGCTACCTTGGATCTGCCCTGGTCTTAGTGACTTGCTTGACCTACAGAATGCAGCAGGCATGACATGCCAGGACCTCTAGACTAAGTCCTGTGAAGTCTGGCAGCTTCTGCCTCACTCACTGGAATGCTTGCTCCAGGAGACCAGCAGTCATGTAAATTCAGCCAACCTGAGATGTACCTGCTGTAAGAAGCCCAAGCCATGCAGAGAGGCCCTGGGGGATGAGACAGTGTGTGGAGGAGAGAGAGAAACAGAGGCACTGGGGCTCCAAACATGGGAGTGAAGAAGGCATTTCGGAAGTAGAGTCTCCAGCCTCAGTCACCCCCGCTGACACCAACTGAATGAGAGATGAATCACTCAGCCAAGCCTTTTCCAAATTCTTGGCCCATCAAAATAAAATAGCTGTTTTAAGCCACTAAGTTTTGGAGTCATTTGTTCACACCAATAGATAACAGAGTAGGGACCATTAGCAGAGAAAGCAGGACCGGGGCCATAGAACAGTTAACATCTGGGTAGACCACTGCAGTCACACATCTTTCTGCATCATATCCCTATGCAGTCCCTTCCCATACAGAATCTGAGATTGGCCACATGACTTGGCTTATCCAATGAGACAATAGCAAATGTGACATAGGCATGATGGGGCCTGACTTCTTTCTGCTCTCAGACCCCTGTGAACACATATGGAGGAGACAGGACCAGCCTGCTGGATGATGAGAGACACGTTGCCCAGAAGCCCTATCACCTCAGCCAACAGTCTGCTGGCTACCAGGCGTGTGAGTGAAGCCACCCTGGACCTTCTGGCTCGCAGCTGACCTGCTAGCTGACCATAGGTGCATGAGTGAGCCCAGCTGAGGTCAGTTGACCAGACCAGAGGAGAACCACCCACAGAACCGTGCACAACATGAATGGTTGCTGTAAGCTGCTAGATTGTCGGTGATGTCTTGCACAGCAAAGGAAAACTGATGGTGCATTTCATGGTATATTAATTATATATTAATAATTTTTTAAAAAGTGAATAAAGAGACTGTCTCTCTGCCAAGACTTACATTCTTGTCACTAGGTTTTCAAGTCAAGGTAAGCAGAGCCTGAGGTTGTGTGCTACCCACAACCTGCCTTTAGGGAAGAGAACCCCTAGGACTCAGTTGGTGGCAGTTGTACAACCAATGGGTTGGTGGGATGTACAACCAATTCATTCGTTTGTTTACTCAACAAATATGCTAAAGAGGGAAGAGGGATATAAACAGTAGCAGATTAGATGCAGTCAAAGACAGACTTACTAAATTAGACAAGAGAACTGAAGAAATTACACAGAATGCGTCTTAGAGAGAAAAGAGGTAGAAAATACAAAAGAGATATTAAGAGACACAGAGAATAGTTTGGGACGTGTTAATTGACCTATCTTCAAATTCACCGGTGCTTACTTTGGATGTGTCAGTCCTCTGATGAGCCATTTATCATTTCTGTCATAATTGTTTGTTTGTTAAAATTTCTAGTATATCTTTTTGATTCTTACTAAGAGTTTCCATCTCTCTACTTAGGTTAATCATCTGTTTCTGCTTGTTGTCTTTTTCCATTAGAGCCCTTTGCATATTAATTATAGTTATATCTACCTTCCTTGTCTAATGATTGAATCGTCTGTGTTACATGAGTCCATTTCTAATGGTTGCGTTGTCTCTTCAGATTGTGTTTTTTTCTTACTTTTTAGCATGCTTTGTAATTTCTTGCTGAAAACCTGACATATTGTATTGGGTGGTAAGAACTGAGAGAAATAAGCCTTTAGTGTGAAGTTTTGTTTTGTTTTGTTTTGTTTTTTGAGACGGAGTTTCACTCTTATTGCCCAGGCTGGAGTGCAATGGCGGGATCTTGGCTCACCGCAACCTCTGCCTCCTGGGTTCAAGTGATTCTCCTGCCTCAGCCTCCCAAGTAGCTGGGATTACAGACATGTACCACCACACCTGGCTAATTTTGTATTTTTAGTAGAGATGGGGGTTCTCCATGTTGGTCAGGCTGGTCTCAAACTCCCGACTTCAGGTGATCCTCCTGCCTTGGCCTCCCAAAGTGCTGGGATTACAGGCATGAGCCACCGCACCTGGCCTAGTGTGAAGTTTTATGTTAACCTTGCTAGGAGTTGGTCCATGTTTAATGTTTGCTGTAGCTATGGGTGCCAGAAGCATCAGATTCCTCTAGTATCCTTGTTTGTGTCCGCCACTTTTGACTTTGGGCTTCCCTGAGTAATCCTCCTTAGAGAGTCTGTGTCTGTCCCAGAATCCACTGCTATTATATGGGAGCCCTGTTGGGGCTGTGGTAGGTGTTGGGGAGGAGGTTCTTTATAATCTTCCAATTACATGTCAGTGTTGTAGTGGGCCTGTGACCCTAGGCTGTTACCTTCACGTGTTTCTGCATGGGTATAGCTTCCTATCCCTGCAAGTCCTTTCCTGGTTGCAATATTCCCAATCTATTCTTTTGAAGCTCTCTGGCCCTCGTTTACTATGTTTTTTGTTTTTATCCTAAGGTGAGACAGACACACTGGCGGGGGCAGGAGTGGGAGGAAATCCCTCCCCCACCTGCAATAAGGTTTCCTGGAGAACAGGCCTTGGTTATGAAGAAGGCACTGGGTATATTTCACACGATTGCCTTCGCCACCCACTGCCAGAGACACAGGGGTCATTTTCAGATCTTCACCATGAAAGACTTGTTGGTTTCTGGGAGTGAAGCCCACGAAAATGGGCCCCCCATAAGGAGTGTGGCCCCGAACCCAGGAGTCAGAGGTTGCAGTGAGCAAGGTCGTGCCACTGTACTCCAAACTGGGCGACAAGAGCGAGACTCCATCTAAAAAAAAAGAGTGTGGCCCCAGGAAATTGCTCCCTGTCAAGCTACTCCACGGTCAGCCCCCAGCAGTTCATCAAGGCTGCCAGTCAAGTTGCGGGTTTCTGGCTCCAGCGGCTTCGGCTCCAGGTGAGCAGATCTCAGACTTGCTCTTCCATATTCATGTGTCTCCCGGGATTTGAGGGTGGCAGTTTGCTTTGCAACCCCATTCTCTGATGGGTTTGAGAAAAGTCACTGATTTTCACTTTTTCCGCCTTTTTCTTATTGTAAGGAGAGGAGTGACTTCCAAGCTGTTTACATGTTGCAGCTGAAACTGGAAGTTCTGTTGATTGATTTATTTTTGTTATTTGTCCAGAGGTTATCACCATTATCTATGGCAGGATCAGTCCAATTCGAGCTTTGATGGACACACAGCAGTGGAACTTGACTGACAACTTTTTTAAATGGCAGCTTTTTTCACTTCAAAAATAAAATTTAGAGTTTGCCTCCTCCACTCCCCACCAAAAAGGAGCCAAGCGTGGCCCAGATGACTCACACTGGAGCCTGTCCTCAGCAACTCGGTCAGGTGGGTGCGTTCCTGCCCTGGAGGGGAGATCCGAGGACAGGGCGGTGCACGGTGCCTTGAGGGTGGGGCGGGTGTGCCGCCTTCACTGCCGGTCTCTCTCATTCCCCATCTCCAACATTCTCGCAATGCCCTCCAGTGAAGTCGGATCCAATGTCTTGCACGCCTCCCACGGTGCCGGGTGCCCCCCGTTTTGTGAACTTGCTTTTTCAGTTTGGAGCCTGTGAGCCCCACACTTTGCCTCCGTCTGGCACAGAGTGAGTCTCAGAGTTGGCTAAACTGGCTTAGGATCCAATCCTCCCACAAATTAGGGTAGGGGAGCGGGGTTGTCAAGAGGGCCTGGAGGGAAGGAGGCAGCCCTGGACCCTGGATGGGCAGCCCCAGCAGGGGCACATGCAGTGGGGGTAGGGGACCCTACAGGGTCTGCCATTGCACCTCAAGAGAGGAGAGGGGCACCAGGCTCATGAAGCCACAGATGGACACCCAGCTCAGTGACCGCTGGCCTGCTCACCTTCCTTCTCTTCTCTCCAAGGCCCTCCCTCCTTTCTCTTTTTGTCCTACTCTTTCATCTAGAGCTTGCCCCCTTGGTCACGATGATCCATTGGGGCCTCCTCTAGCAGGGAGGCAATGCTTCTCTGCACTGGTGCTCATTCCAGGGGGTTCCACCGGCACTCCTCACCCTCCCTGGCCCTAAGCTCCATGCACACTGGACCTTGCCCTTGGGTGCCCTCTTTGGAAAGGACCCTGGATGGCACCATCCCTCCATGTGGGCAGGTCACAGATATCTTTCTGTTGCCTTCATGTCTGGGTCATGCCTCTCCCTGGAGGCTCAGGGCTGGGATTCAGCCTCATGCTGGCTTCAGGCAGGTGCAGCTTGGACTTCCCCCAGCAGGTGCTTGCACTGCTGGTGGCACTGTGAGCTGGTGGCACGTGAGCAGCACATAGCTTCTAGGATGCAATTTGCAACACATGGCGAGAGCAATAGCAAGGGCTCCTCTATCAGGTAATTGCAATTCATGGGAACTTATCCTGAGAAAATTGCTCCCCCGATTGGAAAAATTTTGCCACTAAGGCGCCCCTCTCCATGGTGTCTGGAGGAGTGATGTGTTGACAGCCTGAGTGTGCAATGTGCAGAAGAGTCTGGGAAGGCACCCATCAGGCAGTCGATAGCACTTGGGCAGCGCTAGTGAAAAATCAGAAGATCTAATGGAAACGTGGGCAACTGGTATCCAAAAGGAGGGAAGCCAGCAGGACACAGAAGCCATTTGTCCTGCAAGTGCAGCGATGATAAATGTGCTGTGTGGACATTGCCTCGAAGGGGATGTACAACCAATTCATTCGTTTGTTTACTCAACAAATATTTATTGAGCACCTCCTACATGCCAGACACTATTCTTTATGCTAAAGATTTGGCAGGAAAAGAAATGCAGACAAATCTTTCTGTTTGCATGGAGCTTGCATCGCAGGGGAAAGAGCAGAAAGCTTACTCACAAATGAATAGATCATGCTGGGTGATGATCAGTGATACAAAGGAAGGACAAGGAAGATTTTCCTTGGTAGGGTGAAAGGCCGAGAGAGATGGAGGCACAGAGGTATGGTGGGGAAGAGAGACCTTCCCACGAAGGTGGCATCCAAGTTGACTCCAACTAATGAGGAAGAGTGCGGGCTGGTGTTCTCACCATCGTTGTTTGAGGTCCTGGGCTGATGCCTCCCTCGGGAGTGTGCTCACCTCATGGCCCCAGACTGAGGCTTCTGTCTGGGCACCTGCCCAGGCACCTTGTGTCTGCACATCTGGTGCCAGCTGCCTCTGCAGCCAGAATCGGGGCTCTGTGCACATGGGACATCTGCATGGGAGCCCAACGCAGGCTTGTAGAAGTGACTTCAGAGTCACTCCAGTCTAGTAGGACAGGGAGGGATCCTGCAGGAACCTGGAGTTGGAGGAGGCTGGAAGAGTCTGCAGAGGTTGGGGGTGGGAGACTGGAGCTTGGCAGGTGCAATACAGATCTGTGGGCAGGAGCTGGAAGGTGCCAGATCTGTGCAGGGGAGAGGAAAAAGGCCTGACTTCAGCCCAGGGTCCTCCAGGGACTCACAGAGGGTGCAGCCTGACAGAGGAGGCCTCTGGGAACTGGAGGGTGAGGGTGACCCTGCCCTGATGTGCCACCTGGAGTCGATGGAGGTGTGGGCAGGCACGGCTGAGCACCACCCTGCAGGACAGTTACTCAGAGGACTATGGGGCTGGCGCCTGCCTCCCCAGGGATGTGAGCCTGGAGCTCCCCAAGTGTCTCCAGCCCCTGTTGTGGCATCTGGCACTGAGCACATGCTCCAGAAGTATGTGTGGAATGTGCGCCTGCTCCTAGGCTGCTCACAGGATCCCTTGTCAGCATGGCCCTGGGTCCAGGGCGCTGGGCTGGGGGTCCCCAGGAGAAGGGGTGTGGCAGAGATGGGAGAAAGCAGAACATCTCACGGGGAAGCAGACCGCATGCATTTGCTGGGCTTCTTCCTTCCCCTCACACCCCCAGCGCCCCCCTCAGCCACCCAACACACTGTCTCTGAGAGGCACAAAGGCTGACCTGCAGCACCAGCTCATACCACAGACAGGGAACCCAGGCTCAGAGAGGGCAGGCCATCACCCGAGGTCACACAGAAAACCCACAGTGGCAGCCCCTTCTCCTCGTCTCTCCTTCAACTCCCTGAGGCTCTTCCAGGCTCTGCTGATTTCTCTGGAAAGTGGGTGTCAGGATGGTGTTAAACTCAGCAGTGGTGGGGGCCAGAATGAGAGGATTCAGGAAGGGGTTAAGCCCTCTGTTCTCTCCCTACATCAGCCGCAGAGCTCTGCACTCAGTGCAAACAACCCAGACCCACAAGGACAGGAGGTGTGGGTGCCGGGACTCCTGGCAGGTTGTCTGGCAATTCGGGCAGTGAGTCCTCGGAGGGACAGAGGGCCTCCAGCTGGAGGGTTGGTCTTGCTGGTCTGGGTGCCAATGACTGCTGTGGCCTTCCCACGCCAGGGACCTCCGGCCTCCCCAGCTTCCACTCACCTCTCCTGGGCCCTGCAGACAGGAGCAGGAGGGGCAGCCGCAGCCCATTGGTGAGTCAATGGGCCTTGCCTGGGCCACTCACCCCAACTCCCCACCTCGTTAGGCAGCCAGTGAGCAGCCAGCCTGTCGGCCCAGCAAATTGGCACAAACAGCCTTATTACCTGACTAATTAGAGCCCAGAGGCCCGGCCAGCGCCCCCTGCCCACCTCCTCTGCAATCAGTCCCAGTGAGTAACTGCTTGAACAAGTGCTTTGAAGGCAAATCTGTGGTGTCCCCCGGAGCCATTTCCCAGGTGTATTTCAAACCGGCCGCCATCCTTCCTCTAGGAGGCCTCACGCCTGCCCTGCCCCTCCTCCCTGGGCCAAGCAAAAGGTCCAAGCCCAGGACCCCATGGGTTTCTTCAAATAGATTCAGCACAGACTGGGTGGACAGCGCCAGGCCCGGTGATCAACTCAGCCAGGGCTCAGATCTGTGACATGGGGGTCACCATGCAGGGCTTCCTTACAGGGCTGGGCAGGTAGGAGCACGCATTTCAGGCACCTGGCACCCAGCACATCGTCAAAGGGGCAGGTGAGGGGACAGCCTACTTAGTGGTCTGAGGAGTTAGAGGGTCAGAGCGTGGAGCTCGGGGAGGCAGGATTGCACGCACCCACACGGAGCTCGGCTTTCTCATCAAGGATGTGAACACAGTGCCTGCTCCCCTCAGCCTCTGCAGCAGCAAGACACAGGAACATTGCCCTGAGCCATCTGGGCCCCTAGGGACCCGGACGGGCCTTTGTAAACTTGACTTTCCCTGACCTGAATTTCAGATCCCCTCGGCTCTGACAGTGTCCAATAAATAACTCCACCCTGCATGAGCGATAGCAAACCCCAGAATGGCTTTAATTTTGCAGGGTGATAAATTAAATGCAATGTCTGCCTCGTGTGCGCGATTAAACTCTTTTTACAGCGTTTTCATGTTGCTTTATGACTGGACCACTGCACCTCTTGAAATTCTTGGCAGAGTCCGCTGCAGTCAGGCAGCTCCTCCAGGCCAGTGCAGGTCACATGGGTGGTGAGTCCCGCCCCTCCCCGCCCCGCCCCGCCCCGCCCCTTACTGGATGCGTCCTTGGGAACCGCAGGTGGTGCCAGCTGGGTCCAGGGCGGTGAACTGGGGCCCGGAGTGCTCCTCCAGCCTGCAGGTGGCGCTGCAGGCGATCTCCATAAGCGCGGAGGGCAATTCACCGGCTCCGGACCTGAGTTCTCCATTTCGGCATTCCACGTTTGGAATTCCATACTTTGCCTCTGACCTTTATTTTCCTCTTCCTTTCTGACCTTCATGTGAATTAGACATTTTTTATTCCTGATTTTTCCTTCTGTACCGGGTTGGAGGTTGTGTGTACTATTCACATTGTCTCAGTAGTTGCTGTGGTCTGAATCCTTGCATCCCCCCAATATTCATATGTTGAAGCCTAACCCCCATGCAATAGTATCAAGAGGTGATGAGGCCTTTGGGAGGTGATTAGTGCCCTTGCAGAAGGGGCTGGAGGGAGCTTGTTTCCGGCTTCTGCGTTATGAGAACACAGGGAGAAGTCATCATCTGTGAGAAACCGGCGCACCAGTCACTGAATTTGCTGACACCTCCATCTTGGACTTCCCAGGCCCTAGAACTGTAAGCAATAAATATCTGCTGTTTATAAATTGCCTGGTCTGAGGTATTTTGATATAGTAGCCTGCATGCACTAAGGCAGTTGTTACTCATAATTTTAATAGGCTTTTTTACAAAGTCAAAAGTTAACCAAAGGGCCAGTCCAGTTTCAGTAAAGCAAAGAAATAAATGCATGAGGAAAGAAAAGAGAAAATGTGATCATGGTCTGCAGATAATATGATTGTTTAAGTAGAAGGGAAAAAAACTAATACTAATTAGAATGAAGATAGTTAGCAAGTTTGCTGGGCACAAAATCAATACCCCAATCCAACTGCATTTCAATACAATCACAATCTATACAAACCGATTTCTATACCAACCATGGTCTTAAAATATAAATTTTAAAATGTCATTTACCCTAGCAATTAAAAATATTGAATACCTAAGAATAAAACCAACAACAGATGTGCAAACACGTTATGGGAAAAATAATGAAAGCTTTATTCAAAGACATTAAAGAAGGTGTAAGTAAAAGGAGAGATGTATCATATATTTTATAAAGAAACATACTATGTACTTCATCACCATGTCAGTTTTCCCCAAATTGACCTAAAGATTTAACACACTTAAACAAAAATCACAAGAGGTTTTTTCATGTAAGAGCAAAGGACTAAGATTAGCCAAGATGCTCTTGAAGAAGAAAGCAAGCTGGGACCTATGCAACACAGCAGGACTTAGCACAGAGCTGAAGTCATTAAACTGTATGGTATGGGTGCAGATATGGACAAAAAGACCAACAGAAGATTACTGAGAACACAGAAAAATATATACTAATGGAAACTTGAAGTATAACTGACAGAATAAACAGTGCAGATCAGTGTAGAAAGGATGTTTTTTGATAAGATGCTGGGAAACTTGCTCTCCATACATTTTTTAAGTAGAGAAAATGAATCCCTACCTCACATCATACTCAGAAATAAATCCCAAATGATCAAAGATTTAAACATGAAAGGCATAACTAAAAAGACTGTTGAAGAGGGAAGGGCTTCTCAAGACACAAAAAGAGCAAAGCGTGAAGGGAAAGCTGTAACAAAAGGCAATTTTATTAAAATTAAGAAATTCAATTCAGCAAAAGAAACCATTTAAAAAGTGAAAACGAAGGCTGAGGACAGTGACTCACACCTATAATCCCAACACTTTGGGAGCCTGAGGTGGGAGGACTGCTTGAACCTGGGGATTCAAGACAAGCTTGGGCAACATAGCAAGACCCCTTCTCTACAAAAAGCAATAACAACAACAAAAAGTGAAAAGACAAGTCACAGGCTACGAGAAAGTATCTGCAACACATCTAACTGACCAACAGAATACAAAAAATATGAAGAGCTTTTACAAATCGATAAGAGAAGGCAAAAATCCCCGTGGGAAGAAATGGACAAAAAATTTGAACTAGCATTTCACAGAAGAGGAAATACACAGATTCATAAACATTTGGAAGTAAGTTCAACCTCTTCAGTAATCAAAGAAATGCCTTTGTTTGTTTGTTTGTTTTTGTTTTGGTTGAGATGGGGTCTATCTGTCATCCAGGCTGGAGTGCAGGGGCACAATCATAGCTCACCACAGCCTCAATCCCCCAGGCTCAAGCAATTGTCCTGCCCCAGCCTCCCAAGAAGCTGGGATTACAGACATGCACTGCCACTCACTGCTAATTTTCAAAAAGTTTTGTAGAGACAGGGTCTCACTATGCTGCCCAGGCTGGTCTTGAACTCTTGAGCTCAAGTGATCCTCCTGCCTTGGCCTCCCAAAGTGCTGGGATTACAAGCTTGAGCCACTGTGCCTACTCAGAAATGCCTTTTGAAAATCCTCTAGGGAATTCTGATTGTGATCATAGACTGAACATATGCATCTCACTTTCTCTCCACACTCCTACTAAAACTATAATGAGAGGTTTTTTAATGACATAAACTCTTAGGGATGAGAAGAACACAACAGGAAGAGGGGAAGTGTACTTTATGACAGACTAAATCATAAACAACTAACAGTAAACAGTAAAACACAACAAAATTTTGGAAGCTGGAAAGCAGATAGACAAGTGCTAACTGCCTTAGCAGACTTGAGAAAGACAACTCCTGAGCCAGCAAGGGAAAAACTGTGAATAAGTCTGATTTGCTCCCAAGAATATTTAAAATCTCAGGAACTGGCAGCAGCAGGTGTCTCTAGGACTGACGATGAAGGGGGAGTGGCAGAGCCAGGACTAGGATGAGGCTAACAAGATGCCAGAGCACAACACTTAAGGAGCAACATCCTTAGCCATTAGAGAAGTGCAAATTCAGACCATGATGAGATACCACTACATACCAGTTGAACACCTAAAATGAATAGTGATAATACCAAATGCTGGGGAGGATGTGGAGAAACTGGAGATCACTCATACATTGCTGGTGAGAATTTAAGGTAGTACAACCACCTGGAAAACAGTCTGGCAATTTCTTATGAAACCAAACGTACTCTTACCCTATGACCCAGCAATTACACTCTTGGTCGTTTACCCTAAAAAATAAAAATTTATATTCACATGCAAAATCTGTACACTGTTGTTCATAGCAGCTTTATTTGTAATAGCCAAAACCTAGAAACAACCAAAATTTCCTGTAATAGGTGCATGGTTGAACAAATTGCTGTACATCTATGCTATGGAGTATTAGCAATAAGAAGGAGCACTGTTGATGCATGCAGTAACTCAGATGGCTCTCAAGGGAATTGTGCTGGGAGGGGGGACAATCTCAAAAGGTCACATGCTTTACAACTTCATTTATACAACATTCTCAAAATGACAAAATTATAGAGATTGAAAAAAGATTAGTGGTTGCTAGTTTTCTCTAGAAAATAGGAGAAAAGTGAAAGGACTATCCAGTATGGTGGTGAGGGAAGATCCAGGCATACAGGGCAACCAGTCTAGATCAGAGCAGATTTTTCAGGACACCAGAATATTGAAGGTTGTCAGGGCTGATGAACCATCTTTTCACATCATTTACCCACAAAATGGTTCATGCCAAACAAGGGAGCAAACCAAGAAAGGAAGACATGAATGAGATCCAGGAAACAGGGACCCCCACCTGGGAGAAAAGCATCAGCAGAGGCAAGTCCCGGGACGAAGTGTGCAGCCAGCCCAGATGAGAGGAGAAAAAGATCTTCAGGCAGAGGGTTTACAGGAATATGTGATGTGGAAAAGTGCACAAAAAGGACATTTGAAGATGTGGGAAGAATTAGTAATAGGTTAGAAAAAAAAAAAGTAAGCAAATCAAAAAGCAAGGCAATGAATAACTTTAGGAAACACAGAAAGTAAAAAAGGAAACATAATTGGAGTATACTATAATGTTAGGCTGAGCTATGAATGTTATATAGACAATGTAAAGGTACAAACTTTACTTAAGCAAAAATTGTAGTATAACTATACTGGAAGAGAAGAAAGGAGAGCACAGGAGCTAGCAGAATGCAAGGGCTAAATTCTCATCACTGTAACAGGAAATTTTAAAAATTATATTCTAAATGAATTAATAAAAAGGCAGCAATATATACACAATATTTAGAAAAATGCAGATGTGTAAATGCCAGAACAAAAAAATTTTAAGTCAATCATGGTTAATTCTAGAGGTGACACTGGCAGGATCAGGGAAGAGAAGATCAGTGAACATACCATTTAGTACTGTGTGAGTTTTGTTGTTTCAGCTATATACATGCTCAATAATAGACAATTGGATTAGATAGGATTGGACTGGATTTAAATTGTATTTATCTATTAAGTCAAAATAAAATAATATGATATCATTTTACTACAACCAAATTTGCACAAATTAAGAAGCAGATCAATTCTAGGTACTGGAAAGGATGAGTGGGCAATAGGATGTCTCAGCCACAGCTGTCAGAGCTACACTTACTTTGGAAAACAGTTTCTCACACCTAGTAGAGGTGACTTGCACATAACTAAAAAGCCAGCAACTCCTCACCGGGTGCCATCTCTAGAGGACCCCAAACCTTTTCCAACTCCTGGCAGAAAACAGCAGTACTTATATGACACAATGGAGTAAATGGGCGAGGCTGCTCCAGGCTGCAAGGCCAGACAGAAAGTCCAGGGTCCAAGCTGCTCCAGCCCTGCTGGCTGCTCAGACAGAGTGGGGCCCCATTGCTTAAACATGCCTGCACCCCAATCACAGCATTCCAGCAGGCTCACCCAGAGAAAGGCTCATGCACACGCACCTGGAGATGTATACCAGGATGTTTATAGCAGCACTGTGATTGTAAAAAGCCTGCAGACAACATAAATGTCCATCAGCGATAGAACTGATCAACAAATTGTGACATATTCACACAACGGAGTACCCAACAGCAATAAAGACTAATGAACTGCACCATAAACATTCAAATGGATAGTCCTCATGCATATAGTATTGAATGAAAGACCAAGACACAAACGTTATATATGAAGAAGGTTCTATTTACATAAGGTCTAAAAGCAGCTCAAACAAGACAATATGTTATTTAGGATCACAGATATAAATGGCAAAAACGATCAAGGAAAACAAGGGAAAGATGAACACAAATTCAAGTTCGCATTACCCGGGAACACTGGGGATTGAAGAAGAGAGTATGATTAGGGAGGAGCATTCCGTGGGCTGTTGAGGCTCCGGGAGGATTTTATCCAAGTGGTGGCTACAGAGGAGTTTACATGATTATTAATCTTCTTTTTCTTCTTTAAACCATATACATACATTTTATACTCTTATATATGCCATATAAAATGTTAATAAAATTAAAATGATTAGCAAGAAAATAAGCAAAATGCAATAGTTAATACTGTAATCCTCTTACTCTCCTCTCCAACCATACAGGATCTGAGAATACTTTCACTCCCAACACTGACCTCCTATCTATATGTAATTATTATCAAGCATTTTATTTCTACCTTGTTCTTTTTAGTCAGACATTACCACCATGGCTTCATATTGTCAATGTTTACTGAAGTGTACCCACATGTCTCACCTTTCTTTGCTTGCTATTCTTTCTTTTGCTTTAGAACATCCTCCTAGATCATTTTCCCTCTTCCTAAAGTAGGGATTATTGTTAACAAATTCTTCCCACTTTTAGCTGAAAATATCCTTATTCATTCCAGGTCTTAAAAATATTTTTTTTCTCAGGCATGTGACTGTAGGTCATGCATAGATTACCAGTTGCCCCCAATATCTGCGGTCCCCTTCTTCAGTAATAGAACACACAATTTTCACTGGGCAGGTGTCTTCCAGGAATAAAGGCTACATTGCCCAGCCCTGTTTGCAGTGCGGTCTGCCATGTGACTAAGATCTGGCGATGGAAAGGAAACCTCAGGAATAAAGGCCATGCATGGTGGAGCAACAGGACAGAAGCAGCCACGGCTCCTGATGCCAAGTTCACAACAGCAGCCCTGGACCTGCCCCCTTCCAGCTTCAGAAACACACAGACAAACACACAGACAAATACACTTCTATCATGTTGAAGTCATGATTATTGGGGAGCTTTCTATTCTATCCAGCAGAACCTAATTCTAATTAGATATAGGAGTGAGAGGCAGCAGAAAATCCTCTGAAAACAAATACAGAAGCTTCCAGCCCATTACTTGCCCCCTTGGCTGGGTGCTCTGTGCTCACTGGTTAATCTTCACAGAAGCCCTGTGAGGAGCACACATGTCCCCTGTTTATCAGAACAAGAAACCGAGTCCCACAGACGGTGCGTGGCTTGCTTGGCATTGCACACAGTGTGCCTTGGGCTCCATGTGGCTGGTGCTCTCTGCTCCTCTCCAAACGGATCCCTTTCTTCCAGGGCCCAGGGCCCAGGGTCCCGCAGAAGACAGTGGGCAGACAGTCTCAGGCCATCGACAGGATGCTGGCAGACGTGTGAGGGAACATCTCCCCCACCCTGGCGTCTGGGAATGGAAGCTGCCAAAGACCCAGCACTAGGCTGGGCTCTGGTCTCAGGACCCCCAGACTAAGTCGCTGTGTGACCCCAGACAAAGCTCTCCACTTCGCAGGGACCCGCTTCCTCCACCTGCGAATACCCATCCTCCGTTCCTCCACATGGTCCACCAGGCCCAAGGCATGTGACCACTGTGAGCTGGCAGCAGAAGAGACCTGGGGGCTGGGCTGGGCTGGGGAGGGAGGGCAGTTTGGTGCGGGGTTGAGAGAAGAGGGAGGGGCTGGGATGCTTTCTCCTTCAGGCTGTGTCTGCTTGTGGCTGCCTGTCCCCACAGGCTGGGCCTCCCCACTGGGCCTCCCCACTGGGCCTCCCCACTCCCCAGTCTCCACTGGGCTGCAGGGACAGGGAGTGGGCACGGCCATTTCTGAGGGCCACTCCTGCTCCTGTGCGTCCTGGTTTGGGCTAGGCTCTATGCCAGGCACAAGAAGAGAAAAGGATGTGGAGAAAAGGAGTATGAGTTGTGGGCAAGAGCCTGAGACTGGGTGTGGTACCCGGGCCCTAGGTAAGCACTCCACATAGCGGGGCCCAGGTGAGCACATCACACTTGTTGACTGCCCAGAAGGGCCCACAATGGTGCACACGACACAGCGGGATGAGGTCACAGAGGCTCGGCTCAGGCTGAGGGCAGGGAGGGTGCCGAGGGCCGAGGGAGCCACCTGACAGGGGTGGGGGTGAGGGCAAACTCCTGTGGCAGGAGGGGCCACAGGATAGCAGGTGCAGGGGTGTGTGCGGAGGGCTGTGGGCGGAACTGGGAGGAGACTGCCCCAGGCCGAGAGGAGGGATGAAATGGGGGAGACCGAGTCACCCTCCCTGGAACAGCCATCCCAATGCCAGGAAGTGGGGCAGAGGCCGGCCTGGTGCCCAGAGCCCAGGGCCTACGTCCCACCACCCTGCCGGGGTCTGTTGCGAGGCCCCTTCTACAGTGCCCGGGCTCCACGAGTGTCTTGCAGCTTTTGTTCCAGGATTTATTTTTTCATCAGATTGATATTAGAGTCACTTCACGCAGTGCTCTCCAGCGTCAGCAAAATAAAGATGCAAATACACCTCCTGACCCGGCTCCTGGGGCCGCCGGTGACGCACGCCTCCCGCCACGCTCGCCGCCCATGGTGGCTTTGAATTTTAAATTTCATTTTCCCATCGCTTTTCAATAACTGCTTTTCCCAGCGATGTCTCGAGTCTTGACCTTATAATGCCCGAGTTAAAAGGCAGTGTCTTGTTTCCAGCTGCAGATAATTTACTTCTGAATGGTCCAATTACACGGCAGCCTGGGCTCTGCCTGGCTGCGGAGACGTCGCCGTTCGCCCGGGAGATAATGGTGTCGCCGGCGACATATCTGTTCCCGACCTGGGCAGCCGCCGGCTGGCCCGAGAGGGCACTGTCTAAGGAGGCCCTGACAGGCACGGCCACCCGGTGCCTCCCCGGCCCAGAGACAAGTGGCCTCTGTTGGGCACGAACATCCCCCGGCACATACAGGCTGAGGTCCTGACAGGCAGCACCTGCCCTGGGCCCTCCGGCTGCCACTCACTGCCCGGAACCCACGAGAGACTGGGGAGCGTGGCGCTGGGTTCCAATGCAGCCGCGGCACGTGGGGATATTAAAGGCCACGTGAAGGATGGTGTAACCACAGGAGCTTTTGAAAGAAGCGTGAAATCCAACCAGTCGTTAGCCCTGGTTTGGTACAGCTGCAACAAGGAGGCTTTATCCATTTGACGTTCATGGAACGTAAAATCGGAACCGATGTGAACGATCTGTGCCTTCAGATTCTTAAAGTGGAACATTTAAGTGCTTTGCTGTTCCGTGAGATTTCTTCCCTTGGCACAAAATACTGGTTTCTAAGCGGTTTGGCTTCAAAGAATGCCTCGACCTAAGTGATCCCGTTTTAAAGCCAAAAGTCCCCAATAGTTCTTAAAGAAGCGGAGGGAAAATGCTAAGCTACTTCTCTCCTTGTCAGTGGTATAATAATGTGCCTATAACTGGAAACAAATGGCCTCCCTGCATTTTAAACAAAGCACTTTTCCCTTAGATTTTCTTTTAAAAATGTCTAAATAAATGACAATTTAAAAAAGATTTTAAGGTATTTCCCCTAACACATAGAAAGTATGTGACTGACGGATCATCACGACCAGCAGCATTTCCCGGACAGCTATTTAGGGACAGTTTCCAGTGGTCACACCATCATCAACAGGCCTTTCCAGGGACAAGTGTGAAATCCTTCCCTGGGGAGCAGCACGGGGCTCCGAATCTGTCTTTGCTTCCAGAGACCAGCCCTGTGGGGAAGCTGGAGCCTGGGGAGAGGGTGGTGAAGGCATCGCCCTGGGGAGCATGGAGGGGGTGTGGAGGGCGTGCTGGAGGTAGGGGTGTGGAGGGTGTGGAGGTGGTGCTGGCTCAGCTTACACCCCCCTCTTCTTTCTTGGTGCCTCTTCAGCCTGGCCTGAACGCAACCCCCTCCCCATAAGAGGCAGCCACCCCCACCACAAGCCTGTCCCAGCCCT
The DNA here is from genome assembly GCF_000001405.40 of Homo sapiens. Lineage (NCBI taxonomy): Eukaryota > Metazoa > Chordata > Mammalia > Primates > Hominidae > Homo > Homo sapiens. The sequence goes on along the minus strand of NC_000014.9, from coordinate 104,333,201 downwards.
TCGTGCCCAGGAACCCTGAGAAGAAGCTTTGGTGGGGTCTCCTGGGCTGGCCGGGGAAACAGTCTCTGCTGCATTTGAAAGGCCAGCTGGGCAGAGCTGAGGTGGTGACAGGGACACCCGGACGCATGGGCGAGCCTGCAGCTGGAGGGAGCTCGGTCTCCTGACCCCCACGTGGGCATGTAGACACTTCCTCCTGCTGTGGATGTTTCCTGGTGCTGGGAAAGGCAGCTGGCAAGCCCTGGGCTCATGGTCCCTTGTGAGCCTGAGCTTCTGGGACCCCAGGGAGGATGACGCTGGGAGGAAGAACTGGGTCTGACTCTCTCCCTCTTCCTCGGGGCTGAGCTGCCCAGGATGTGGAGTCCTCCACAGGGCCCCCGGGGACTGGCTCTGCCTTAGTTCAGGGGCTGCCAGCTGGAGCAGTCCCTGGACTGGGAGGGTCAGTGCACCCAGCTCTGGGTTCGGTCTGAGCAAGGCCTCGTGGCCAGCAGGCTGGTCCACGGACTCCTCTGGCCAGACCTTAACTACCACCTCCCCTCACCACTCTGTCGTTCACCAGAGCATGGGTTGGGTGGCAGGTTCTAGCCCCACGACCATGCCTTCCTGCTCCTGCTGGACAAGCCTTGCCTTCTCAAGCCTGGGCTCCCCAAACAGCCAAGGGAGGAAAAGGAAATCTTGGTCCCTCTGGGAAGACTGGGACGGTCCAGCTCAGGCTGTGACTTTGCTCCCAGGAGGCAGGCAGCTCCATCCCAAGCATTCTCAGGGTTCATGCAGACAGCATGTCTGGAGCCCGGGTCTCACGCTCACATCTGATCAAGGAGAACAAGGGGCCTTTCCTGAAGGGGCCATCAGGGGTTACAGAGACTCAGCAGCAGCAGAGGCTGAGGCGTGGGGGGCTGGTGTCCCTGCCGTCCGACCACGCAGGTATGGGCAAGTGGAGGGTGGCGTGACAGGAGAAGAGCCTGCGTGTCAAGGTTCCCAAGGAGAGGCCTCCTCCGGGATGTTCTCTCTGTGCTGCACGGCTGCCTTGTGTCTCCTGGGGGCTCACAGGCCCAACTCTTGCTACCTCCAGGGTCCAGCTTTCACAGTCATCAGACAACACTAACCACGGCTCCAAGGCTCACATGACGTGAGGCTCCGCCAATACCAGGCTCTGCCAGCAGGAGCACTGCTGCGCCACTGCACGGCTGCGCCACTGCACGGCTGCGCCACTGCACTGCTGCACCACTGCACTGCTGCACCACTGCACTGCTGCACCGCTGCTGAACATGCAGCCTTGGGCAGGCCAGGCCCCTGCAGGCTTCTCTCCTCTAAGAGGAGGCTCCTGAACCCCAGGGCAGGACACAGGCAACACACTTGGCACACTGGAAAGGGCACCTGAGCTTACCTGGGGGACGAGGACTCCCCATCTTCAGGATGCTCTGTCCTCATTCCTTAAGGTCCAAGAGGCCCCAGCCTGGGAGAGCAGTCTGCCTGGGGTTAGGGGTTGGGAAGGGGGTTTCTTGTTGTCACATCACCTTTGGGTTTAAACACCTGCTGTGCTGGAGATAGGAACACACAGTTCACAGAAACAGAAATGCAAATGGCCCTAGAAGATGTAAAAAGAAGCTCATCTTCCCCCATAATAAGAGAAATGCAAATTAAAACCACACCAAGGTTCCATGTGCCACCTACCCCACTGTCAAAAATCCCAAAGTTTAACAACACATTCAGGATAACAACATATCTGTTTATAGCATAGTTTATTGAATATTTTAAGCCCACTATTGAGAACTACTGCTCAGAAATAAAAGATTCTTTTCAAAATATGACTGCTCATTGACTGTGTACCCAAGAGCTCTGATGGAGATGTACAAAGAGATGAACATTGTTCTCATGCCTGGTAATACAACATCCTCTCGGTAGCCCATGCATCAGGAGGCATTTCAACTTTCAAGTCTCATTATTTAAGAAATACATTTTGTAAGACTGTAGCTGCCATAGATAGTGATTCTTCAAATGGATCTGGGAAAAGTAAAATCTTCTGGAAAAGATTAATCCTTCTAGATGCCATGAAGAACATTTGTGATTGAAGATATATCAACATTGACAGGAGCTTAGAAGAAGTTGGCTCCAACCATCATGGATGACTTTGAGGGGTTCAGGGCTTCAGCGGAGGAAGGAAATGAAGATGTGGTAGAAATAGAAAGAGAACTATAATTAGAAGTGAAGCCTGAGGATGTGACTGAATTGCTGCAATCTCATGAGAAAACTTGAAGGGATGAGGAGTTGCTTTTTATAGATGAATAAAGAAAGTGATTTCTTGAGATGGAATCTATTCCTGGTGAGGATGCTGTGAACATTGTTGAAATGACAGCAGAGGATTTCAAATAGGATCAGAAACTTAGTCGACGAAACAGTGACAGGGTTTGAGAAGATGGATTCCAATTTTGAAAGTTCTACTGTGGGTAAGATGCTATCAAACGGCATCACATGCTACAGAGAAATCTTTCATGAAAAGAGTCAAACGATCAATGTGGCAAACTTTATTGTCTTATTTTAAGAAATTGCCACAGCCGCTCCAGACTTCAGCAACCAACACCCTGATCAGACAGCAACCGCCAACATTGAGGCAAGACCCTCCATCAGCAAAAAGATTATAATTCACTGAAGGCTCAGAAAATTGTTAGCATTTTTAGCAATTAAAAAAATTCTTAATTAAGGTATCTACACTGCTTTGTAGACATAATGCTGTTGCACACTTAACAGACTGCAGTATAGTATAAACATAACTTTTAAATGCAAAAATAAAAAAAATTGTGTGACTCTTTTTTAGCTATTTGCTTTACTGAGATGATCTGGAACCAGATTCACACTATCTCTGACAGGTGCCTGTACACTGATGAGTCAGGGACAGGAAAACTCCTATACGCACTCCCCTTCAAAAAGGGGAGGAACAGGAGGCACATGCAGTCACCAATCCTGGCAATTATGAAACACAGCCAGTGTCCTCTACTCCAAGGGCAAAGAATGTTCCTTGATTAGGTCCAGCTCTCCTCCTTGGGAGTGGTTTTCTAATTTATTGTTCTCCTTTGTTCTTGGCTACACCCTCTGAGTTTTATTTTCTTTTCCTTAAGAAGTGACCCACATTTGTAGCTGAGTAATTTCTCAACCTTTTTCTTCCCAGAAGCTTCTTTTCATTTTAAACCGTCTTCTGTGGTCTAAGCTGACAGTGTTTTTACCAATACAACTCTCTTTAAAACTTTGTGGATTTCTTATGAATCTAATTGAAGTTTACACCATATCTCAAAAGCCACATGCATAATTATTTTTTGAGACAGATCTTTCCCTGTCTTGGGCCATGTATGGCTGTTATGGAACAATCCTGGATTCTTAAAATCCCTTTTGTGTGGCTGAGAGGGCCTATTAGGTACTGCCATAAGTCTTTCAAAAGCCTTAACAAAGGATCTTACAGATACATCCTTAATTTGATCTTTGGCCCTGGCTTCATTTCACTTTGCATATTTTTACTAGTTGGAGAGAAAGGGGATGAGTGACAGTTTTATTTTCCACACAAGCTAGTCCTGGGCCTTTTGTCTTTAAGTTCCGATTGCAGATTGAATGATCCCTTCTCCAGCTCACCTTTGTCTTTCTTTCTTTCTTTCTTTCTTTCTTTCTTTCTTTCTTTCTTTCTTTCTTTCTTTTTTTGAGACTGAGTCTTGCTCTGTCACCAGGCTGGAGTGCAGTGGCAGTGGAGCAATCTCGGCTCATTACAATCTCCAACCAGGTTCAAGCGATTCTCTTGCCTCAGCCTCCCAAGTAGCTGGAACTACAGGCGTGTGCCACCACATCCAGCTAATTTTTGTATTTTTCGTAGAGACGAGCTTCACCATATTGGCCAGAATGGTCTCGATCTCTTGACCTCGTGATCCGCCCACCTCGGCCTCCCAAAGTGCTGGGATTACAGGCGTGAGCCACTGCACCTGGCCCAGCTCACCTTTCTTTCTGTATCTTATCACATGTGTGAGATGGAGCTGATGGGCACTTTTGACATTCTGTCCAGAGGCAAGACCTTCCACCGGATCCTACACGTTCATAAGGTATATCTTTTACCTTCCAAGTTACCATAGGTGACAGTTTGGCCACTTATTCCTAAGTGACAAAGGTCACTGTTTCTCCAGCCTCCAAAGGTCCCTTTTCCCCATCCCAGCCATTACCCACCCTTGGGCCCAAAGCCAACGTCACATGTCTCAGGTGCTTGTCAAGGCACCAGTCCACTGGTGGTACCAATGTCTGAATCACTTTTCTATTTGCTACACCACAGACATGCTGAAACATGGTGGCATCAAGTAACAATGCTTTATACGTCTCACAATGATGGGGGTCGACACCGGCTCCCTTGCTGTCCTCACAGGGGCTTCCCACCTGCCTGCAGCCAGGTGAAGGCCCAGGCACCAGGCCCAGCTGGAGCAGCTGGAAAAGCTGGGCCCACTCTGGATAAAAGAGCTTTTCATCACAGCCTTCTTCATAGCCTGGCGGTCTCAGGATCCTGGAGAGTGGAAAACAGGAACTGTAAGATCTCTTGAGGGCTTGCCTTCAAGGTCACACCACATCATGTCTGCTGCACCTTCCAGAACAAAGCAAATAAGATCAGTCCGGATGCACAACATGGGAAAACAGACTCTCCCTCTTGACAGGGACAGAGCAAAAATCTCATGGCCAAATTGGCTCCCCCACGTTCCAATACAGTCGCACAGATCATGTGCAGTGAGAGAAAGCAGGTAAGTCATCACGCAGATGTCATTAGGAACCAAGATTTTCAGCATAAGAGGAGAGAGATAGAAATTAAAAAATCAAAGAAGCTGCACAAACACTGTAATCTTACATTTAAATGGGAAATATTAGTATGAATTCATGATGTATTTTTCTCTTGCCAAAAAAACCCAAAAAATAAATGCATTTCTCAGCTTTGGCCACAGGAAAGGTTTAGAAGGAATGACTTGCCTAGCAGCCGCAATCCCCTTAGCTCCCGACTGTGACCATGAAATGCCATTTTCCACTAAAGGAAACAGGGCTGCCTAGAGAAATGGCCACTGTGAGACCTGGAGCAGGAAATGTGCAAGATGAATCTCGAACATCTTGTCATACAGGAAAATAAACAGCCCTCAGGATGACCAGGTTGAGCGAGAGAGTCTGGAGGCAACCAGGATGCCTCCCTCCAGAGGAGGATGGCACGATATTCACATCGCAAAAGTCCACGTCTACGTTAGGGGCCAAACTGTGTCTCCCAGAGTCATATGTTGAAGTCCTCATCCCCAGTACCTCAGAATGTGACCATAGTTTGGAGAAAATTTTTAAAGACACAATAAAGTTAAAATGAAATCTTCAGGGTGGGCCCTAATCCCATCTGACTGATGTCCTCTTAGGAAGTGATTGCGGCCCAACTACGCACAGGGGGATAACTGTGAGCAGAGACATGGTGAGGAAGGACCATCGCAAGCCGCAGAGACAGGCCACAGCAGAGCCTCCCCCGCAGCCTACGAAGGAGCCAGCCCTGCCGACACCTGGACCTCGGGCTTCCAGCCTCCAGAGCTGTGGGACAAGACACAGCTGTCATTTGGTCTGTGGCACTTTGTTACACAGCCCCAGGAAATGAATACAATTTATACCTTTATACATCTCATGTATGACTGCAATGAACTGAAACCAAATTAAATGATACCATAAGGACAAAACACTGAAGAAAAAACTCACGGCCCCTTTGGAAGGACCACGGCACCATCTCATCCCTGTGGACAGAGCTACATGGGTGAGGATCAGGTGTTGGCTGCCTTTTCTGTGTGAACTGTCTGTCAAAGTCATCAAATCATTGGCAAGGAAAATGTCCCTAATGGAAGAAGGCCAGGAGGTAGCTGCAGCGGGTTAGAATGGTGACTAGCGTCACCCCTGGTGGCTGCTCACACCACGGTGAGAAGCCCATGAGAAACCTTATAAAGGTGGAGCCAGGCTAGTGGCCCCAGCCGGCAGCCCCATCCCAGTGGCGTGTGCAGTGACACAGCAGGTGTGTGTGGCTGCTTAGCCAGGCTAGTGGCCCCAGCTGGCAGCCCCATCCCAGTGGCGTGTGCAGTGACACAGCAGGTGTGTGTGGCTGCTTAGCCAGGCTAGTGGCCCCAGCCGGCAGCCCCATCCCAAGGGTGTGTGCAGTGACACAGCAGGTGTGTGCGGCTGCTTAGCCCAGCCTCAGGGCTAAGCACAGATTCGTGGCACTGCTGGGCAGAAGTGCAGGGTGAAGGGCACCATGAGGCTCTCCGCATGGACGCAAACGACCGTGCAGAGGGCAGGAAGTTCCACAGGCAAAGACACTGATTTCTTCAACACATACATAGCCAGACCAGCAAAGAGGTTTGGAGCCACTCAGAGCCATAAGAAGACAGGCGCCATGAATCGGCCACATCTATGCAGGAACTCTTCTGGGTCCCAAGACCAAAGTTTAAATATGGAATAATTTGCTTTAAAATAACCCAGTGGGGGCCTGGTGGTGCTCATTATTGAAGCTGGGGGATGGGCATGTGAGCATCCAGATACCACACTCTCTCATTACATTGCTTCTGTGTCTTTTTTAAAGCTCCCTATTAAAACATTTAGAAAACACAATTTTAAAAAATCTGTTGTGAGACAGGACACAGGTGCTGAGTGAGGCAACACGTTCCAGAAGGCAGGGCAGGGGGCAGGGAGCCAGTACAGGCCAGGGGCTCCCTGGTGTCAGCAGGGGTGGTGGAGACTCACTGGGCCACTGAGACCTGGACCCCAGAGGGACCCCAGGGAAACAGAGCAAAGCTTGTTCCTGAAGCTCCACCCACAAAAAAGGATGGACAAGCAGGTGCCAATGGGAGAACCCCTTGAAGAAATTCTGAGGGTTCAAAGCAGCCCAGGTACATATTGGGTGAGGCCAGGCTGGAGAGGCTGCCCGGGTGTGGACGCCTTCCTCTTCCAGAGGAGCAGGGCGCTGGAGGCTGTGTTGGGTCACTGAAAAACACGTCTCTACCTAGAGCAACTCGGAGGCCCAGGAACGACAAAGATTCCAGGAAGGACCCTTGAGATTCCTCCATACACACCAGGCCCCAGTGGAACATTTGGTGTTCCCCTCCATGCATGTTCCTTTGGGGGTGTGCATGCACACACTCACACCCATGAATAATCACACTCACACTAACCGTAATGCATATTCACACTGACACATGCATTCACTCATACGCAGGCATAGTCACACACTCATGAATAATCACACTCACACTGACAATGTGTATTCGCACTGAAACCTGCATATTTACACTCACCCATGCATAATCACACTCATACGCACGCATAATCACACTCACGCTCATGCCTATCCACACTCACACTCATGCAGAATGACACTCACACTCATGCCTATCCACACTCACACTCATGCAGAATCACACTCACACTCATGCCTATCCACATTCATGCTCCTGCCTATCCACACTCACACTCCTGCAAATCCACACTCACACTCATGCAGAATCACACTCACACTCATGCCTATCCACACTCACACTCATGCATATCCACACACACACTCATGCCTATCCACATTCATGCTGCTGCCTATCCACACTCACACTCCTGCATATCCACACTCACACTCACGCCTATCCACACTCACACTCATGCATATCCACACACACTCATGCAGAATCACACTCACACTCATGCCTATCCACACTCACACTCCTGCATATCCACACTCACACTCATGCCTATCCACACTCACACTCATGCCTATCCACACTCACACTCATGCAGATCCACACTCACACTCATGCAGAATCACACTCACACTCATGCCTATCCACACTCACACTCATGCCTATCCACACTCCCACTCATGCATATCCACACTCACACTCATGCAGAATCACACTCACACTCATGCCTATCCACACTCACACTCATGCCTATCCACACTCCCACTCATGCATATCCACACTCACACTTGCATATCCACACTCACACTCATGCCATCCACACTCACACTCCTGCCTATCCACACTCCCACTCATGCATATCCACACTCACACTCATGCAGAATCACACTCACACTCATGCCTATCCACACTCACACTCATGCATATCCACACACTCATGCCTATCCACATTCATGCTCCTGCCTATCCACACTCACACTCCTGCATATCCACACTCACACTCATGCCTATCCACACTCACACTCATGCATATCCACACACACTCATGCAGAATCACACTCACACTCATGCCTATCCACACTCACACTCCTGCATATCCACACTCACACTCATGCCTATCCACACTCACACTCATGCAGATCCACACTCACACTCATGCCTATCCACACTCACACTCATGCCTATCCACACTCCCACTCATGCATATCCACACTCACACTTGCATATCCACACTCACACTCATGCCATCCACACTCACACTCCTGCCTATCCACACTCACACTCATGCATAATCACACCCACACTCCTCCATATCCATGCTCACGCTCATGCATAATCACACTCATGCTCATGCATATCCACACTCACACTCCTGCATAATCACACACTCATCCCATCCACACTCACACTCATGCCTATCCACACTCACACTTGTGCATAACTACATTCACACACCTGTATATCCACACTCACACTCCTGCATATCAACACTCACATTCATGCATAATCACACACTCATGCATAATCACACACTCCTGCATATCCACACTCACACTCCTGCATATCCACGCTCACAATCCTGCATATCCACACTCACACTCAGGCATAATCACAAACTCACAGTAATGCACATGCACACTCATGCCCACAGTCATGCATATTCACTCTCACACAGTCGCACATATTCACACTCACCCTCATGCATGTTCACATTCACACTCACTGTAATGCATATTCACTCCCACTCATGCATGTTCAAACACATTCATGCGTATCCACACTCCCACTAATGCATATTGACACTCATCCCAGTAGTGACTATTCACATCGAATAAGCAAGAGAAGCAACAGCCTCGGAAATATATTTTTGTGTATTTTTCCAATGATTGCCTTAGGATAAATTACTGGTGTGTTCTCTGTCATCCCATCTCTCAGAAGAAGAGGCTTCCGGAAGGCAGCCCTGCACCACAGAAGGCACACAAGCCTCAGGGATGCTCTCTGGACCCAGGAGCAGGTAGCTGTCTGTCAGCGGCTGCAGCACCTTCATCTCCAGGAGTCCCCAGAACTAAATGGAACCTTGCCCACGCAGGGGCCACTGTCAGGGCCTCTGGCATTCAGTGCTTCAGGGCTGGGGGGATCCCATCCCTCAGCCTGAACCTGTCCTCCCCGCCCCAACCGACTCTCCATCTGCCTCCCCAACGTGAGGCCAGATCGAGTCTATTTCTCAGCAGGCATGTCTCCACTGAGATGTCAGCACTAGCGGTCCTCATCCTGGAAAGACCCCACGGCACGTCTCAGAGGGCGGAGTCTGAGCCAAGGTGAGGGCCGGCCCATGGGCAGGAGGGGTGAGGCAGCACCTGACCCCAAAGAGGTGGAACCTTCTGGAATGATGTGGAAGGTGGACCCTAAAGCAAAGGCTGGGCCCCAGGACGGTGCACCCTCTTGGGTGCCCAGTAACCAATGATAGTTCTGATACTGTTTGTGGGACAAACTGAGCCATAGCCGACTAACCCCAAGGTGTGTGGGCTAGAAGACGCCTACTCTGAATCAAGAGTGCATACGCTTATTTCGTTGGATATTACAAAGTACAAACCTGGTTGCTATGTAATTAACTCAGAATGTAATGAGCAATAAAAATACAATTATATTCCTGTAATACATTAAACCACCGTGCTTTCCTAAACCACTTAAAAGGCCCTGCGCATGTTCTCAAGGAAGAGCACGCTAAGGGAACATGGGGGAGGTGATGCTGCATGAACACGTCGCTCTCAGACAGCCCTTCAGCCGCTGAGCCACCAGCAAGGGCGTCGGAGGCTTTCAGAGTCTGCTTCAGAGACTTCACAAAAGGCTCTGCTGTGCCAAAGGGGCCAGCCTCGAAGCTCTAGGCACCGCCGGCATGGATGAGCCCAGAAGGGAGAGCTCTGCATGAGGGGAGCTGACAAAGGCTGGAGTGGAACCGCGCGACCTGGTGACTCCCCGCCTTGGTGCTGTCCTGGAGGAAAGGCAGACATGCGTCCCCACAGCACACGCATGCGAGCATTCACAGCAGGGCCATTCACACAGCCACAGAGCGGAAACAGCCGTGTCCATCAAGGGGTGGATGGATAAACAAATGCGGTCCATCCAGATGATGGGATGTGGTTTGTCTATAAAAAGGAATGAGGTGCTGGCACGTGCTGCAATGTGAGAACCTTGAGGACGCTGTGCTCACTGAAAGCACCAGACACATTGGGCCACGCCACGAAGGTGCCATTTAAATAAATGCCTAGAACAGGCAAATCCACAGAGACAGAGGGTCTGCAGGGGCTGGGAGTATGTGGGGAGATGGGAGTGACTGCTAATGGAGAGGGGATTTTGGGAGGTGATGGAAACGATCTCAAATGTGATGGTGCACGCATCCGTGAGCACATAGTCATTGAATTGTTCACTTTAAATGGGTCAATTGTATGGTACATGAATTTTAGCTAAATAAACTGTGGTGTTTGTTTGTTTGTTGTTTTTAAGACGGAGTCTTGCACTGTCACCAGGCTGGAGTGCAGCGGCATGATCTCGGCTCACTGCAACCTCTGCCTCCCCACTTCAAGCGATTCTCCTGCCTCAGCCTCCTGAGTAGCTGGGATTACAGGCGCCTGACACCACGCCTGGCTAATTTTTGTGTTTTTAGCAGAGACAAGGTTTCAGCATGTTGGCCAGGCTGGTCTCGAACTCCTGACCTCAAGTGATCTGCTCGCCTCGGCCTCCCGAAGTGTTGGGATTATAGGCATGAGCCACCGCACCTGGCTAATAAGCTGCATTTTATTATAAGACTGGAGGAAGAGATGGGGGGACAGGCTTTGGCAGTGCAGGAGGGGCGGCCATGCCTGGATGCTCACGGGGCTTCTTCTCAGCCCCTTCTCCACCCTCCTCAGATCCTTCCTGGGTCCCTACCAGAAGTCAGGAGCAGAGACAGGCAGGAGCACAGGCCTAGGGCTCTGGGCACAGGGACGCCCATGCCATCCTGCAGGAAGGGGTCCCACCTTTCCTTCCTCATGCTGGATGCCTCCAGCCGCCCCCGCCCCCAGTGCTGTGCAACGTGTTCCATCCCCGAGGCCACTCGCCCTCCCAGACAGCTCGTGCCTGGTGGGCCCCAGCCCTGATCTCTGGGCCCGGCTCACATCCGACTTGGACCCCAAGCCTCGGTTTCCCCATCTGTGAAATGGGGATACTCGTGGTCTTGCCAAGCAGGCTGTTAGGATCTAGGAGCTAGCGCAGAGCCTGCCCACAGGAGAGGCGCCACCGTCACCATGGCATTGGTCAAAACCAACAGCACACTCCTGCCCTTTCATGGAACATTAGATGGTGGCTGTTACGTCATGATGATGGCGGAGATGAGCGCACACCTTTGCTTCCTAACTGTCCCCCAAGATGGGATAAGACCAGCGGTGGGGACCCCCAGACTCCTTCTGGGGAGCCTTCTGGCCCTGCAGACAGCCAGGAAAGTTCCGGGGCAGGTCAGTGGTGGGGTGGGGACTGGAGCCCCATACCCAGACTCAGGAGGGGGCAGGAAAGGTGGGCAGCGTCCAGCACGGGCGGTGTCCAAGCGTCCAGGGGCCATGGAGAGGCGCAGGGGGACTGGAGGAAGGAGTGAGCATCTGGGCCGGGCAGCCCGGCAGGAAGATGGGGGGGGGCACCCCGTGCGCTGTCAGGCTGTGGGAAGTGTGATATTGATAAAACATGCGGCTGGAAAACATCATCTCGCAAGGTCATTTTTACAAGAAAGTTGTGCTGCATGGATTTATTGCTGTGTGCAGAGAGGATTTTAATTACCATGTCTTAAGAGGTGTTATTGTCTCTGTGGCAGGCTCTGAAAAAAAATACTCCCTGAGCCATAACCCGCCCCCCGGCGCACTGAGCCCGGGGACCAGAAACCCCCGGCACTGGAGGGTGTTCCTGTTCACCACCCCCCGGGCCTGCCCCGAGACCCTCCTGACCCTGCTCAGACGGGCGAGGAAAATAAGGCCACCTCCCTGGCGGAGCCCAGGCCAGTTCTGGAGGCACCCCCTTCCCCAGCCTCTGCCGAGAGTCCCGCCGTTGGGACTCCTCTCCTCCTCTCCAGCTGGGTGTGGGCGGCTCCCCGGCCACAGCAGCTCTCGGGCCAATAAGACCGAAACTCCCATGTTCTGGGCACTCTGCTCCTTAGGACGCAGCCCTGGGCGTGACAGGGCCAGCTCCAGGTACCCTTGGGGGCCTGAGGCCAGACTCGGCCAGCCCGGAGGAGGGCAGTGTGGGTGAGGGGATGGGGCCATCAATAAGGGAAACGGGCTGTGGGTGGTGATGAGGGGAAGGGGCCGTGGGTGGTGATGAGGGGAAGGGGCCGTGGGTGGTGATGAGGGGAAGGGGCTGTGGGTGGGTGGGTGCAGAGAAGGCGCTGGTGCTCAGGCCTGGGTGACTTTGCCCTTCTTCTGCTGGAGCAGGTGCCGTCAGAATGCCCTTTCCAGGGCTGGCCTCCTTCTGACAGACTTTTTTTCTTATAGTTTTTTATTTGCAATTAAAAATTATCCTTGACAGCCATCCCCTGTAAAAAGGTTTCACTAATTTAAAACCCATTCTTCCATCCTTCACTTCAACTTGTGGGGACCTGATGAATTCTAAAGACCCCCAGAGTCTGTCTTGTGGGGGAGCGAGGGGGAGGGGTGGAGGGTGTGTGTCTGGGGATCAGGGTCTCTCTTCCAGGTCCCTAAGCTACTTTCTCTTCGCCCCTGATGCCCAGGCCCCACTCTGCAGAGATCCTTCACCTTCAGGTTTCTGTCCTCCTGGGCTGCCTGGGGAAGGGGCTGAGGCTGCCCTCACCCTAGGGGGCTGGGCCAGGAGGAGCCTCTCCACACTGCTCAGGCCAGGCCGAGGGGCTGGTGCATCCCGGACACACGCAGGGGCTGCTGGGAGAATCTGCAGAAGCGTGGCCGGCAGGTGTGGACAGAGCTGCCCCTGAGCACGGGGAATAAATGGTGCCTGGCAGATTCCACAGGAGAGCAGTGGGAAAGCCAGGTTCTCCAGGGCTTCACACCAGGCTCAGGGCTTCCCAGGCCAGCCTGGGTTCTGCAGGCTCCCACACTCCGCCCTGCGGCCCGCATGGATAGAAGTCTTATCAAGAGGCATCGAGACTGCTAGGGCTGCTGGGAGCCAACTGTGCACCCTGAGCTCCCCACAGAAGCCAGAGGCAGAGCCGGAGGCTGGGGGCAAGGAGTCCCTCGCCCCTGTTCCCTTTCAGCCCCAGGAATACACCCTGGGACCTCTTGACTTGGCCTGCCTGTCACCAAAGGACGCTACAGGGACCATGCGGGTGGCTCCCATGTACAGGCTGGGGCACCAAGGAGGCCCGCACCCTCAGGCACACCGGCTCTTCTGCCCACAGAACACACAGAACGGGGCCCATCTCAGTGCAGCCCGCTCCTTAGAGACGAGGCCAGAGACACTGGGGAGGGAAAGACGGCGCGGGAGGGAGGAGGGAGGATGAACGAGGGAGGAGGCTCTGTTAGAGTCAGGCCTGTTACCCTCTCCCCACCCTGTGACTCCAGTCCCCTTCCTGCCCTGGCTGAGACCACAGTGGGTGCCCAGTTCTGTGCCCACACCAGGGGGGCACTATTGCCCCAGTGCCCTTTGCTGGCTGGCATGTGCCACAGATGACCAGACCCTCCTAATGGCCAGCCTGGGACACAGACGGAGGGAGCCCCAGGAGCAAAAGCCCTCTCCAGGTGGCCACCACAGCCCCAGCAGCCTGTGGCCCTCCTGTCACCATGGGGAGGGAAAGGGCCTCAGCTCCCATGGTACTGGGAGAGGCCCCACGGGGCAGCAGAGGGCTCTGGGGGAGGAAGGCGCTGGCTGGCTTTCTGATCCTCCATCTCTTGACTTCCCTGGAGCTGCTAGTGGGGAGCTGGCTTGGTGTCAGCCCCACTCTTGGCGCTGGCACAGCCCAGGGCCTAGGACGTTCCTTTGGCCAAGGAGAACTCACAGCAGCCAGAGCCAGCAGGGCCAGGACGGGCGAGCTTGGAGCCCCGTGTGCTGGTGGGGTGAGGGGTCGTGCCCATGCTGGTGGCCACAGGGGCCAGGAGGCCAGGAGGGACAGTGGGGAGGCGCCCTGAGGCCGGCCTGGGTGACGGGTCCCTGCACAGGGAGGCTCATGGGTTTATTTGAAGATGAAGAAGCGCAGTCTTGGACAGGGCCGAGAGGAGGGGCAGGAGAGGGGGCAGGGGCCGCAGCCCAGCTCCTCTGCCCCGGGCCTCCCTGGGCCTCAGTTTCTCCACCCCTCCGACTTAACAGGGATGCCTCTCACACAGAAGCCCACGCATGTGCCGCCGCAGCTGGGGCACGTCCTCCAAGGGGCGGGCAGAGGCCCCTCGAGACGGGAGGAAGCTCATCACCCCAGCTGAGGCTGGGTGTGGGCAGGCCTGGGCGGAAACAGAGATGATGTGGGGCCGGTTCTGGGCAAGCTCTCGGGCCACTCTGGTGGACCCATGGTCTGTTTATAATCTCTCCAGCCTCTTCACTCTCCAGCCAGTCACATACCGCAGAGGAGGCACCAGGCTTCTCCTTGCGGCAGGAAAATGAAGTCAGGGTGCAGAGGGACAGATGGGCGGCCGCCGGGGTGGGCTGCAGCGTGGAAACCCGCTCGCCGATACTCCCTTGGTTCCGTAACTTCCAGGTCTGGGCATGAGAGAGGCCAGGAACCTGGAACTCCCACCCCAAATGCCCAAGAGGGTGCCAAGTGCCAAGTAAGGACCCCAGTGAGGAGGAGGCCTGGGATGGGGGGTGTTCCTCGAGCCCCCAATGTAGGCAGCTGCACACGGGCCCTTCCCAGTCCTCTTCTGTCCCCAGGTCTAGTGGGGCTGCCCCAGCAGCACTGGCCACAGCTCGGGCCAGGCCACTCAGGACAAGGAGGGCTGGGCCCGGCTGCTCACAGGTGTGCCGTGGAGGAGACCGAAGGCTGAGCCATGATGGGTGACAGCTGTGACTCCCCAGTAAAGTCAGGGGACTCACTTCACTCAGGTGCTCTGCAAAGGGCTCCCCATATGCTCAATGTCTTGGGGAGCCTGAAAAACAGGGATTCATGTGCAAACCCCTGAAATCCCTGCAGTTCAGCCTTCACCTCTCACGTTAGTGTCCATACCTTGGACAAGGCAGTGTTTATTAAGAAACTGATTTTACCTTATCAATTGTTTTGTGCCTGTTAGCATTCATCTCCAGAGCACACGCTGGCGTCGTGCTGGGCACAGACACACACACGTCCACTCACGTCACTCTGCCCCTGCCCACAACCCCATTTTCGGGTGAAGCAGAGCGTGCACGGAGCGCGTTAGTACCTGTCGGGTCCACAGTAGGCCAGAGCAACGGCTGCAGTCCACCCAGCCTGCCTGCCATGAACCGCTGTCTTCCCAGGGAGCAGAACTCACAGGAAGAAAACGCTGCCTCCTCACGAACAGGCGCGTGCCAAGGATACACAGCTCCTCCGGCCAAGCCCCAGAAGTCAATCCCATGCAGCAGAGGGTGCTCCCTAGCAGTGTGTGGCTCGGGGGAACCTGGAGATGCTCCTGTCCGTCAAAACCAGGCCTGTCCATGCTGCAGGGGAAAGCCCCAAATGCCCTCACTGAGCAACAGCTCCATGAGCCCCTAGTCCGAGAGGCTCAGAAGAGGACAAGGCTTGAGTTTCCTGGAGTAACCCTGGCATAAATAGGCTGGGTCCCAAAAGGCCATCCCTGGCTCCAGGATGCAGGCACACAAGACTGTTACCCAGAGGCTGAGCTTCCCCGGCTAGCCGGGGGCTGAAGCTCTGTGGCCTATGTGTGGGGCACTCTCTGGGGTGGGGGCTGCAGGGCAGGGGCCCCAGCTGCAGGATGGCGGGAGGGAAGCAGGGCAAGTCCCCATGGAGAGGCTGCAGGCTGACTGAGGGTGGGTGTCCTCAAAGATGCAGAGCAGATAGGCCTTTGGGGTCCTGAAGCCCCACACATCTCATGGCTGCCCCAAGGGCCATTCACCATCTGCCTGCACCCGGGCCTCCCTGCCTCTGCTCTGCCCACATCCTCCCAAGACACACCTCCTTCTGGAAGCTGAGGAAAGGCCGGGCTGACTCCAGGGGCAACCCTTCTTCTCCCAGCCCCCTGCCCCCAGCCCTCCCGAACTTCTTGCCAGGACCGTGATGATTTGACAGGTGTGTCATGAGATGCTGGTGGCAGTCCAGGGTCCCCCCAGGAACGGCAGGGCACCTCTCTTGTCCTCACTTAATTAAAATGTGTCCCTGACGGGGCCGCGGTGCATGGCGTTCGCCTGGCGCAGCATCAGCGATTCAACCTTTGCCTGTGGGAGTGAACTCTGAATTTCCAGCCAAGAGGAAGCCTCCAAAGGAAGGGTGGAAATGGGTGTCCCTGGAGGGGAGGCGCCCAGGCTGGGCCCCTGCACACGCTTCCCTCACGGCGCCCGCCTGCACCTGTCAGGTCTCACCTGCAGTGGCCCTGCAGCCCAAGCCCTGCCCCTCCGCCAACCTGGAAGCACCTGTGACGGGCTGCAGTGCCTTTCTTCCTGGAGAGGAGGCACGGACAGCCGCTCCCCACCTGCCCTCCGGCAGGCAAAAGCAGCAGTGCCACAGACGGAAGGGCAGTGTCCTTGGTGAGTTCCTTGCATGGGGCAGGGCCTCCTGGCCTGTGACAGCCAGGCTGGGACTGGCCCTGGAGGCAGATAGAGGGCCCAGTGGGAAATTCTGAGTCCCAGAAGATGGGCCAGGGCTGCCCATGGCAAGGGCCAAGGAGATCGCAGCCCCGCCTGCTGGGCATCGCACACAGGGTTGGCAGAAGCACCCTTGAGGCCAGGCAGGTGCTCAGCCAGGCTGGAAGGTCACAGGCCATAAAGTTGGGCTCACGTTTTATGTCCTGGGGGCTCCTTCCTTGGCACCCTGGAAAACTCCAAATGCCCCAGCTTGGGCCAGCCTGGGGACCCCCCCACCCGGCCCCACTCCCCACTCGGCCACATAAACCCCAAAGCCAGGGCCCTCTTGCTCTCCCAAGCTATTTCCAGACCTTGGGAGCTGCCTTGCTGTCCCCAGAAAGCCCCACCATATGAGTGACAAGCCCTTCACTCCCCCATGGGGTGTGTGTGGTGTCAGAAGCCTCAACATTTGGGCCAAATTTGGGGTGGGGGAGTTCGTCCCATGTCTTAAAGGTGGCCCCTGCCATGGGCATGGTGCTGTGGAGGCAAAGGCAGGGTGTTGGTGGTTGAAGCCAGGCCTGCTCTGCTCCTTTGGGAGCAGGGGCAGTGGATGGGAGGGTCCCATGCAGGAATGAGATTTCAGTTTAGTCTGGTTCTCAGCAGAGAGCTTCAGTTTTGTTTTGTTTTGTTTTGTTTTATTAAATCCCTTCCCCAAATAGAAGAAGGGTCAGCAAAGAAAAGACATGAGGCCAGGTTTGTCCTCAGGTGGGCAGGGGTGCAGTGAGGGCGAGATTGGGGAGGGGCTGAGAGGTGGCGGCTCTGCCTCGTTGGCTTTGGGGTCTCAGCATCTTGGCTTCCATGGTGAGGAGCCGGTAGCTGAGCCCAGACCCCATAGATCCAGCTCAAAGCCTGAAAAACAAGAGCACACGAACATAGGACATGGGCACTCACGCCGGGGATGGAAGCACCGGCCCTGCAGGAGGAGCCCGGTCCAGGGCCAGCTGCCCCAGAGCCAGGCTGGCAGGGGCAGGACTGTGGGGTCGGCCCCTGGCTCCGCCCCGTGCTCGCCAAGCCTCGCAAGCTCCTCTTTGTCTGGATCCAGTCTCCCCATTGGCAGAGCAGGTTTTTTTTTAATTTCTTTAATTTGCTTTGCAAATAACTCTGAATTAAAAACCATATATATCTATTTTTAAAGAGCCACTCTTTCACTCCCTTAGCTAAATTTACACGAGATATTTTTCCCTAGGAAAATTCAATTAGGTTTTTATTTTAGTCATCTAAAAGGCACTGGTGCTTTGAGTGTTTGGTTTTTAATTTAAGCCCTTGGTAGGACATTTCAATTGAAACACTGGGGATGAGAATGACCGGGCTGTTCCGAGGCAGGTGGAGACCCCAGAGGCAGGGCTGGGCAGGGCGGGGCAGGGCCACTGTGCAGGGCTGGGCATCCAATGGGCGGCTCAGACCACCTGGGGACTGACTGAGTTCCTCCACCCTAGGGGCCCCCAGGCACCGGGCGCTGACTCTGGGTGAGAGTCCACGCTGGGCCTGCAGCAGTGAGCCCAACAGGCCACAGAAGAGAGCAGGAGCCAGGAAGCGAGTCCTCCGAGGCCACAGGTCCAGCTGACCCCAAGGCAGGGTGCCTGGTGCAGTGACCCTCAGGCTTCACCCACATGCCCCGGTGGCCTGTTCCAGGGAAAAGGTGGAGTTGCAGCCACTCCTTGGACAAGGAGCAGTAAGGCGTTCTGGAAGTGGCACCTGCAGGCCTGTTCCGGGCTTGTCCTTTGGCTGCAGGGTTTCATCCAGGGTCTCAGCAAAGGCCCCCCCTCAAGTCTGTGCTGAGACAGGCAGCAAGCACGATGCTGAGAAAGGTGTGTGGCTCGTGCAGTTTGCTCAGCAGTTGGGAGGCCTGTCGTCCACTCCACACACGCATCCAGGCTGGGATCTCCACACACGCATCCAGGCTGGGATGGAGGCAGATGGAGCCAGGACATGCCCAGAGGCCCATCCAGGGCCTGACCTGGCACGGGGGACCTTGAGGTCGAAGCTGGGCCTTGCCCCGGGGAACGTGGTGAGAGAAGGGGACTCCCCCAGCCTCAGAGGCCTCAGGTTCCTCTGATGCGTCCTCAGAAGTTTCCTAACCTTGACATGGAAATGCGTCTCCTTCAATGAGAAGAGCCTGCAGTTCCATATGCTCTGAGAGCAGCCCCTCCCTCCCATACCCCTGCCCTCCCCCAAACCCAACATCCAGCCGAGAAGAAGACCTAGAGAGTGAGAACAGGGAGGGGCCACGTCCCAAGCAGGTTAAATTGGTGATACATATGCCTTTATTCGTTGTTTTTATTGCTTTACTTATTACACTTTTTATTCAGAGATTATTGTTGATCCCCAAGCAGCTACAAGAAATAACACAAACAGATCCCATGTGTCCTTCATTCCGTCCCCCCCAGTGGAAACCTCCAGCAAAACTCTAGCACGGTATCCCCACCAGGGTGTTGATGGATGCAACCAGGACACAGAGCACCCACCCCTCAGGGACCCTCAGGGTGCTCTTTTGTAGCTACACCCACTTTTCCTCTCACCCCCTGCACCCACTCCTTAATTTCTGCTAACCACCAGTCTCTTCTTCCCTTTCTATAAATTTGCCATTTCAAGAACGTTATATACATGAAACCATACATACAGTATGTAAGCTTTGGGGACTGGCATTTTTCACTCAGCATAATTCTCTAGAGATTCACCCAGGTGGCTGGACGTGTCACTAGCTCGCTCCTTTTCCTGGCTGAGTGGTGCTCCATGGTGTGGAGGCACCATGGTTTGTCTAATCATTTACCCATCGAAGGACATCTGGGTTGACTTCAGTTTAGGGCTATGGTGAATAAAGCTGCTCTAATCAGTAATGTACATGTTTTATGTGAACATGTCTTCATATCTCTGGAATACAAGACCAGGAATATAACAACTGCATCATAGGGTAATTGAGTTTTTAAAGAAATTGCCAAACTGTCTTTCTAGAGTGGCAATACTGTGTTACATTCCCATCCAGCTTCTCCACATCCTCACCAGCATTTGGTGTTTTCATTCTTTGTAAAAGTTAGTCATTCTGACAGGTGTGTAGTGACATCTCCTTGTGTTTTAATTTGCATTTCCTCCGTAGCTAATGACGTCAAACATCTTTTCATCTGTTTATTTGCCATCTATCTTCTCTCTTCAATGAAATGTCTCTGCAGGGGTCTTGCACATTTTCTAATTGGGTTGTTAAGGTTTGTTTACTGTTGAGTTTTGAGAGTACTTTGTATATACTAGATACTAATCCTTTGTCAGGTATGTGGTTTCAGATATTTTCTCTTATTCTGTAGCTTGTTCATCCTCTTAACAGATTCTATCATAGAGTGACAATTTTTAATTTTGATGAAGTCCAATTTATCAATGCTTCCTTTAAGGACCATGTTTTTGGTGTCAAGTCTATGAACTCTTTGCCTACCCCTAGTTCCCAAAGGTTTTCTCCTATGCTTTTTTCTAAAAGTTTCTTGGATTCACCTGTTACACTTAAACTATTTGTCCAATTTGAGTTAATTTTTGTATAACGTGTGATATGTTTAGACTGAGGCTCTCTTTCTGCTCAAGTAACATTTGCTAAAAGGCTATTTGTCCTCCATTAAATTACTTTTGCACTTTGTGAGATCTCACTTTGTCAAAAATCATTTGGGTACTATTGTGTAGCTCCACTCCTGAGTTCTCTCGTTCTAGTCCATTGGTTTGTGGGTCCATCCCTCAGCCAATTGACCAAATACCACCATCTAGACTAATATAGCTATCTAAAAAGTCTTGAAATTGGATGGCAGGATTTTTTTTTATTCTTTTTCAAAATTGTTTCAGCTATTCTAAGTCTTTCTTGTTTTCGTGTAAATTTTATAATTATCTTGTTTGTGTCTACAAAATAAGCTTGCTGGGATTTTTATAGGAATAGCATTAAACCCACATATCAATTTGGGGAGAATTGGCCTCTTTACTATGTTGTCTTCTAATCCATGAACATAGTCATTCTCTCTACTTATTTATATCTTTGATTTCTTTCATCAATGTTGTATACTGTTCAGCACAAGTCCTGTACATGTTTTGTTGAATTTATAACTATTTCATTTTTTGAGTAGTTGTAAATGGTATTCTATTTTTAATTTCAGCATCTGCATGTTCATTGCTAGGATATAGAAATACAATTGAGTTTTGTATGTTTATCTTGTACACTGAAACTTTGCTGAATTCCTGATTAGTTCTAGGAATATTTTGTCAATTCCTTCAGATTTTCTATGTAGACAACCTCCGCAAGTAGGGATAGTCATATTCCTTCCTTTCAGATATATATACTATGTCTTTTATTTGCTTTCATTGTCTTATTGCAAGAGCTAGAACTTCCAGCACTATGTTGAATAAGAATGGTGAAATTACACATCTTTGACTTGTTCCAATCTTGGGAAAAGAAATTCAGTATTAATTACATAGTTAGTTATAATTTTAAGTATATATATATATACTTGTTCCAATCTTGGGGAAAGAAATTCAGTATTAATTACATAGTTAGTTATAATTTTAAGTATATAAAGTTAGCTGTAGGGTTTTTGTAGATGTTCTTTAGCAAACGAGGAACTTCACCTCTGTCTTAGTCTACTTAGTGTTGTTATAACAGAACCTAAGAGGCTGGGTAATTTATAAAGAAAAGAGGTTTATTTGGCTCACGATTCTGGTGGCTGGAAAGTCCAAGAGCACAGCATCAGCCCCTGTTCAGCTTCTGGTGGGGGCCTTGTGCTATATCGAGACATGGTGAAGCGGGAAGGCAAGCAGGCATGTGCAATGCAAAAGCAAACACAAAGAGAAATCTCACTTTATAGCAACTCACTGTCACAATCACTAACCCAGTCCTGAGAGAAGGAGAATGCACTGTGGTTAGATGGCATTAATCTATTCATTAGGGATCCATCCCCATGACCCAAACACTTCCCATTAGGTCCTACTCCCCAACACCATCATAATAGCAATCAAATTTCAACATGAGTTTTGGAGGGGACAAACTATATTCAAACCGTATCATCCTCTATTCCCAGTTTGCTGATAATTTATCATGAATGAGTGCTGGATTTTGTTAAATGATTTTTCTTCATAGATTGACACTATCATGTGATTTTTTTTTTCTTCTTTAGCTTGTTAACATGATGAATGATATTGACTGATTTCAAATATTAAACCAGCCTTGCATCCCTGGAATAAACCCACTGAGTCATAGTGTATATTCTTTTTATATACTACTGACTTCTGTTTGCTAATATTTTGGTAAGGATTTTATGTCTGTATTCATGAGGGGTTATTAGTTTGTAGTTCGCTTGTTTTTTATACTGTTTTGGGTAATTTTAAAATTTCCTTTGAGATTCTTTTTGATCAATGGACTGTATTGTTTCCAAATGAACTGCTCCATCCACCCCTGGGGCCCCCTATCACTGCCACACTGTCCCTCTCCCTTCAACCACCCCACCCACCACACTCCTGCATGCTCCTAGCACTCCCTGCCACCCTGCCATAGCCCTGCATGCTCCTGGCACTCCCTGCCACCCTGCCATAGCCCTGCATGCTCCTGGCACTCCCTGCCACCCCAAGGCTTTTGCACTTGCCGTGTCCCTGCCTGCAGTGCTCTTCCCTGCCCTGACTCAGTCCCAAAGTCGCTTCCATAGGGGAGCCCTCCCCAAGTTCATCTGTTGCTCTGGGCTTCTATAAAGGATTCCCTACCCAGCCTACATCCCAGCACTGCCAAGGGGCTGCAAGCATGCCAGAGGTGGGCTTCAGGGCCATTTGTTACCTGGAGAAGATGGGCCAGAGCAGGCAATCAGGGGAGGGCAGAGGCAGCTCCACCTGGGGTCACCCCAGGTCTCTTCCTGCTTCTCTTCAGATATGTTTGCAGCCCTGTCCATCTCTCCACACTGTCTCTCCCACAGATCACTCAGGGCTGTCAGGCCCAGAGACCCAGCTTCCTGCCAACTGTGCATAGAGTTGGAGGGGTGCAGCAGAGAGCAATGCCTGGCCACTGCCTACCCCAGAGCAGCCCTCTCCTTGTCCAAACTCTGGACTGCCTGAGGCTGTCCCAGAATCTGCCAAGTGGCCAGGGTGCAGCTCCCTGGGGCCTGGGGCCCAGGATGGAGAAGCAGCTCAACTCGACACAGGGAGGCAAGGCAGCCCCTGTCCAGGTCCCACGTGAAGCCCACGTCCAGCCTTCTCTACAGGGCCCTTCACTCCCCCATGCTAGGGAAGGCTCTAACAAGGGAGGCCCCAGTGGGGCAAGCAAGCTTCTCAGCAGGCAGAGCATCGAGCTGAAGGCCAGACTCTCCAGGTAAGGCATGAGCTCCCTGTCCCGAGGCTGTCTGCTCCAGGCAAGATGTGTCTCGTGCACACTGAGTCTGCAGCCTTGCAGGAGGAGCTGAAGCCCCAGAACGAGCCCTCTCACCTGTGACTTCATCTCCCAGTTGGCATCAGGGCAGGCCTGTGGGAGGTGGGATGGAGCCCACGGCATTGTGCAGATGTGATTCCTCACCTCCAGGAGCACTGGGCAGGTAGGGCTCATGCTGAGGGAAAGAAGTAACAAGACCCCCCATGCCCTGAAGCTTCCCCCAAAGCTGCAGTTGAGGCTATAGGCCCCGCATCTGCATGGGGCCGGGAAGGCTTCCTGCTGGAGGTATGCCATCAGTAGGGTCTCCCAGGACTAGAAGGTGCACAGGAAGACAGAGAGCTTCCGGGCAAGGGGGCTGCTCATGTGAGCCTGGGGGGCAGAGAGGAGGTCCACCCTGGGAAAGACAGTAAGGAAGGGGCCTATGGGGAATGGGGAAGCCTAGGCCTCTCCCAGCTGGCAGTAGGGCTCCCTGCCCCCTGATGTTGGGGCCCTGGAGAATTCTAAGGGGCCCTGGGTCCTGGGGCCCCTCCCCAGCCAGCCTCTATCCAGCTAGGCAGGCAACAGGCAGGGGTGAAATGCTGTTTGACAGGTAGCAAATCGCCTCTCCTCTTATGAGAATAACCCAATTATTTGACAGCGTTTTTCCAATACTCACAACATCTGTCTTTACTGTCTAATTTATGGAATTACCAATTAGCAATGACAGTTTCTGCCTCTCTGAATTGTCCCTGCAGGGTATGGGTCTAATCGTGCTATCATTACGCAGGTGCCCTCAGGAGGGATGCCAGCAGCCCAAGCCTGGGCCTGGTCAGCTGCAGGGCACCAGCACCAGCTGCCGGCCCACAGGGCTCCGGGATAGGGTACCCTCCCCAGGACTTGGCAGATGCTGCCAATCAACTTTCCATTTCCCTTGGGTGGGCAGCCAAGGGGGACTTCTTTGGGATATAGAGCCGTCCTTCTTTGGGATATAGAGCCGTCCTTCTTTGGGATATAGAGCCGTCCTTCTTTGGGATATAGAGCCATCCTTCTTTGGGATCTAGAGCCGTCCTTCTTTGGGATATAGAGCCGTCCTTCTTTGGGATCTAGAGCCATCCTTCTTTGGGATCTAGAGCCATCCTTCTTTGGGATATAGAGCCGTCCTTCTTTGGGATATAGAGCTACGCTTCTTTGGGATATAGAGCCATCCTTCTTTGGGATATAGAGCCGTCCTTCTTTGGGATATAGAGCCGTCCTTCTTTGGGATATAGAGCCATCCTTCTTTGGGATATAGAGCCGTCCTTCTTTGGGATCTAGAGCCATCCTTCTTTGGGATATAGAGCCATCCTTCTTTGGGATATAGAGCCGTCCTTCTTTGGGATATAGAGCCATCCTTCTTTGGGATATAGGGGCCTAATCCGAGACCTCTTTGTGCCCTCTGGCCTCTGGCAAACAGCAAGCCCCATTTCTGGAGGCGTGTGGGCCACCACACAATCAGAATGTGGCCTACATGACTGTGGGGTCCCATCCACTGTGTGACTCTGAGTCCCTGGGCTAGGGGCAGGAAGAGCCCGTGGGCAGGGTCATGGCCCAGGACAGCATGCTCGGGCATGAGGACCCAGTTGAGGGCAGTGACCAGGGTGGCCTGGGGCTGCACAGGGGTCTACCCTGAGGTTTCAAAACGAGGTTGCAGGCTGGGCGGCCGCCAGTCCCTCATGGCCCCACAGCCGTGAGTCACAGCAATCTGCACCATTCAAAGGATTCCAGACTTCCCCAGAGTTGCCCTGAGCCAAGGACAGGGGCCTATCAGCACCCAGCGGATCCGAGCCCCGGGGGAGAGCTCGGCTCAGTGCAGGTGATGGTGTGGCTGGGCTGATGGAGGCCCATGGGCCCAAGTCTGGGGCTCCCACCAAGGAGCCTGCGGCCTGGCCCGGCCCCACACCTGCGCTCCCGAACGCCATCCCTGACGTTCGGACCTTGGTTCGTCTAACTTCTGATTTCCACCCATGACTAATGGCTGTGCCTGCGTTGTCTCGGCATTGGAGCTGGTTCCTCTGGCCCCAGCTGCATAAACAGGCCCAGCCCTGATAGCCCAGGGAAGGGCTGGATGAGGCGATGGCATGGCCAGGAAGCCAGGGAGGGGTCCAAGTGGAAAAACGAGGTGCCGGGCCAGGGGCGGTGCTGAGGTCAGGGCCCAGGGACTGCCCAATGCAGGGTCACTGGGGCAGAGGGCAGCCCCCTCCCCGGCCCTCTCCTGCCCAGGCTGCCAGGCACCTTTGGTGGGATTCCAGCCCCAGCCTCTTGCCCCCTTCGGCTGCCCCACATGGTGTCCGGGTCACCTGTGCCCAGGCGTACCCTCTGAGACCATGTTTGTCCTACTGCCTGGCTTGTGGTGGCAGCTGCAATCCCAACCTCACACCCCATCCTGGCACTGGGCAGGCACCCTGGGGAGCCTGGTCACGGCCCATTTCAAAGACAAGCAAACTGAGGGCCACCCACCAGGGGCATTCATACCCCTGGAACCCCAACAGGGCAGCTCCCAGGAGAGGCCCCCAGGCTGGCTGAATCCCAGACCCTACGGCTCTGGCCCTGCCTGGTACTCCTGTTTGCATGTCAGGATCACTCCCATTCCCACCGCCAGCCCTCTGGCAAGACCACCTGATCTGGCCCACGTCCCCGGCACCCAGAAGGAGGCCCATAAATCTTCCCAGACTGAAGGGACCATGAGCTAAAGTCAGCAGGGGAAAAGGTGGCTCCAAGCAAGGAGAGGAAAACCCACAGACAGCAGCCTGTGGGGCCGTCACCGCCACCACACCCTGGAGCCCCGAGAACCATCACTTCTGCTTCCTGGGAGGACTGAAATGTGGTACAGAGGGAAGCTGATGACTCCAGCACCCCTGCACCCCCCAGGGCCAGGACAGGCCCCTGTAGCCCATGCCTCGCCATCCCATCAGGCGCTCCCTGCTTCTTGCGCCTGGCTGCATGTGCTCCCCTCACCAGCCATGGCACCTTTGTGGCTCACTGCCCCAGCTGCCAGGGCCCTGCAGGAACGCACCACCAGCTCAACCTCTGACCAGCCGGCTCCCAGGTGAAGCCCCTCACGTGCCCTCCGGGCTCCAGCCCAGGTTGTAGTCATGCCCCTGGACTCCCAGGGCCCCGCTGTGCTCGCGACCCGCCCTGGCCACTCACCTCTCGCTCCCTCCTATGCCCCCAGTCCTGAAGTTCCCTCCTGAGCTCACCTCACAGCAAGGGTCGAAAGTCACCGAGCCCACCCCGCTCTGGGCCACACCTCCAACTCTGCAGGGGTCCAGGCCTCATGGCAGAAGCAGCCTCATCCCTCCCAGGAGCCCCCAGAGGGGCTGAAAACTCCAGGAGTCAAGAATCAGCCTCGGAGCCTCACCCCCAGTGCAGGCATGAAAATCCAAGCCTCTGGCGACTAAAGGGGGGATTTTATTCTAGGGACCAAACCACATGCCTGCCTTTGACAAAAGAAATACTGGAGCTGGTGCTTTCAGAGATCCCAGCACACCGGCGCCCCTGCCTGCTCTGCCCTCCCCGCCGCCCACCCTCGCACCAGCCTCCCCAGGCCATCTGCACAGGCTCCAGGCCCTCTTCTGTTTCAGGAGCAAGTCTCAGGGCAGCTACCGGCAAACAGCTGATGAAGGCCCCCATCTCCCAGGGTCAAAACCAGGGTTCAGCTGCCCGTCTGCCCGACAGCTGGTGGCTCTGCCCATGCATCGGGCAGTGCCGACACGGTCACAAAACCTGCTGTGGAAATGACCACTCACTGTGGCCACAAGGGCCCAGCAGACCTGAGCAGGCAAAGGCCCCCGGGCTTCCCCAGGGGAAGGAAGGGGCCGAGGTTTTCTTGTCACATGGTCACTCCCAGATCCTGGCTGCAGATCTCACATCTCGCTGTGGCCCCAAGGATGCAGCAGAGCAGAGTGCTGGGGAGCTGGGAGCGCACGGGAAGTCAGAGTGCTGTGCATGCACACCCTGCACACAGGGCAGCCACACACACACCTGCGGCCAGGCCCAAGTGCAGCGAGACCCTGAGCTTCTCCGAGCCACGTGTGCTCACATCAAGGCGATGCCGTCAAGGCAGAGGCTTTGGCCGAAGCATCCTGCCCCTAAGAGTGAAGGTGAGCAGGCGAGGGGCTGCCACTTGGCGTCTCCAACACAAGGGCTGAGGCCCAAGTCAAGTCCGGGGTCAGGGCTGACACAGCCACCAGGGCCAGGGAGTGGCATGGTGACCTCAGCACCCATGTGACCCTGAAACACAGGTTTCCAGAGCCCTGGGACACCTCCCACCCCGCCCCATCCGCAGCAGCCCAGTTCACAAAGCCGGTGCTCTCAGGGGTTGTGATGGGTCATTACATGTGTCAATGTGACTGGGACACAAGGTGCCCAGACATTTGGTCAAACATGACTCTGGGTATGTGTGAGGCTGCTTCCGGAGGAGATCAACACTGGAGTCAGTGAACTGAGTCCAGCAGGGGTGCTCCCCATGTGGGCGGCCCTGTCTAGTAGGTCGGAGGCCTGCACAGGACAAGAAGGTGAAGCGAGGGAGAACTGACTCTGCTGACTGCTGAGCTGGGACATCTGTCTTCCCCCTTTGGATGGGACTGGAACTCACAGCATTGGCGCTCCTGGGTCTCCAACTTGGCAACGGCACATCCAGTGACTTCCCAGCCTCCATAACCACATGAGCCAATCCCTTATAATAAACACACATCCACACACACACACACACGTGTGCACACACATGCGTACACACATGCATACACACATATGCATACACATGCATGCACACACACACAGGCTCTGTTGGCATTTTTGGAGAACCCTAATACAGGGGTCACCGAAGTCCCTGCCAACCTTGCAGCCACCCCTGAGTCGGACTGCACCTGGCCTCCTCTGTCTCCTCTGCATTATCAAAGAAAGGACAGAGGCAGACTGGTAAGGAGAGGCGTTTATTCAAGAGGGTTACTGCAAGGGGGAGGCGGGCTGTCGCCACAGGTGACACTGGATTGGAAGGGCAATCCAGTGGGAGAATGCCCCCGCCTCACCAAAGGGCTGCAGGCTTCTCCAGGGTAAGGGGAAAGGGCTTCTCTTTTAGAAAGAGGCGTCCACAGAGCTGGGAGGAGGTGGCGTGGGGAAGCGGGGACAGTCTGCAGGACAGAGACGTCAGAGCCAAGCGTGGTTGGCCCTGGTGCGCCTGTTCTCAGGAAGGCATCTGCTGGCTCGAGTGAGGGCAGCCAAGGTTCGGGGCTCGAGGGGAGTGAGGAGCTGAACCGAGGCTGAGTAACACGCCTTTCCTTCCAGTTGAGCAGCCAGTCACTCGTGAGGCCACACAAGAACTCGAGGGCATGTGTCGGGCCTGGCCCTGGAAATGAGGAGCATCTGGGAGTGTTTTCCAGCATCTTACGGGCAAGGGGGCTCCCCGCTGCCATCAGCTGTTTTCCGGAACACCAGAATAGAGGGTTTCTTAACCTTCAGGTAAATTCAACATTGTCACAGTGAGAGTGTCCCTGCCGGGGTCTCTCTCTTCAGGGGTCTCACAGGACAGGCCCCCAGGGCTGCACTGGGGACTTGGGAAGAAGATGATGATGATGCGGTTGGGAGAGATCATGTGCAGAAAGTGGCTCGGGGCCCAGTGTGGGATCAAGGCAAGGTCCACGGCCGCTGACGGCTCAGCCCCTGGTCCCACGGACAGCGTGGAAAGGTGGAGTCAGAGGGCCAGATGAGGAGGGGATTTCTGTGGCGTGACCTGGGCTGTGAGCTCTTCCCCAGCCCGAGGGGGAAGAGAACGGGCTTCTCCTTCACTTCCGGGCAGAGCAGACCTTGGGCAGGATCCCCGAGGTGGGGTGGGGCTGGAGGCTGGGAAGCGGCGGCACCTGGTAAGGGGGCCGTGCTCAGAAGGCTGTCGGGGGTTGCCAGCTGAACTCCCACACTAGTGCCCGCTGGCCAGACCCGGGCAGCTTGCAGAGCAGGGGTCTCCGGCTCACCTCCCCGTGTTTCCCGCAGGGCGCTCGTTCATTCTTTGGTGCATCCAGCCACACATCCTGAGCACCCTCCACGTCCACCCAGACCGGCCTGAGGACCTGCGATGACTCAGCCACCACGGTCTCCAGCAGGGGAACCCTGGCAGGGGACGGCCAGTTGCCACCAGCTCCACTTGGGGCCATCTCCTCCCAGGGCCCAGCAGGATCCAGAGGGGCACCCCTAAGGGATGGGTCACCCACCTGGCACTACTCTACCTGCCTTCAGGGCTAACCCTCTGTGGGTTCTAGGCTTCCTCTCCAGGGGTTCTGGGCCAAACTGTCCCCCCAAAATTCCTATGTGAAACCAACCCCGTCCATACCTCGAAGGTGGGCTTTGGATTCCCACACCTGTGGGAGAACACCATTTCTGTTGTTTTAAGCTACTTAGTTTACGGTCTTTGTTATGGCAGCCCTGGCAAACTGATACACCAGGGAAGGGTCTCCAGAAAGGTCTCCCACTCCCCTCTTAGAGTCCAGTGAACGCACTTGGACCACGGCACTCATTCCTGCTCTCTCCAGGGTGCTGGATGATGAGCAGATGCCCATTGCCTGCCTGTCTGGGGCTGGGCCGGGCTTGCTGTCTGGGGCCATGGTGGAAGTGTGATGTGAAATTTCGAAATGGCATTCTTGCAAATCAGTGTCAGTCCCTGTGTGGGGGTGCATGAAGAAGGCTATTCCAGAGCCTGAGCTCGAAAGCCCGAGGCCCCTGGGCCTGCATAGCCTCCCCCAATCCTCGACCCCACGTGGCTCCCACTGAGAGCTCCCCAGCCCAGGGCATGCAGACGGCCCATGAACGCTCATCTTCCTGAACCTGCTTCCAGCACACTCCCTTTCTGCTCTTGGGCTGAGCTGAGCTTGGAGATGAGCAGGCTGCTGTTGGTGCAGGGGATGGGTTGAAGCACAGCCTGCCTGGAGGGCTCATGGCCTGGCCCACATAGATGACAACCGGGACTGCAGGAATGGGGAGGCCAGGCAGACGGCACTCCTGGGGATACAAGAGCTTCCGGAGACCAGCAACGGCTTCCTCAGTAGCAGCACCTGACAGGCACATCAGCGCCTCTCCGTGTGCTGGAGTTGCTTCTGGAGCTCTGGGAAGTCATCATCGACTGCATATTTATTGTCAGCGTTGTTTAAATTCTGGTGCATTTTTCTGTGATAATGTAACAATAACATAAACATTTGCTGGGTGCTAGCTACGCTTAGTGCGTATCACCCTCACACCAACCTCATGAGGGAGATCCTGCCGTTTGCCCCATTTTACAGATGAGCAAACAGAAGCTCAGAAAGTTTAAGTCAGCTGCCCAAGGTCACACAGCTCATGGGAGGCAGAGCTGGGATTCGAATCCTTTGGGTTCACAGTTTGTGCTGTTAACCATGACTCTCCCCAAGGCTGACGCTGGGCTGGGGGTGCTGCTGGGGCCACCCAGGGCTGCAGAGCGTCAGCGCTCAATCTGGGTGAGTCTCAGGAAGAAAGGGATGTGGGGAGGGAAGAATTCTGTCCCAGTGAACACACACTGCCTGCCTCCCGCTCCACTCAGCATCCCACAGAGCCTGGGTGTTGTCTCTCCCCGGGAAACAGAACCCACCCCGAGGGTCCGTGCCCACCCTCCTGTCCACACAACCGTGGTACACACATGCGCACTCACACAGAGCACATGTGTGTCGGCAGCAGCCAACCCCAGTCCAGGCAGGTGGCCACGGACACAGCAGCTGGGCCCGTCTCACAGAGCGAGGCTGCTCGGGATAGAAAATGAGGCTTTGAAAGTCGTGGTGTGTTTGGAGGTTTAGACGTTCGCTCAGGGTTGACTGCACATTTCTCCCACTGCAGAGAGAATGAGGCCCGCCAGGCAGCCCACGCAGGTCCACGGCTGGGCTTGAGAACAGGGCCGGTCCTCGCAGGCCCCTCACTCCAGCAAGCAGGACCTTCCAGGGTGCAGAGGCTCTCTGCTCTGGGGCCAGGACTCTGAGACATCGGTTGCCCTGGAAAGGGCACAGGCCCGGCACCAGGTGGAGTGGCTCCGGCTCAGCTCCCCTTCCCCGCCCATGCGGCCTGGGGCGGATCCCCTGAGGGCCCTGGTGCAGCTTCCCCTGTGTGAAATGGAGATGTGGCCACCAGCTCATCACAGCACCGTCGTGAGTCCAGGAAATGAGGCAGCTGGAGTACCGTGTGCTTAGGAGGTCCTGGCAGGTCGTCCACGTGGTTAGTGTGTCCACCGCTACCAGCAGCAGCGGTAACAGTAGCAGTGGGGGTGCAGGAGGGTGATAGTAATAGCAGTGGTGGTAGTGATAATATTGCCAGTGGGAGTAGGAGGGGTGGTGGACGTGCTGGTGACAGTGGTAGCAGTAACAGCACTACCGGTGGTAATAGTGGCAGGAGTGATAGTAGTAGTGGTATTAATACAGGTGGTGGTGACCATAGTAATGGTAGTGATAGCAGTAGCAGTGGCAGCAGTGATAGTGGTAGTTATAGCCGGGGTGGTGGTGGTGGTGGTGGCGGTGGTGGTCCTAGGAGAGCAGGGGCGCTCATCACAGCAGCAGTAGTAGTCATGGTGGCGGTGATAGTAATAGTAGCGGTGGCTCACGCCTGTAATCCCAGCGCTTTGGGAGGTTGAGGCGGGTGGATCACAAGGTCAGGAGTTCGAGACCAGCCTGGCCAACACGGTGAAACCCCGTCTCTACTAAAAATACAAAAATTAGCCCGGCGTGGTGGTGCGCACCCGTAATCCCAGTTACTCAACAGGCTGAGGCAGGAGAGTCACTTGAACCCGGGAGATGGAGGTTGCAGTGGGCCGAGATAACGCCACTGCACTCCAGCCTGGCAACACAGTGATACTCCGTCTCAAAAAAAAAAAAAAAAAAAATAGTAGCAGTGGTGGTGGTGGTGGTGGTGGTGGTGGTGGTGGTGGTGGTGGTGGTGGTGGTGGCGGTGGTGGTGGTGGTGGTGGTGGTGGTGGTGGTGGCCGTGGTCACAGAGCAGTGGCGGTCTTCATGGTAGTAGTAGTAGTCATGGTGGTGGTGGTAGTAATGGTAGCAGTGGTGGTGGTATTGGTGACACAGCAGTGGCGGCCATTGTAGTACTAATAGTCATGGTGGCAGTGGCACCATGCAGTGGCATCAGTGGGTGCCCTCCCCAGGAGATGTGTCAAAGCTCGGCCACCACCCGGCCCCTGCCTAGCGCACCCCACGGGTCTGGGGACTGACGTCCACTGGTGCCTCCTCACGGGGGACAGTCTATATCCCCTGGTTAAAGGTAATCGCTGTGACATCGCACCGTTGTCCCAACTGTCGCACCAGCTCTCAGGCGCTGGGTCAGTGGCTGAAAGCGAAAGGTCAGCATTGCCTCTTGATCGCACTTTAATCAGATTTGGCTTCTCCCAGCTTCCGCCACCACCCTTGCCAGGGCCTGGGCCTCATTACAGAAAGTAGAAGGAGATGACATCATTCACAGCTAATTGTCTTGTTTGTCCGCTGGCTCCGTGGTTGTTTTAATAAAGGGCAGAGGCGGATAAAGGCTACATTTGCATCCTGGAAGGGGAGGCTGACAAGGGTCTCCTGCTCATGACATTTATTGTTTGCAAATGAGATAACCCAATAACAGCAGAGCCAGCTCCCTGCCGAAGCAGAGAACCCACCCTGCCCTCCTCCACCGGGGCCAGCCAGGAGCTGGGACAGACCAGGCCACGCGAGGGTAGCGCTCTCCGCCCACGGCCACCTGGGGTGATGCGTCTCAGTCCCTCTCCTGCAACACCTGCCTGTGGAGTGGCCCCACAGTAGGATGCAAGCAATGCCTGTTGAGTCCAGCCACCCGCAGGCTGGAACCAGCATCCCCGTTTGCCCAGGAGAAAGCCGGGGTTCAGAGAGATCACATTGCCTGCCAGTGCCACACAGCTGAAAGCAAACAGAGCAGCTCAGCACGCTCAGACTTTTTGCTTCACTGTTTGGCAAAACAGATCTCCATGCCTATGGTACCCAAATAAAGTCACAGCATTTTTTATTAAAATTATTATCACTGTAGAATCCTCACCCACCCTGTTTCTAGCTGCCTCTGGGGACCCAGTTCCAGTTGTCAGAACTTCTAAGGAAATTTTTAAGAAATTCCTCGAGCTGCACAGACTCTACTTTCCAGAACCAAACTAGGGATCTGGCAAAGGATAATCGTTTAGTCTTCAAATTTCATATGCAAGGACTTTCAAAACATTTGTATTAAATTGGGTTTAATAACACATTTCATAGGTGGCTTTTTTTGAAAAAAAATATTGTTTTATTGTTACCTGGCTAGGGCCAGGGGCTTCCTCTGAGTTGCCACAGCCTGCCCCATCCCCACCCCAGAACTTCCCTCTGTGACCACCCTGGACGCTATGTACAGAGAACTGTCACTCAGTCTGAGTACAGGAATGCAGCGGGATCAAAGTAAATGTTGGATGGATGGAATGGGTGGGTGGGTGGATGGAATGGGTGGGTGGATGGATGGATGGATGGATGGATGGATGGATGGATGGAAAGGTAGATGGGTAGATGGATGGATGGATGGATGGATGGATGGATGGATGGATGGGTGGGTGGTTGGATGGATGGATGGATGGATGGATGGATGGATGGAAAGGTAGATGGATGGTTGGATGGATGGATGGATGGATGGATGGATGGATGGATGGATGGATGGATGGTTGGATGGATGGATGGATGGATGGATGGATGGATGGATGGATGGAAAGGTAGATGGATGGTTGGATGGATGGATGGATGGATGGAAGATGGATGGTTGGATGGATGGATGGATGGATGGATGGATGGATATTTAGGTAGATGGATGGGTGGATGGAATGGATGGATGGATGGATGGATGGATGGATGGATGGATGGATGGATGGATGGATGGAAAGGTAGATGGATGGTTGGATGGATGGATGGATGGATGGATGGATGGGTGGGTGGGTGGATGGATGGATGGATGCATGGATGGATGGAAAGGTAGATGGATGGTTGGATGGATGGATGGATGGATGGATGGATGGATGGATGGATGGATGGGTAGGTGGGCAGATGGGTAAATGGATAGATAAATGGGTATACAGATGGGTGGGTAGATGGAAGCATGGGTAGGTGGGTGTAAGATTGGATGGATGGATTGGTGGATGGACAGATGAAGTACCGCTCTCAGTACTGCCTTCTGTGTCAGGTAGGGGCCGCTCTGAGCAGACGGTGGCTGCCAACCACCATGAAGTATGACCTTCCTTGCTCCCATGCAGCCCACAGAGGGTGGGCAAGCCTGCCTGGCTGGTTCACACCTTGCCACCCCAAGCCCATGGCAAGGAAGTAGGTGCCATGGTGACAGACTCAGGGCAACACTGGGGCACAGTGGATGCTGGGGTCAACCCCAATGCCAGCTACAATGGCTGTGCTTGTAGGGCCATTCTGATTAACCCAGATGTTCCAACATCTCCAACTTGCAGGCCACACTGTCCTTCAGTCACCAGGTTGACCTCTGTGCCACCTGGTTGTCCAGGTGTTAGGAGGCTCATTCTGGTGGAACGAGCATCTTGAGCCCCTCCTATGCCTCCAGTCCCTGCCAGACCACCTGGGAAGGCCCGGGAGCTGCTGCAGTTCCCACAAGCCCAGGCTGCCCAGGTTGCAGCCCCTGCAGCCCCCCGTGGTCCACACAGACCTCTTGCGTGCAAATCACACCCTGGGGTACTCACAGGACATGCTCGCTCCCAGAAGACCCAAAAGCTCAACCAGGTCCAGGCCGTGGGTGGTTAAAGCACTCAGCAGAAGTTCCTCAAAGCTCAGAGGCACCAGCAGAGGTGAAAGCAGATGCAGGGGCAGGTGGAGGAAGGTAGCCAGGGCATCTCGCCTCCTGGGGCTGCGGCCCTGCCTGCTCCCCCATCCCAGGCCTCCGGGCCCCTAAAGTCTGGGGAGCCTGGATTCAGGGAAGGACCCATCACCCCACAAGGGTCAGGCCGGGGGCAGGATGTTCCAAGCAGAAGCTTCACCCAGCCCTGTGGGGTGGCAGGAGGGAGCCCACTGAGCACAGGCAGGTCAGAGGCTGCTGCCGAAGAGCTAAGCCAGGACCATCTCTGGTCCCCAGGAGCCACCACTCAGCCTCACCCACTGTGAGGACTGGAATATTCACCCATCATAGGGCTGTCCACATGGCGAGACTCCACTCACATCCACCAGAGCCTCCCTGGCCCCCTCTCCTCCTCCTAGAGGCTCCCCAAGGCCCGAAATTACAACGAGAAAGTTTTTCCTTGGACTCTTCAAGGCAGACAGGACCTGGCATCTCCTGTGCATGTCTGTGGCCTGAGCAAGAGGGGACGTGGGACTGCGTGGGGGCTGTGACAGTTCAGCTTGCCCACCCGGCAGATGGGTCCTCTTCTCCTGTGGCCACTGAAGGCAAAGCAGGGGTGGGGGTAGGGGAGGGGGTCCCAGCCCCGTGAGGCTGAAAGTCAAGGTGGGATCACAGAGAAAGTCCAGGGACAAGATCAAGCCCTTCTGAAAAATGCATCTAGCAAGCCCCTGCCCGGCTGTGCCTCAGTTTCCAGTTTCTCTTTGGCCCTCTCCAACTGGGTGGACAAGTCTGGTGACTCCTTCCTGCATGCCAGCACCTGTCACGGCCCCTGCGGCCCTGGCTGAGGCCCCTGCTGGGTGGCCTGGGTGGACCAGCCCTGGACATGCAGCAGCTGGCTCTCGCTGCTCCCCGCCCTGCCACCTGGGTCCCTGCACCTGCCTCGAAGCATCCAGTTCTGGAGCTTTTGTCCTGGGCCTGGGAAATGGGCATTTTCTGCCCATAGGCACAAAGGAGAAACTGCAGGCAGGCACGCTTCTGGAAAGTTCCAGGGCTAAGGAGATGCCGAGTCGTTCTTCCTCACCCAGGGGTCAGGTCCTCACCACAGCCCCCACCCAGTGGCTGCCCCCGCCTCTGGCCAGGAGCCCTGCCCGCCAAGCCAAGCAAGAGGCGGGACGCGGTGACGCGATGTCTCCACTGAAAGGGTCCCGCTTCCCCTCAGAGAAGGGGCCGCACATTAATTCACTCAAGGCCGGGGATTAGTCATCGGGCAAATAAGATTAAATGCCCTTGAAATGGAATTAAAATGACGTCAAACAGCAGAATATCATTTTCCTAACAGCCCTGCAAGATGCTTCCTGCTTTAACCCCTTCCTGGCCCCATCTCAACCCCCAAGAGTGAGCTCCAAGCTCGGGAGAGGTGGCACCCACGTCTCTCTGTGCTCCTGAACCTGGCTCAGGGGCCATCGAGGAATCAACACTGAGGCTACTCCTGCCAACACCCTCCCAGGGCCTTCTGAGTCCTTCAAATATCAGATGGACCTTCAGGCCCCAGGCTACAGCTGGTAGAACTTGAGCCCCAGGCCCTGCACAGGGCGAGGGGACCTCAGCCCAGCCTAGGGCCCCGGGAATAGGGGGCCTGGGCCAGGAAGGAAGCCAGGAAGCTGAGGAGGTTCCTGGTCTCTCCCTGGCACCTCCGTGCCTTCCTTCACTCGGTTCTTTCTCCTCGTTAGCACAGCCCTGCCTGCCCTCCTGGGGAACCAGCAGGCCCTCAGCTCCTTGTTCACCACCTGCAGCTCAGGGGCCCGAGGATTCGTCTCCACTTGCAGGAATCCTCTTTTCATCTTAGAAGAGAAGAGAGGAATGATAAGGCTGGGCCCAGAGTCCCAGGGAGGACTAGGCAGGCGGGCACCAGGGCTGGGAACAGCCCCTCTCCCATGGGGCTGTCCACACAAAGCCCTCATTTCCCCAGGCCCATCTGGGGTCTGGAACCCCCTTAGAAGCCAGAAAGAGTGAACCCCACCTGGCCCACCTCAGCAGCGCAACCCAGCCAGGGAAAGGGGCAGGAACGTCTGTGCCTCCTGTGCCCCTGCCCGGGTCCCCACGCCAGGACAGCGTCTTTGCAGACATTCATGGTGACCTGCCTAGTCGGGGAACATGCCTCTCTGTAGGAGGCCCTGGCTATTAGCACCACCGAGACGACCTGCAAAGTCGCTGGAAATCTTCCTCAATCATCAGCCTTAAGCCCTGATCATCATTTCTCATTTTCACTGAAACAATCACCTGTCGGAGAGGGTGGGCTGTGAGCTGCCCATTCGTCACGCAGGGCTGCCCTGGCCAAGTGCACGCGCCGCCCGGCCAGGCTCAGGCGTGGATCAATAGGCCACGTTCAGGCCGTCAATAGCTGTAAATACATTTGCGGGATCAGTCAGGACAGCCTCCTGCCCGGCCACCATCCAGGGAGCTGCTGGGCGCAGAGTACGAGTGGGGCAAGCGGTGTGCACCCTTTACCGTCCCTGGGGTCCAGCCTGTCTGGGGCTGCGTCTGTCCCAGCTCTCCCTGCCAGTGCTTCCACTTGGGCCGTCATCCTTGCTGTGCTGAGCCTGGCTCTGCCCGGCTCTGGGACTCCAGAAATGAGCCGTGATAACAGAGGCCTGGGAAGGGCCCCTCTGTGTCCTCCTCCTTGCCTTCCGCAACCCTCAGCAACAGGCCTCGGCTCCTCCTCTCTTCTCGTGGGGTGGCCTCCCATGGCAGCCAGTCCGGCTCTGGGGACGGTGAGTTCTCTCGATTCCGAGTGGAGATAAGCCCAACCCAGCATCCTCTCAGGCTGGGGGCAGCTCTCTCCACACCTGCACCGTGCCCAGGAAGTTGGCACTGATGCCCTCTAAACATTTCTCCCGGCCTGGCACCCTGTCTCCCTCCGGCCACCGCCCAGCAGAGGGCCCCCACTAACCAGGGCCACTGTCACTCAGAGTCCAGCTCAGGAACTGGGCATTTTCCCCCCACCCATCCCCACCACAGGGCAGGGCAGGGAGGTGGGGAGTCACCTCCTTCAGCCCGGACTCCGCATTCCGGTCGGGGACAATCCTTAGTGCCAATGAGGTCCCTGGTGTCTGTCACCCACTGCTGCTGTACTCTCCTCTCCAGAGACTCAGAATCAACAGGCCGTGGAAAGAGAGATTTATTGCAGTGAATTAGCTCATACAATGATGGAGGCTGAGTCCGCAGACCTGCACCGAGTCAGTAAGCTGGAGCCCTGGGAGAGCTGATGGTGGCAAATCAGGCCGGACACCAGCAGACTCGACACCTGGGTGGAGCTGATGTTCCAGCTCAAATCTGAAAGCAGGAAAGCAGCCGCCCTCCCGGCTGCAAGGCAACCAGTTTCCTCGTCATGCCTTCATCTGATTGAGCGAGGCCCACCCGCATGGGGGAGGGACATCTGCTGTGCTCAGTCTACGGATTCCAGCCTGAATCTCATCCAGAAACACCTGCACGGACACACCCCAAATCGGAGTCCACCAAATGTCTGCAGTCGCGTGGACACATAAAATTAACCCTCACAATACCTCTCCCTCTGCCCCAAACACGCAGCTGCTTCACCCACCTTCACCTGTTCCCCCGCAATTAGCCTGTGTCCCCCAGTGCCATCCATTCTGGGCACCCTGGTCAGAAGGCCCCATCGGCTCTGCCCCTTGGGGGTCCTCAGGATTTTGACTGAGCCCCCAGGGTTGGTGGCTTACGTGCCTACCTGCATTTTCCACCAGCAGGAGGAGCAGGCTCATTGCAGCTGCATTGGAGGACGAGGGCTGAGTCTAGCCTCCTCCTTGGGACTGCAGCCTCCAAGGCAGGCTCTTCACAGGAGGGTCACCAGAGCCCTCAGCTGGGAGCTGGCACATGGCCACTTCCGGCTAAATCGAGCCCGGTGGCCAAGCCTGCCATCAATGGGGACAGTGGATGAGGAAATAGTGTTTGCTGAGCGACAATCTTCTCTCTCACAGCCGCCAGCCTCAGGACAGGGAGCACGGGAGGGAGGCAGAGGGCAGCCCTCTTGTCCTTTCTCACCCCGGGATGCAGATGACAATGACCACACTCTGGTGACCAACCAGGCTGCCCCAGCCCCTCCCAGACACTCACCCGGGCCAGGCAGCAGGAGGAAGCTCCCTGGTGCTCTCAGCTCCCAGAACAGAGGATGCCTTTGCTTTGGGAGGATGGGGTGATCCTAACCACTGCTCCGTCCTGCCTTGGAGGAGGAGGCCTGAGGGTAGGGCCCAGCTACCAACCAGGCTGCTGCTGTGGACAGCCTCCATCCTGCCCAGGGCCCCTTCCTGGCAGCCCCCTCCCTCCGTTGCTCTCTGCACTCACCTCTGCCTGGCCTTGCCCCTCCCCCGGGGTTCATCTCAGCCTGCATCTCCCAACTCTGCACCTCCCAAGACAATCTCGTTTGGGCTCTGAGTCACGCTGGGGCCTCACAGGACATCTCTGGGGATGGGTGAGCCTTGGCTGGCGTCCCCGCAGAAGCGTGACCCTCACACCTGGGCCAGCGCTCTGAGGCCCCCGGCCAGCTCACCTGCTGCTAAAAGAAGGGAAATGAAGCACTGGCTTGTTTTCAAGGGAAAAGGCCGGCAGCAGATGGCCCCTGCAGCCCCCCGGCCCCTCCAGCCCCCGGGTCCCTCCAGCCCCCGGTCCCTGCAGTCCCCTGGCCCCTGCAGCCCCCTGGCCCTCCAGGCCCCTGGCCTACTCCTGCAAGCCCTGGGGAACCGATTCTGCAGCTCCGGGCCAGAGCCTTCACCTCCAAACCAGGACAAACCAGGCAGTCTGGGGTAAGAGTGGGAGGAAGTAAAAGGCACCCATGGGCTCCTGGGAGTTGAAATAAGAATATCTCAGTCTCTTTCCATAAGGAAACCTAAAAAGAGCACAGAACATTTTGAAAATGGAAGCCAAATATTTATTAAATATTTTCGAATCCATCAGAAACCACAGATGCTGGGGAGAACAAAACCCACTTTCAGAAAGAGGTGGCGAGTCACGGGGAGAAGCGGGGAGCACGTCTGAGGGACTCTGCTCCGTGCCCAGCTGTCGACACCCCCGTTCCCACACCCCTGCCCCCCTCCCCAGCAGAGCCCCCCTCCCCAGCAGAGCCCCTCTCCCGGCCCCAGCAAGACCCCTTCCAAGGCAGGTCTGAGAAACGCAGAAACGTGATCTCTCAAAGCTGATCAACGTTGTGGACACCTGGAACAGATGACCAGAGACATCGTGCCTGTGTGCCCTGCGCCCACTCCAAACAGCCGCCCCGAGAGCTCTGCCGGGCCCCGCCCCAACACGCGGGAGCCAAAACGCTGGTGGCATGGCTGGCCCGGGGCTTTAGTAACACAAAGTGACAATGGGGTGACCAGCTCAGGGCCTCTGGATACTGGAGGACAGAGAGGCTGTGGGAAAGAGGAGGCTGCAGAGGGTGGGGTGGGCACTCCCAGGCCCTCGCTCAGGCCCTCGGCCCATGACATCAGCACCTTCTGGCCAAGGTGGAACGGTCACTGGGCGAGGGTGAGATCCAGACATGTACCTTCCAGCCAGTCCCTCACATAAGAAGCTTCCAGAAACAAGTACAGATCTAACTCTAAATTGGCAGAAGTAAGGTGGGGGGGGGGCCTGTCTTGATTTCCAGTGACTCTTGGTGAGGGCT
Source organism: Homo sapiens (assembly GCF_000001405.40). Taxonomy (NCBI): domain Eukaryota; kingdom Metazoa; phylum Chordata; class Mammalia; order Primates; family Hominidae; genus Homo; species Homo sapiens. The sequence continues at coordinate 104,292,406 of NC_000014.9, read as the reverse complement.
GCGCTGGGAGGCCCTGCAGGGCCTGGCCCCAGGCAGGAGCTGAAGGCCCTTGGTGACCTCTGCCTCCAAAAGTGCCCGCCCCTCCACCTTCCTCTCTCAGCTGCCCCACCTCTCCCGCTGCCACTGCAGCCCCCTCCCTCCCCCACCCACACCGTGTGCCTTTCCTTCTCTTCCTTCTTGGGCATCTTCTGCTCCAAAACCCACCACCCGCCGGGTTCTATCAAAGGCCATAGAGCCGAACAGCAGCAAGAGCCCCCACTGATGGCGGGAGGTGGGGGGGCGGGGGGGGAGCAGGGAGGGGCGGAGGTGGAGGGGGAATGAGGTGGTGGAGGCAGAGGTGGGGAGGGATGGTTGTGCCACTCACACTTTAATACATATTTGTCCCTGACACACGCATGAGGTGTCCAGTACAGTACCCAGACCACAGCCGGCTTGCAGACATGCTAGTGGCCATTACTGAACATTTTATTGGCTGTAATTGATCGGGTGCTTCCTGTGTCCTGGACATTGTCCAGCGAGGCAGGTGCTGCCCCTCCCAGCAAGCAGGGCTCTTTAGACAGAGGAGGAGCTGACAGGAGGAGGTCTGCCCAGGCGGGGTCTCGAGATGCTGTCACCACCCTAGCGTCCTGAAGCCGCCCCAGGGGCCAGGAGCGAGGCCTGGAGGGTGCTGGGCCAAGGCGGGAGGAAGGTGGGACCTCCAGCCGGACGTCCCCTGCAGCAGGCCACACAGGCAGCTGGAAGCAGCTTCCGCAAAGCCTGCATGCATAATGAAGCCAAGCGTCAGGAGCTGCTGGTGAAGGCTCTGGGTAAACACTGATTATCGATCATTAAAAGAACAGGCTATTAGCAAGACAGAGGAGGCTGGCGGCCTTCGGGAAAGAAGGGGTGTTTGCACAGCCAGGAGTAAGCGGCCGCCCCAGGGACCCCTGAAGGGGGGCACAGTTATCAGCCTCAGTAATGGCACTGGAGCCGGCCACAGAGCCCCCGAAACCTGACACACAGGCCTGGCTTCTGCAGGTGGGGCCCCAGGTCTACAGATCTCCAGGGCACTGCAGGGCAACATCTGCAGGGTCCTTGCTGCCACCGTGGCCCTTGCTGTCCCCTGACCCTCTGGCACTTGAAGGCAGGGTGGACGGGGGCAGACAGGTTGCCATGGCAGGGAGAGACACATGCAGACCCCTCCACCTGCCATCACACAAGGTCCCTCCTTCCTGTGCCTGCTGGTGCCAATGACAGGCACCCTTCCGGCTAAACAGAGGACCGATGTCATGGCTCGGGACCCCCAGGCCACCTGCCCCTGTCTGCACCCGGTGAGCCCTTCTCCACAGCCCTTGGTCCCTGAGGTCACGGGGAGGCCTCTATAGCTGTTGTCTTCCACATAACCAGAAGCTTCCAGGCCACGTTTCACCTGAGAAGCAGGAACAGGGGAAGGTCACAGGGAACAGGTGCCGTGGCGCAGGGGACACCAGCATGGCAAACGCCACACCTGGGGACCTGCCAAGCCCTGGTGGCACACAGCCCTGACAACCCTCAAACCCTGCTGACCTCGAGAAGCCCCAGCCCCGGTGCATGCTGATGGCCATCCAGATGTCACTCCATCCTGAATGCTGGACTCAGCATGGGGGAGGACAAGCTCCCGTTCTCATCCCCAGCCACCTACACTGAGAACACAGGAATCATTGGGAAGAGATAGGCACTGGATAGACAAATGAGCAAAAAGGTCAAAGTGGCAATTCATAAAACAAGGGCAAATGACAAGAGGCACAGAAACACACAATCGCGTGTAGCCAGACACACTCCAACAATGAGAAGTCATTTCTCACCAAGCTGGCCATGGGGGGTGAAAAAAAATCCAGAACTGGAGATTTCAAACACTGGCCAGGGTTGGGAGGTGGGCATGGGAGGAGAGGCAGCGAGAGGGCAAGTGGCCACCGTCCCTGGGGACAGTGTAGGCCGGCATGTCATGTGGCCCGAATGTGCCACTCCAGAGGACTGACTTGGAAGGTATCATCAGACCAGAAACAATGGAGCAGAGGCCCCAGGGGAGTGACAGACAGACTGTGAGAAGACCTGGGGAGGGCACAGCCCCAGAATCCCGGGATGTGCAAAGGCCCTGCAGCAGGAATGTGCCTGGGGGCTGAGAAGCAGCAGCAGGAAGCAGGAGGCAGGGGAGGTGCCAGGACTCGTGGCTGGAGAGGCAGCTGAGGTGACGTCTCCATCGCAGAGATTTGGAAGCACCTTACATGGCCACCCAGGGGCCAGCCGTCACCGCCAGTGGCACATCCAAATAACAGAACCCCACAAAAGCATTAGGCATTGTTGCGGCAGGTATTTATTCACGATAAAAATCTTCCAGGTTTACAAAGCAGCAGTGCAGCACAGTCTCAACCTGTGAGAAAAAAAAATGACCTAATAACATGAACACGTGCACAGACAAAACCCGAAAGCCTTTGACATCAACATGTTTACGGTGGGTGACATGGGGGATGTGATAACAGGGGAGACTATTTTTCTTTGTGCACAGTATTTTTGAAATTTTCTGTCATTAGTGTTGCATTTATACAATGCAGTCCCTAGGTGCATTTCCTATGAAAATTGTTTAGGCTTCTCTTAGGAGCACTGACGTCAGGCACATCATATCTGCTGACTCATGACCCTCACTGATGGCATGTGGGAGGGTTTCCAGGGTGCGGGTGCTGTGCTTAGCAGGTGCCTTGGTAGCTGGGCTCATCATACATGTGCATGCATATGCACACACACACTCATATATGCATGCACACGCACATTCACAGGCATGCCCACACACACTCACACAGATATGCACACATGCACTCACATGCATGTATACATTCACAGACATGCACATACTCAAGCACACAGATATGCACACATGCACTCATATATGCATGCACACGCACATTCACAGGCATGCCCACACACACTCACAGATATGCACACATGCACTCACATGCATGTACACATTCACAGACATGCACACACTCACGCACACACAGATATGCACACACTCTCATATATGCATGCACACGCACATTCACAGGCATGCGCGCACACACACACAGATATGCACACATGCACTCACATGCATGTACACATTCACAGACATGCACACAGACACAGATATGCACACATGCACTCATATGCATGTATACATTCACAGACATGCACATACTCACGCACACACAGATATGCGCACACACACTCATATATGCATGCACACGCACATTCACAGGCGTGCCCACACACACACATATGCACACATGCACTCACATGCATGTACACATTCACAGACATGCACACACTCACGCACAGATATGCACACACGCACTCATATATGCATGCACACGCACATTCACAGGCGTGCCCACACACACAGATATGCACACATGCACTCATATATGCATGCGCACACATTCACAGACATGCACACACACACAGATATGCACACATGCACTCATATATGCATGCACACACACAGATATGCACACATGCACTCACATGCATGTACACATTCACAGACATGCACACACACACAGATATGCACACACGCACTCATATATGCATGCGTACACACATTCACAGACATGCACACAGTTACACACTCACACACAGATATGCACACATGCACTCATATATGCATGCGCACACATTCACAGACATGCACACACACAGATATGCACACATGCACTCATATGCGTGCACACACACATTCACAGACATGCACACACTCAGACATGCACACATGCACGATGCACACATTCACACACATATGCATATGTGGCTGTGAGTGAATGACGGAGGGGGGACGGCCGTGCCACTCATACTTTAATGTGTATTTGTCCGTGATACGTGCACACACATGCACATACACACATGCACACATGCATGCACACACACATGCACGTGCATGCACACATTCACACACATGCACGCATGCACATTCATGCACTACTGGGAGCCGGGAGCTCCCGGGGTTCCACGGAGCCAACAGCCTCTGGGCTGGACCTCTGGCCCCTCAGCTCAGCTACGGAACCTGGGGCCTCTGAGTCCTCATCTGCAGATGGGATGCTGAAAGTCTTGAGAGTAGGGATGAAGAGCAAATGGATGCAGGCTTGGAAAGCTCAGGGGTGAGGTCTGAGGGGTCAGAACCTAGCCCCTGCTGTTATTCCCGCTTCACAGAGGAGATCAAAGATAGAACATGGCCCGTGCTCACACGGCAGGCAGCCACAGAGGTGGCTAGCTGTCCACTCACTGAATTCCCATTGCCTTTTATGTTAAAAAATAAAAATAAAATGAATTGAGTTCAGGTAAGGAAGGGGCAGCCCCTCCCCTGCCCGGAGGCACAGCTGGTCTCGGCCCTTCGGGGTGCTCCTTTTTTATCTTGCTAGTGATTGGCCTTGTGGTGAGCATGAGAGCCAGAAAGTTCTGGCCAATGAGATCCGCAAGGAGGTAGTCCAGGGCTCTTCAGAGATGACTCCTCTTCTTCTGGCTCTGGAAGCTGCCATGGGCTGTGGGCTGTCTTGGTCCACAAGGCAACAACTCTGGACGCCCCATGCTAAGGATGACAGGGCCAGGAAGACACAGCCAGCCTCTGAGCTGCCCCAGGCCACCTCCCCCAAGACATTTCCACCGGAAGACACCTTCACCGCCAAAGCCCCCACAGGCTGGGGTTCCCAGCCAGCCAGCACCTCACCCATCCCTGCATCGCAGCTGGCCCCAGCCCTCTCCCAGTTCCACTTTGATGCCACTCTTTCTCCAGCAGCTGCTACCATCAGAGCCCTGAGGCCCACATCACCTCCTGTCTGCCCTCTGGAGCGCAGCCTGGCATGACTCACCTGGGCCTAGGGGCCTCCGCAGTCCCCAAGCTCCTAGGGGTCTCCCCTCTATTTTGCAGACTTGAATCCTGGGAGAGAGGAGAATATGGCTCCATCACCCATGTTCCGCACCTGGCCAGGCCCCAGCATCAGTCCACAGTGCGGGACTACACCCAGAGAGGTGTCGCAGGGGCTGTCCGTGGAGGATGGTGCCTGAGAGCTGGGACCATGGGATGGGAGAGGCACCTGCTCCCCCTTGCCCACCCCTTCAGTCTGGCAGAACTGGAAAGCTCCGGTCACCTGCCTGGCCTGGGGCCCCTGACACCCTGGGGGCCTGGGAGGTGGCTTGAAGGGGAGAGCTGGAGATGGCCAGGCTGCTGGACCAATGCCCCCCGTAAGACCACACTTGTGAATTCATTCCTCTTATCACCAACCCTCTTAAAATGTATTCAAGTTTGGTTTTTTAATTATGCAAATGATTTGTGAATAAATTTGTATAATAAAAATTCAAACTTTATAGACACCGAAATCCCCTGTTCCCCTTCCTCAGTCCAAGTGGCCTCCCCAGGGTGACAGCCCTTCTCCCACTGGTGTGTGTCATTCCAGAACATTCCCTGTGCACCTCATGCATTTGTGTTTGGGGGAACGCAGCTGTGCTTTGTGTGTTTCCTTAGATGGCATTGAATGGCACATGTCACTCTGGGGTTTCTCTTTTCTTCCCCAGTGACTCAGTTATGCACACTGTTGAGGACAGGGCCGACTGCCTGCAGCACCCAGGCTGCCTTTGCGTGTGTCCACATGACCCAGCCACACTCCCCACCCCTCACAGCTCCATGTGGCCATTTCCACCACCCGTCAGGATTCTCCACCCTCCTCGGGTAGGAGTGAGACCCAACAGGGTGGCAGAGCCCTGGAAGGCCCTGGGCCCTCAACCAGGAAGACCCACCTGGAACTGTGCCACCAACAAGACCCAATGTCTATTGAGTCAAGGAGCAGCATGTTGAATCCATGCTTACCGCGGCCAGAATGCCCCAGATGCTATGGCCATCGCCTGTCTTTCCCTGAGGACCTAGCTCATCTTTTTATCTGCTGTGTAGTATTTGCAGGGCAGACGTTGCTATGGTCTCCACGTTTGAGTCACCCCCAAATTCCATGTTGAAGTTCTCATGTCCAACGTGATGCTACTGGGAGGCAGGGCCTTTGGGAGTTGATTAGGTCATGGAGGTGGAGCCCTCAGGAATGGGATTAAGGACCTAACAAAGACACCCTGGAGAGCTCCGTCACCCCGTCCTCCATGTGAGGACACAGCCAGAAGACGGCCATCCGTGAACTGGAAAACAAAAGCAGCCTGCCCTCACGGACAAGGCGTCTGCCAGGGCCTTGCCCCTCCAGCCTCCAAACCTGGGAGACGTCAATCTCAATGTATAAGCCCCCTGCTCGGGGTGTTTTGCTACAGGAGCCTGAATGGCAGATCACACCACTTTATTCTGCATTCCTCTGCCCATGAACTTGCAGGTAACTCCCATATGACAGGCCACACTTGCAACAAATCCTGAATCTCAGGGTAGGGTCTCAGGGCATCTTCCTTGGTGGGCTGCCTCTCCTTGTCCTGCTCCTGGCCATGGAGCCCACTCTGGCCCTAAATACAGGTTTCGCCTGCCAGCCAGATTTCCAAGTGGTCTTTGTGCTGGGGACCCAGCGGGACCAGCCCTCTCTCCAGGGACTGCTGTCAGGATGAGGAATTGTTTTTCCAAATGTGGCTTTTGCCGCAATCTCCCCCTTTGTGTTCTGGACAATTTGATCAAACAAGCAATAGAGAATCCATCAACATCTTCCAACCAGGAGACAAAGAGGCCTGACATGCCGCATGATGGCGTCCCCTAGCCCCATACCACACGGCAGGCCACCCAGGCTGGAGAAATCAGCCTGTTTTGTGCTGAGATGATAACAAATCACAGCAGGCACACCCACGCTCCGGGTGCCCACATTGTCCGCCTGTTGCCTGTCATTGCAGATGAAGCCTGGGCTCCTGGGCTCTGTGTGTGGGGCTCAAAGCTGGACTGTGGATCCCAGATAAGCACTAGGACCCTGGCCACTGCTCACGGCCCTGCCTCAGCCTCCAGAGCTCTAGAGAGGCCTAGGCGACCCCCAGTCCTACCCAGGAGGGGCACAGCTGGGCTCTCCAAACTCCAGATGTGACCAGACCTGCCCTGTACGCACGGTGCATGGCAGGCTCATGAAACCCAACTGCCGATGAGGGTAGGAGCTGGGCCATCTACCAGGACGGCCAGACACTGCCTCTCCGGCTAAGGCTGGGCCTTCCAAGGCTGGTCCCCAGGGGGTTCTCAGGACATCCAGGTGACAGTGACAATGGCAAATCACGGCCACCGGCTTTTCCTTCATCCTTGCTGGAGGAGCACTTTCCACCCTGCATCCTCCCTCAATAGGACGGGAGTGGTCCAGGCCCCAGAGGCTTCATGCGAGTGCCGAGGGGCCCACAGGGCAGAGCTGTCCTTCTGGAAGGTCAGAGACCCAGAAGGACAGACCCGGCTGTAGCATGAATGACCCTGGTGCCCATTTTACCTCCAGCTGTCCCATCCCATCCTTCAACTGAGTGGACGCCCTGGAGCGCTGCGGGGACACACAGGTCCCGGAAACCATGTGAGCTCTGTCTGCAAACTGCAACCTGCCGGGCATGTGGAGCCTCTGCCAGCCGAGAGGGAGCCCAGCACGCAGTGAGCACCTTGCACCCTCGCAGTCACCAGTCATGCTGCCTCCGTGACAATGGTGGAAACGAGGAAACGGAGGCACAGTAGAGGGAGGTCCAGGAGGCAATACGGCGTCTGCTGCAGAGGACGCAGCCCAAGTTCCCTGATGCTAAAGGGATTTGCCTAAACACACCCACCTGAACCTCTCGCAGCAAAGCCTGGCGCTTAGGCAGCCCCTCACACAGGCCTGAGCTCTGAGCCCCCACCTCACCCTGAGCCCTAGGGCACCTCCCCATGCCTGAGTGGGCGGGCTTTAGAAGCACCAGCCCCCTCCCCTCCTGCCTGCACCCCTCCCTCAGGTGTCAGAGAGGCAGACCCCCTGCTGAGCTCTGCTGGACAAGCTATGGCAGATGTGTGGGAGTTGCACACATTGCAGTCTGGGCTCCTGGCGCAGAGCTGCACACAGCAGGTGCACCGCAGAGGCCAGCAGGGCCCCGGCCCACACCGCCACCCCAGAGTCCTCTCTCAGCCCAGTACGGAGAAGCCCCTCCCCTTCCTCTGCAAGCCCAGCCTCTCGCCCCCACCCACGACAACTCAAGGGTGCAGCAGCTTTGCCCACTGCAGCTTGGGCACCAGAAGGCCTCATTCCAAGACCCAAGGCAGGAGGACAGCAGCACCACAGAGGGGCCCTGGGCCACCTGCTGGCTAGCGAAACCACCTCACCTTTCCACAATAGGTCCCCCTTTCACCCTGAGTGAGAACCGCCCCTACCAGGGGGCTACCTGGGGGGCCGCAGCCTCCCAGCTGCCAGCACATGCCCAGTGCTTTCTCCAGCCTGGCCCAGCCCCAGCCAGGCAGGACTGCCCTGCAGAGCACCCCTGAAGGCCGCACACTTGCAAGCTGCCCACAGACTGTGCAGCGCTGGCTGCCTTTTATGGGGATGCTACGCCTGTGCAAGCCGAGCAGAACAAATGAGATTGGAATTTTATGATTCTTTTACAGTGCTGCTCTGCGGAGAGCTTGTTTAATTAGCTTCTAACTCAACACCTTTGGCGACTCTAAATAATTCACCACCCCGGCTCCCCTCACCCAGCCAGGTGTGCCAGTGCTGCTTCCACCCCCACCAGCTCTGCAGGGAGGTCACAGCTCCACAGTTCCAAGGCACAGGCCCCTCGAAGGGCAGATGCCTGGTGACGTGTCCTTTTCAGGAGCAGCCTTCCCAGAAGGCACAGTAGCCTTCCTACCTGGGCACAGCCACAGGTGTGCCAGGCCACCCTGGGGACAACGGTCAACCTCTCTGGACTAGCAGGGAACACTCCCGCCTGCTCTGCACACGCCCCCTCCGCCCTCCCGGGCAGCAGTTTCTCTGCCCCCAGCCTCAGCACTGGCCTGACCACCCCAGGGGCCTCAGCTGCCCATCCTGGGCTCCCTCCCTTCCTGGCGTTCCACAAGGTCAGTGTCCCACCGTCTCCTCCTCTAGGAGCCTAGCAGCAGGCACAGCACCGACCCCCATCCACTGCAGGGCGGAACCCAGGCCACGGGAGCATAGATGGAAGGGTGACCACCCGCCCACGGAGGGAGCCAGTTCCCGGGGCCTTCCTGAGCCCCTGGGTGGAAATGCACAGACTGTGGCTCCTAGGCCAGTCCCCTGGCTGCTCTCGGGGAGGGGGTCATCGCGTCCATCCCCCTGCTCCATCGCGTCCAGACCCCGGCAGAAGCTCAGCCCTGGCCTTTCTGGAGAGGAGCTGGGAACCGGGAGCCCATAAACCCAAGCCCAGCCCTGCTCCTGTGTTTAACAGCCCCCATCAAGGACTCCTGCCCGGATTCAATTACCATCGCAGGTTTTATAAGACCAGCAGTGCTCACTGCGCTCTGACAGAGAGACGTGACCCCGTGCCAGCTGGCTCCTCTCTCTCTCTCTTTCTCTCTCTGTCGTACACGTTCAAATGCCAAGGGGCGCTGGGGAGGGTGGAGAGGCCAAAGTTACCTCCTGCACCTTCTCCTAGGAACCAGGAAGCCCAAAGTGAGTGAAGCCAGTTCTGAACACACAGGAAGGGTCAGAGGACATGCTGGCATGCCACTCCGTGTGCCCTGGAATTATAGAGGAGCAGGGCTGGCACAGGGAGGCATGCCCACCATGCCTCGGGTGATGTGGAGAGCCCGTGTGGTGTGTGTGCTCACGGCCCCACACAGCCACCCCAACACGCCACCCTGACTGCCTGCCTCTGCCTCCACTCCTGCCCCACGGTCCTGGGGCTCAGGCCTTGGCATCCTGCCCTGTGGCCGGAGTGGGCTATCCCAGAGTGGACACATGACCCGCACCAGCCAGGGCTCCTGGTTTCTCCCTGGGATGGGAAGAAAAGGGGCCTCCCCCAGCAGAGAGTCTTAGGCATATGGGGTTTCAGGTGCTTTGGGGCAAAGTGAGTCTCAGGGCATAGATCTGGCCCACCCGAGGGCAGAAGAGAAAGACGGGGACAGGCTAGCTGGAGGTCCCCTAGGCCCAGCCACACGGCCCTCTCCTCATTGCATCGCCCCCAGGAAGTGTCCCCAGCACCTGAGCTCCTTGGCAATGGTCCATCTTGGGGAAGAGGTGAGAGAGGAACCCCAGGTGCCCCCCAGGAGGCCTGGCCTTGGCGTTCAGTGGCCTCGCTGCGTGCAGGCAGGCAGCTGGTCTCAGTGTTTCTCATTCCCCAGACACAGAATGGGCACGTTGCAGAGCAGGCTCCAGGGCGTCTCTTGGAGGCAAGTGCCCCACCCAGGCCTGGCTCCATGGATGACAGGGACAAGAGAGGATGTCTAAAGTCCTCAGGAAGCCTGGGCCCTGCCAGTGTAGGTCAGCAGACAGCATGGAGGCCGTGAGCATGGGCCCCCCAGCACAGGCTGCCATCCCTCAGCCCCCATGACCAGAGCAGGGGCAGCCAAACCAGCCTCAAGGACCGCTGGCATTGAGGCAGAGGCAGAGGGCAAGGGCCCCCGCTGGCCTTAGTGGCCACAGGGCTCTGTGAGGGCTGGCGCTGTGAGACGCCTCCCTCCATGCTCTGCCCTTTGGATTCTTGGGCAATGAAAGCTCACACTCCTCCCGCCCAAAAGCCACCAGCAGGCTCCACACGCTTCCCCCAGGGGCAGGGGCAGGATGTCCAAGCCATGTGCACACCAGCAGAGGGGAGAGGGAGGCTTCCTGCATCCCCCCAAGCACTGCTGTCCCTTCAGGGCCTCCAGGGAGGGCTTGGGGGCTCAGGGATGATCTCCTCACTCAGACAGATGCTGGGGTGGGGGCTCAACAGATGGGAGGGAGCGGAGCATTGCAGGTAGACCCACCCCACTCAACTGTTTGTGTCCTTCAAGACATGGGGGCACACAACAGCAGCAGGGACCTGGGGGCAAACCCACTGGGTGGGCTCAGTCTGGGGCCAGAGGGTGGCTCTGCTGGGTGGGGGTGGAGGCTTCAGACCCCCTTACATGGCTCTCGGGGTCCGTGGCTGAGCGTGAACGTCTCAAAGGTCAGGCTGTGAGCAGGGGGAGGGCGGCAGGGGCTTACTCACCTCTGCTCCAGGAGTCGACTGCAACGCCTCTGAAGCCCCCAACCAGAGGCCCTGGCGCCCTGACCTCCGACTTTCCCGTGGGCCTGATCGTGCCTGAGACGTCCAGCCCCGCCATCCCATGCTGGCTCTGCCTGCTGGGTTCCCTTCCTGCCTAGGCCGGCAGAGAAGTGACCTGACACCGCGGTCAGTGTCCCCAGACCTGAACTCTGCCTACCACAGCCTCTCTTCCCGCGCGTCTCCACGGCCTGGGATCCAGGACAGGCAGGACCTTCAGCTCTGCCCTGCGGGGCAGGTTGGCCTAGGAATTTTAGCACAGCCTCAGGTCACCTCAGGCCCCTGAAGCTTTCTGGAGCCAAGACTAGCCCAGGACCAGCCTCCACACCATCCCTGGTGCTGAGTGGAGGTGGCCCAGACCCTCGGGAGCTGCCTGTGTGCTGGACTGGGGCAGCCCTGCATGCTGGGCCCAGGGCCTGGACGTGCATCATCCACAGATCACAGCACTGGGTACAGGGCTTCCTGCAGGGCACCCTCCCCATGGCCCGGGGCCCGCCACTGGGCAGTGGCACCCAGGTTGTGCCCCGCAGGGCACTGAGTTGCTGCCAGTGATGCAGGCACGAGGCAGCTGGGCTTCTTCCCCAACGCCCACCCTCCACCCAATCACTCCACAAGCCCCGTAGGCCCCATCCCCAAAAGTCAGCAGCCACACTGACCCGCCTTCTCTATCTTACAGGCAGGTGTGTGTGGCGGGCGGCTGCAGTCAGGAGACTGATTCAGATCATACATGCACACTTGCACGCACACACTCGTACACACACGTGCACACTTGTCCACTGCGACCACCTCGTCTGGCCCCAGCCCACTGCTCCGCTCCCTGCTTCCTCCCTGGCCAGTGCCATTCCCTTCAATCTGATCAGACCACAGCGGTCCCTGCTCAAAACCCACCCATGGCTTCCCATCATTTGCCAGGTCCCAGCGGCCCCCCGCAGTTCCGGGAACACAGCAAACGCCCCCACCAGCCTCTGCTTGGAGCCCTCTTCTCCCACCCTGGGAATGGCTCCTCCTTGCCTCCCGGCCTGCAGCCCCTCTTCCGACTCAGGCCCCCGCTCCCCCGCGGAACCTGTGGTTCTAGATCACGCGCCAAACAGCTTTCTGCAAAGATCCCGTTTCCTCGTGAATGACCCGATTTCACACTTGAAGGTGAGCAGGAGCCTTCGCCACCCCTTTGTGGATGTCCTGGAACCTGGACGGACACCAGGCCCCTCACAGGTCATCAGTGGGTATCTGCGGCGTGAGGAGCCCAGGCCTGCTGCCTGCCCGACCACTGACCTGGCTAAACCTCCCTCATGAATGGGGTTGCGATGAACCCCCCAAGCAGCCTGGGAGGTCACTGTTCTTACTATCTTGAGAGCTGAGGTTCAGAGAGGTAGGTAACCTGTCCAAGTTCACACAGCAGAGGGCACAGGGCCAGGTCTGCCTCCAGATTCTGACCACTGCACTCCCGTCTATGCTGACATTTAATCCTCAGCGCGGACTGAAAGGTGTGGCAATTTGTCCCATGTCACAGATGAAACGGGGGCTCAGGGCCCTTCTGCGCTGGCCCAGGTTGCACGCCTCATGTGCACTTATGTCAAGCAGGGATCAGAGGCTGCCTAGCTGGGCCCGTGCTGTCTGCTGCGCCAGGGCCACACACACACACACACACACACACACACACACACACACACACACTCTTGGGTCTGGAGGGAGGGGCTGCTGGGGTTTGGAATTTTTCCTGAAGGCAGGCTGCCATCCACACCCCTCCCCACACTGACTTTTAAGACATATCAGCTAATTAACTAATTGCTGGCTCTCAGTGTTGCCAAATCCCCCTCCCGAGGCATCTGGCCCCAGCCTGGGTGCTCCCATATGCCGGCCAGCCCTGCCAGAGAGAGCTGGCGCCCACTCCCTGCCTGGCGCGGCTGCGGGCCCCTGGCTCAGCACCCAGACTGCCAGTTTCTAGTTGGTTTCTGGTTGGTTCCTGAGCACTGGGTGTCCTGCCTGGCCACAGACCCCAGCAGGCTGCCTGGGGCCAGATAAGGGCAGCCTCTTCCCCCTGCCTGGGGCCTGCCTGCTGGGTCTCTATCGCCTGCCCCCACCCCAGAGGGGTGACCATCCCCTCCCCAAGCCAGCATCTCCTGGTCTCCCAGAAGGGAATAGCCACTTCTGATCTCTCTCCCCAATAAGTCGAACATCCTCATTCTCTTAATTATTGGAGAACAGATTTTTCCCCCAAATAATTAGGCAATTTAAATCATACAATCTTTCTCTGGGAACTATATTTAACCCTGATTTGAATGTAATTTACACATCGCAGCTCCCTTAAGCAGCTCTGGAAGCCAAAACATGGATCAAATATTTTTTAAATGTCAAATGCTGCTTAATTGTGGATCGCACTGAATTTATTTGTACAGATAAGCGTTTGATCTTCTACCTCCTTCTCTGCCCAAAGTAATTTTTCCGTAATCTATATGATACCCCAATTTCTCTAATAGCTGGAGGATTGAAATGATACATGAGAGGCCCTCAAATTTGCAGAGTATTTTAAAAGATGCATATTCAAGATTGGAGCAGGAAACTTCTAACCGGAGACTTGAGGGGAATTCATTAAGGCAAAAAGAATCCTGGTGCCTGGAGTGGCCAGTGCAGGGACTCCTGGGGAGGGGGCTGCCACATTACCCAAGCCACCAGGGCTGTGCTGCTCCCTGCCCAGGACAGACCCCGGGCAGGCATCCCCTGGGCAAGGGTCTCCTCTGGTTGCTGCTCCACCCTCGTTTCTCCCCTTGCTTAAAATATTTCGATAGAAAAGGAGGCAGATAAGATAATGTGCAGGGTAGCAGAGTCAGGGTATAGACGGTGCCTGCAAGGCCAGGACTGGCCCAAGGGGAGGCAGGAGGCCCCTGTGCTTGTCAGCCTGAAGTCAGTGAGGGTCTCCAGGAGAAGGTAGTGGCATGGTCTGTGTTAGTCAGCTATGCTGGATTCTGCTGCCATGACAAACATCCCCAGAAGCTCAGCGATTCAGGATTGGAATCACTGAGCAATGCCTCTGATCTCTCTTTCAACACAAGGTTTTTTTCTGGCTGGTGTTCCGTGTAGGCGGCAGGTGGCTATGGGTCTGCCCCATGCATCTTCTCTCTCCTGGGATCCAGGCCCTCCCGCAGCCGAGGGAGAAAGAATGTGGCAGGACCACGTGGTGCTCTTCAGGTTGGTGCTGGACACAGCCCGGCCCACTGCTGCTAACATCTGCTCACTCTGGGCGAGTCGCGTGGTTAAGACTGCTGTGAGTAAGGCGGGAAAGTCCCAGAAGAGGAGTCCACGTTGGTGACCATAACCCAGCAGCCCACACACCTCACCATTCATGTTCACTCCCCTCACGTCTGCACACAGAACATGTGGGAAACAGCCTCAGCCTCCCATCTGAACACATCTCCTCCCGATCCAGGAGCTAAAAGGGAACGTTAGCTTCCACTCACAACACAAAATACCACGGCGGGACAGACCCCGGATGGACGGAAGAAGCACCCCTTTTGGAGAGGGAAAGGGCGGCACTGTGTTCGCTCGTGGATGGCAGCCCTGTGCTCCTGCTGGGCAGAGATTTTTGAGAGCCCCATACCTGGGCGTGGGGAATGTTTCCAAACCAGGCTCTCATGGTGACCATCCGGCCCGGTTCACCAGGACGAGTGGGTTTCCTGAGAGGTGGGACTTTCAGTGTTGAAGCCAGCGACGTCCCAGGCAAACCCCAGGGGGCTGATCAACATACCTGACTCCAGTCCGTGGTGTGAGCCCCTAATCCATTACTGGCCCATCACCGAGCTCGCCTCTGGGAGGTTCTTCCTTTTCCATCACCCTCTGGGCTACATCTGAAGAGGATATTGGAAATTATGTCCTCAGGGAGCCCGCACCACTCCTGCTTTCTGTCCACAGAACGCTGGAGGCTCAGACGTGATTTTTAAATCTTGCACCTTCGCAGTCACTGCAAGGCAAAGCTGGGTGTGCAGATCCCTCAGCACGTGGCTGGCTTCACATCTGTTTTGGGCAGTTCACGGCAGGTGAGGAGATACGTCTCACTGTCTTGACTTTACGGCAGCTACTTTTAACTTCTGGGGCTTCCTTGGGAGAGCAATGCCCCCAATTTCTCTTCTTACAAAATTTCACCTGACTCAAAAGATTTGCTGGGGTCGGGTACAGTGACCCATGCCTGTAATCCCAGCACTTTGGGAGGCAAAGGCAGGCAGATCTCTTAAGCCCAGGAGTTCGAGGCCAGTGTGGGCAACATGCCAAGACAGCATCGCTACAAAACTTTAAAAATTAGCTGGGCTAATTTTAAAATTACGCCTGTAGTCTCAGCTACTGGGGAGACTGAGGTGGGAGGATAGCTTGAGCCCAGAAGCTTGAAGCTGCAGTGAGCTGTGTTCGTGCCACTGCACTCCAGCCTGAGCAACAGAGTGAGAACTGGTCAAAGAAAGAAAGAAAGAAAGAAGGAAGGAAGGAAGGAAGGGAGGAAGGAAGGAAGGAAGGAAGGAGAAGGGAAGGGGAGGGGAGGGGAGGGGAGGGGAGGGGAAGGGAAGGAAGGAAAAGAAAGGAAAGGAAAAGAAAGGAAGAAAGAAAAGAAAGAAAGAGAAAGAAATGTGCTGGGCTGCCACCTTAATCTATTCAGAGATCATAACCCCCGGGGGTTACACTCTCCACCTGGCTTTTGCCACCAGCCTGAGCCTAACTGGCTTTTGTGGAGCAAGCATGTCTCCCATTTATCCTTTACTGGTTGGAGCTAAGAAGCAGTTGCCTCTTTCAAGGCTGTTTGCAAACCAGACAATTTCCATCTGAGCACATCTTTCTTGTATTATCTCATCCGTATCTCCAATAGCAACCAAGACACACCAGTCACATTTGGTTTCCAAACCTCTTTGCTTGAATCCACAATCTCCTGTTTTCTGTTTGGTGGTGATGGTTGTTGTTGTTTTGAGACGGAGTCTCACTCTGTCGCCCAGGCTGGAGTGCCGTGGTGCAAGCTTGGCTCACTGCAACCTCCGCCTCCCAGGTTCACGCGATTCTCCTGCCTCAGCCTCCCAAGTAGCTGGGATTACAGGCGTCCGTCATCATGCCTGGCTAATTTTTGTATTTTTAGTAGAGACGAGGTTTCACAATGTTGTCCAGGCTGGTCTCGAACTCCTGGCCTCAGGTGATCCACCCGCCTCAGCCTCCTCAAGTGCTGGGATTATAGGTGTGAGTCACCGTGCCCAGCCCAAAGCCTCCTATGTTTTCCGCCCCCGAGAAAACATAGATGACAGTTTTGCCAAATGTTTCACCACATAAAAATGCTGCTCCCAGCCTCTAATTATAGTTTCTCCCCCTCCCCTGCCCCACCCCAGCCAATGCCACAAATTTTAGGTTTTGTGTGTGACAGCAACGAATTCTAGGTGCCAGTTTCTCCTCGAGTCAGCTGATGCCAGGCCGGGCTGTGGCCCCAGCAATCTCGGCGTCTCAGCAGTTTACAACACACGTGTGTTTCCACTCGGGCTCCGCGTTTCCTGTAGGTCAGCCGGGCGCTTGCCACAGTTGAGCATCCAGGCTGGAGGAGCCGCTCCCTCCAGGACCGTTTCACTCTCTTGAAGAGGCGCTTCTGCTTCTGCTTACGTTCCATTGGCCAAGGTAAGTCAGGAGGCAAAGCCTGACGACATTGAAGAAGGAAAAATAAGTCTCTCTGAGACAGGGTGGGCGTGTGGGGCTGGCGAGCCGGGGAGAAGAGGCTCCTCCAACGGCTGATCACATGTAGCTCGCCGTTCTGCGGTCTCGCAAACAGTCACTGGCCCACAGCCAAGGAAAGGACTTGCTGGCAACCGAGAGGCCACAGGAGCTTAGGACTGCACGCGGCCACTTCTTCAGCTTTACTGCAGCAGCTCCAGACACGTCCTTCCAAACAACACCGGAGGCAAAAACTCAAGGAGCTGCAAGGAGAACAGACAAACCCACCTCTATAGCTGGAGACATCAACACTCCTCTTTCAGTCATTGGTAGATCAAGCAATCAGAAGTCAGCAAGGACAGAGGTGACATGAAGAATGCTATCAATCAACTTCATCAACTGATGTTTCTAGAACATTCCACCCAGCAACCACAGAATACGTGCAGGTTCACGTTCTTTTAAGCTCTCGTGGAGCATTCGCCAAGGACAGACCGCGTTCTGGGCCGCAGGACCCGCAATAACAAATTTAAAAGAAGAGAAGTCGTGCTCTTAAGACACAATGGCATAAACTAGAAATCAGGAACAGAAAAGACAGCTGGAAAATCCCCAAATATCTGGAGATTAAGCAACATACTTCTAAATAACACATGGGTCAAAGGAGAAGTCTCAAGAGAAATTTTAAATATTTAGGAATACATGAAAAGACAATTTATCAAAATGTGCAGGCTGCAGCAAAAGCAGTACTCAGGGGAAATTTATAGCATGAATGTACATGTTAGAAAAGAAGACAAGTCTAAAATACATCATCTACGCTTCCATTGTAGGAAACTAGAAATAGAACCATTTAAGACTATAGCAAGCAAAAGAAAAGGAATAATAAAAAGTAAAGCAGAATTCAATGAAACTCAAAACATGAAAGTGATAGAAAAAAATCAAAAGCTTATTTTTTAACAAGATCAATGAAATGGACTAACTAAGGAAAAAAAAAACAAAGAAAACATAGATTGCCAATATCAGAAATGAAAGAGAGGTTGTCACTGCTGATTCCGTAGACATTAAAAGTCTAATAAAGTAATACCATGAACAGCTCTATCTCTACAAATTTGAAATTTAAGATGAAATGGGCCAATTCTTTAAAAGACATAAACTACCCAAGGAGAAATTAAAAAGCTAAATAGTCCAGACATCCCACTGCTGGGTATATACCCAAAAGAAAGGGAATCAGTATATGGAAGAGATACCTACACTCCTATGATGGTCAGCACTTTTTACAAGAGTTAAGATTTGGAAGCAACCTAAGTGTCCATCAACAGATGAATGGTTAAAGAAAATGCAGTATGTATCCACAACGGAGTACTCTACAGCCATAAAAAAAGAATGAGATCCAGTCATTTGCAATAACACAGATGGAACTGGAGGTTATTATGTTAAGTGAAATAAGTCAGGTCCAGAAATATCAACATCTCATGTTCTCACTTATCTGTGAGAGCTAAAAAATCAAAACAATTTAACTCAAGGACATAGAGCATAGAAGAATGGTTACCAGAGACAGAGAAGGATACTCAGGGGCTGGGAGGGAGGTGGGAGTGGTTAATCAGTACAAAAAAAAAAGTAGAAACAATGAATAAAGCCTAGTATTTGATAACACAATAGGGTGACTATAGTTAATAATAACTTAATTTTACATTTTAAAATAAAGAATGTAATAGGATTGTTTGTAATTCAAAGGATAAATCCTTGAGGAGATGGATACCCCATTCTCCATGATGTGCTTATTTCACATCGTATGCCTATATCAAAACATCTTCATCTCATGTACCTCATAAGTATATACAACTACTATGTACCCACAAATACTTTTTAAAATAATTTAAAAATTTTAAAAAGCCTTAATAGGTCTATATCTGTTAAGGAAATTTAAATAATACTTCATTATCTTCAAAAAAGAAAGCACTAGGCCCAGATGGTTTCACTGGTGAACTCTACCAACTATGTAAGGAATAAATACCAATTCTCTACAGTCTGTCTTTATATGCAATAACACAGATGGAACTGGAGATCATTATGTTAAGTGATTTAATTTTTCTTCTGAAAAATAGAAGCAGAGGAAATGCTTCCTAACTCATTGTAAGAGGTCAGCATTACCCTAATACCAAAACAGATAAAGAAATTACAAGAAAAGAAACTTGAGACTACAAACCAATAACTCTCATGAATGTAGATATGAAAATAATCAACAAAATATTATCAAATCAAATCTAACAATGTATAACCACAATTACACAGCATGACCACGAGGGACTTATTTGAGGTATGATTTTCACATTGGAAAATCAATCTAAGATGTGTGTATTAATCTGCTCTCACGCTGCTAATAAAGACATACCCACGACTGGGTAATTTATAAAGGAAAGAGGCTTAATTGACTCTCAGTTCCACATGGCTGGGGAGCCCTCACAGTCTTGGCAGCATGCAAGAGAGAATGAGGAAAAAAAGCAAAAGGGGTTTCCCCTTATAAAACCATCAGATTTCGTGAGACGTATTCACTACCTTGAGAAGAGTATGGGGGAAACTGCCACGATGATTCAATTATCTCCCACCGGGTCTCTCCCACAACACATGGGAATTATGGGAGCTACAATTCAAGATGAGATTTGGGTGGGGACACAGCCAAACCATAGCAACATGTAAATGATTAAATGGATGAATGGATGAATCTATCTCCTGAAAGAAATAAGCAAACACAGCAAGGTTGCAAGATACATGGTTGATATATGAAAGTCAGATCCTTTCCTATATGCCAGCAATAAACAATCAGGATTTGAAATTTAAAGAACAATACTAGTTATAGCAGAACCCCCAAAAGTGGAATACCTAGGCACAAATCTAACAAAACATGTACAGGCTCTGTATGCTGAAAACTGCAAACCTCTGACGAAAGATATCCAAAAAATCTAAATGAATGAAGAGATAGTCCATGTTCACATAGGAAGACTCAATATTGTTAAGGTGTCTACTTTTCCAAATGTGGGCTATAGAATCAATAGATCTAATCAACCCTAATCAATATCCCAGCAAACTCTCCTGTAGATATCAACACACTGATTCTAGAGTTTATACACAAAGCCAAAAGACATAGAATGGCCAACACAACGGTGAAGGACAAAGCTAGGGGACTCACGCTTCGCAATTTCAAAACTTCCTATAAGATGATGGCATCAAGACAGGAAATATTGATGAATGAATGGATAAACAGATCAGTGGAATAGAACAGAGATCCACTAGTAGACCCACACAAATGCCAATGATCTTTGACAAAGGAGAAAATGTGTCTCTAACAGAGAAAGTCTCGTCAACAAATGGTGCTGTAATATTTAGACATCCATATGCAGAATAAGTAAATAAATCTAGACACACACTGAGGGCGCTTTTCACAAAAGTCACCTCAACAGGGATCAGAGGCCTAAATGTAAACCATAAAACTAGAAGAAAGCAGGGGACCTACGTGACCTTGAGTCTGACGATGAGTTTTTGATTGCAACACCCAAAGCCCAACCTATGAAAGAAAAAATTGTTAAGATGTGTTTTTCATTAAAAACTTCTGCCCGGCAAAAGAAACCATTAAAAGAATGAAAACACAAGTCACAGGCTGGGAGAAAACCTTTGTAAAATGTAAGTCAGATTAAAGGACCTGTATCCAAATCACACAAAGAACTTCCTAAAACTTAACAACTAGAAAACGAACAGCGCAATTTTAAAATGGGGGAAAGGTCCGAACAAACACCTCACTCAAAAAAGACAAATGTCAAATAAGCATATAAAAGGATGCTTGATATCATTTTTCATGAGGGAAATGCAAATTAAAACAACGAGACACCACTATCCCTATTAGAATGGCTAAATTCCAAAAAGTGACAATACCAATTGCTATGAGAATACACAGCAACAGAAACTCCCATTCACTGCTGGTGGGAAGACAAAATGGCACAGCCACTTTGGAAAACAGTCTGGCAGTTTCTTACAAAGCTAAACATAGTCTCACCATATGATCTAGCAGTTGCATTCCTAAGTATTTACCCAACTGGCCTGAAAAACTTAGGTCCACACAAAAGCCTGTATGCAAATGTTTATAGCAGCTTTATTCATAATTACCAAAACCTAGAAGTAACCAAGATGTCCTGGGTGAATGGATACACAAATTCTGGCAGATCCATCCATACAATGGGATATTATACACTGATAAAAAGCAGTGAGATATCGAGCCACCAAAAGACAGGCATGAACCTTAGACGAATATTGCTAAGTGAGAGAAGCCAATCAGAAAAGACTACAGTGCTGTATGGTTCCAACTGTATGACTTTCTGGAAAAGGCAAAACTGTGGAGACAGTAAGATCAGTGTTGGCCAGGGGTTCCAGGTGAGAGGAGATGGTTGGATAGGTGGAGCACAGGGTTTTGTTTGTTTGTTTTGTTTTGTTTTGTTTTTGAGACGGAGTCTCGCTCTGTCGCCCAGGCTGGAGTGCAGTGGCGCGATCTCAGCTCACTGCAAGCTCCACCTCCCGGGTTCACGCCATTCTCCTGCCTCGGCCTCCCGAGCAGCTGGGACAACAGGCACCGGCCACCTCGCCCGGCTAATTTTTTTGTATTTTTAGTAGAGACGGGGTTTCACCGTGTTAGCCAGGGTGGTCTCGATCTCCTGACCTCGTGATCCGCCCACCTTGGCCTCCCAAAGTGCTGGGATTACAGGCTTGAGCCACCGCGCCCGGCCGCACAGGGGGTTTTTAGGGCTGTGAAACTAACGTGAACGACATTGTAATGGCAGAGACACGACACTGTGCATCTGTCAAAACCCACAGAACTTCACAGCAAGAGTGAGCCTTAATGTATGCAAATTTTAAAGCTCAGTCAAGAGGCTGGGGGTCTAGGACGGAAGGCGGGCCATGTGTGGCGAGAGCCTCTGGCTGTATCACAGACCCAGGGAGCAGCTGTATTACAGACGTAGGGAGGGGCTGGGGGATGGGGCTGACCTGGGTACCCTCACAAACGACAAAGTCTGTGAAGCCAAAAGCAAATGGACCCGCACGTGAGCCCTGTACCCTGGCAGACACACGCTTCTGCCGCGGGGTACAGGTGAGCAGTCCCTACACCGCTCCCCCTGCACACTGCAGCTTAGCGATTAGGTCCATGGATGGTGGGTGGTGGGGCAGGTTCCTCACTGTGGGGTGGGAGCTACAGACAAGCAGGGGCAGGGGCCAGAACGACCCACACGGCCCAGGGTCAGGGTCGAGACAGCAGCACCAGCTCCTTCCTGTGGGCTCCCTCTCCACGCGGGCGGTGTGACGGTTAACTTTATGTGTCAGCTCCCCTGGCCGTGGGGTGCCGGGTTGAACGTTATTTCTGGGGATGTCCGAGGGTGTTCTGGATGAGATTAGCATTTGAATCAGTGGGCTCTGTAAAGCAGGCCGCCCTCCCCAGGGTGGGTGGCGTCACCCAATCCGCTGAGGACCCGAATAGCGCGGAAGGCAGAGAAAGGTGAATTTGCCCCCCTCTTCCTGCCACGCTGCTTGAGCTGGGACACTCACCTTCTCTGGCCCTGACACTGAGATTAACGCCATTAGCCCTCCGGCTTTCAGGGCTTCGGACTCAGACCGCACTGCACCACCAGCTTCCCTGGGTCTCCGCGGGCGTGGGACCTCTCGGCCTGCGTGGTCACCTGCGCCCAGGCTTCCAGGCAATCTCCAACAGGAGTGGGTGTGAACGTCCCACTGCATCCGTTTCTCTGATGACCCCTACTCACACGGAGGGTCACACACAGAAGCACGTTAGACATGGGCTCATGCCCAGGTTAGTACACGCACAGACACTTCCCTGCTCCGCTGGCCGAGAGGGCCTGGAAGCAACCACACCCAAGCAGCAAGCAGGCCCGGTGCCCAGGTCTTGGTGTCTAATGGGACCTTCCAACAAAAGGCACCGGGCTCCTTGGAGGAACAGCTGATGTGGGGCTGAGGCAGGAAACATACAGGATGAGCCTGGAGCTTCTTCTCATCCCAGAAAATAAGGACGCGTTAAAACCAAAGGGACGGGTCACAGGCCGACTGAAGAGCTGCCACCGCCAAAGACAGGACAGCTTGAGCAACAAAATGGAGGAGGACTGGGACACCCGAAATCTGACAAGAGTGTCCGTGAGTCGTTGCTGATGGAACCCAAAAACTGAGCAAATGAGCAAACACGGGAGAAGGGACGAGTCTCCAAGCAGAAGGATTCGGAAGGATTCATGCAGATCCTCTGCCCCCAAGGAGGCGACCGTGACTCCCCACCCCGCGGTGTGGGCTGTGCACCGTGACCTTCCTCCAAAGAGTGCTGGAGGTCGTGGCGGGCTGCTGGGTGGGCGGTAACTTCACCTAGGAGAAAGCTGACAGCACGACCTCAGCCAGGGACCAAGGTCAGCGCCAACGGGGACAGCCGTGTTGAGAGCAGGCACCCTGGGAAGGGTGTGGCGTCAGTGGCCCTCTGCCCTGCCCCTGTGGTCTTCCTTCAAAAACCTGTAACTCCAGTCTAACCATGAGAAGAACAGCAGACAAATTCCAATAAAGGTTCACAAAATACCTGACCCGTTCTCCCCAAAACTGTCAAGGTCATCAAAACAAAGTCTGAGAAACTGTGGCAGCTGAGGGGGCCCTGAGGAGGAGCCGCAACCACCAAAAGGCATGGTGTGTCCCAGACGCGGCCCTGAGGCAGGGGAAGGCCTCGAGGTCATAGGTGGGAATTGAACAATGAGATCACATGGACACAGGAAGGGGAATATCACACTCTGGGGACTGTGGTGGGGTCGGGGGAGGGGGGAGGGATAGCATTGGGAGATATACCTAATGCTAGATGACACGTTAGTGGGTGCAGCGCACCAGCATGGCACATGTATACATATGTAACTAACCTGCACAATGTGCACATGTACCCTAAAACTTAGAGTATAAAAAAAAAAAAAATTAAAATTAAAAAAAAATAAAAATAAATAAAAAACTCAGGAAATCTGCGTTATGTGTGAGCTTTAGCTGGTACCAGCGTATCCCTGTTGATTCATTAATGTATCAAACGCATCAGACTCTGGGAGGTGTTCACGATGGGGCTTGGCGTAGGTGGCGCTTTTCTGTACAATCTGCACAATTTCTCTGTGAATCTAAAACTGCTCTAAAAAATAAAGCCTACTTTAAAAAAAAAAAGGTATGCATTTTATTACATGGAAATGATACCTCGATAAAGTTGGCTGTAAATGGTTTTTTTAATGTGGTAGCCTGTTCTTTGGAGCTTTCATCTCCTGAAATAGAAAGATAATAAAGAAAAAACGTGCATCTGCAATCAGGAGTCGTGACTATCACTACGAAGGAAGGAGCCGGGATGCGGATGCGGAAGCGGAAGCGGAAGCGGAGGTTTGTGAAGCTGCAGAGGGGGGCAGTGCAGGAATCTGGGAGCGGCCGCTCTGAAGCCTGTGCTCTCTGCTAGCTAAGGCCTCAGTGTTTGCGCCCATGGGGACAGGGTCCCCATGTAATTACAAAAGGGGCTCAGCCCAGAGCTGGGACGGCAGCATCCCGGAGTCAGGCAGAACCTGCGTGGGGAGCATCATAAAAGCATTTATTTTCTTGGAGGAAGCATTGAGATTAAGCTTCCCAGCACCCGGCCGCGGTCACAGACCATGAGCTGGGCAATTACCATTCCCATTTTTACCAGGTTTCTAGGAAAACAGGCCTCGTGGCCAAGCGGGGACTGAGGCCATGTTAGGAGAGGAGCGTGCAGCCCCCAGCCCAGCCTCTCCCAGCCTCCAAAACACACTGTACGTTGAGCATAATGGGTTTTAGGGAATTTATTTTGCCAATTTTAGAACCCACCATAAAGAAGAAATATGAGAGAATTTTATGAGGTGTACTGTATATCTTTAATACTCGTATTTTTTCTCGAAATGCTGAGAATATCAATTACATTTATGGCTTTACGAGGAGATGCTGCAACCCCTAGGATGGCAAAGTGCATCTTAGCAGAAAATAAACAGTGGTGGGCACCACCCCCAGTGCCCGGGGGCTGTGAGACCGGATGGTGATTGAGGAATGGGCTCCAGATGAACCCATGGCTACCGTCTCGGGGAAGTGGGCTTGTGGGCATGTGGGCATGTGTGGGCGTGGGAGTGTGTGTGCACGTGTGTGTGGGCATGGGCATGTGTGTGCATGCGTGTGTGTGTGAGTGCACGTGTGTGTGGGCGTGTTTGTGCATGTGTATGCGTGTGGGGGGTGTGTGCATGTGTGGGCGTGTGTGGGCATGTGCGTGTGTGTGCACGTGTGAAGTGTGTGTGCACCTCCACTATGGCTTTATCAGTTCCTCACAGAGGAGGTCTGGGGTGAGGGAAGGTGAGTTTGGGAGGGACCCTTGGAAAGGGAGAGCAGCCACCAGCCCCCAGCAGGGGACAGAGGGTGGCACTTCTCCGGGAGCCGGCTCCAGGCCAGAGCCTGACCCTCAGCCATTGAACAAGGCCCTGCAGCTGCTGAGAACTCTGACCTGGGGCTCTGGTACCGCCCCATCCTCCAGATAGGTGCACTATGACCTAAGAAGCAGTGGTCTTTCTGGGCCGTGCGCCCTGGACAGGTGAGGAGCCTGCGCACTCTGACTGCGTGCACATGCGCACACACACGTGCACACACACACACACGTGCGCACACACACGTGCACACATAGTCATACCCACACGCACACACTCAGGCACATATTTGCACACACTCTCAAACACACAGGTGCCCACTAGCCTTGGTGGGGCTTGCTCCTTGTGACTAAAATATCCCTGGGAAGAAGCTGCCCCTGGCCCCTGCCCACCTCTGGGAGGGAGGCCAGGCCCCCAGAGAGCAGGCCCTTCCCAGCAGGCCAGGGCTGCGCTCTGGGGGTGACCTGCGAGGTGCCCCCCACTGCTGCGATGCTTCACATTATCTGTGGCTCCAATGTGCACGTTTGTTTAAAATCCGCTGCAGAATTCATCCTCTCTGCCACTTACTCAGCCATTATCAGCCATCACAAAAGTGCCGAAGAGAGTCATAAACAGCTGTGATTTATGAGACAGCCGGAATACGGGGACAAATGAGAGAAAATTAAATCCTTCACCTGTGCGGTCATTTACGAACTCGGCTCCCTCGCAGGGCCATGACGGTAGGTGTTGGCCTGAGGTGCGTGTTAAGTTCTGTCTCGTGCTCCCCTAGGGTGGAAGGGAAGGCGGGAGGAGTGGAGTGGAGAGGCTCTGGACCCTAGGGTGGGAGGGAAGGCAGGAGGAGTGCAGAGTCTACGGACCTCAGGGTGGGAGAGGGGGCAGGTCTCCCAGAACAGGCCCTGCAAGTGCCCTCACTTCCCACCTCCCCAGCCACACCCAGAAGCCAGATGTCCTGTACCCGAGTGAGCGCCCCAGACCCCAGAAGCACTGCCTCTGCCTCCTGGTCCCTGCCCTCACCCGCACTCCCTACTCTGTAGGCCCAAATTTGGCCGTCAGATCCCAGAGGGCCTGAGCCCAGGAAAGTGGCTCCTTCATCTTAGGAGAAACCAGGAGCTTCCTTGGAACAGAAGCCAGCAGGCGGCAGCCCGTGTGTTCCCTCCCATGTGGTTTCCACTTCTTTAAAACACACACACACGCACCAGGAAATGCAATTGCCTATAGAGCTTTCTATGAGCTTATAAATGAGCAGGGCAGGTTCTGAGAAAAAAAAAATTGATTTTTTTTTTTTTTGAGACGGAGTCTCGCTCTTTCACCAGGCTGGAGTGCAGTGGCGCGCTCTCGGCTCACTGCAAGCTCCACCTCCCACCTTCAAGCAATTTTCCTGCCTCAGCCTCCCGAGTGATTGGGACTACAGGCGCCCGCCACCACGCCCGACTAATTTTTGTATTTTTAGTAGAGACGGGGTTTCACCATGTTGGCCAGGATGGTCTTGAACTCCTGGCTTCCAGTGATCCACCCACCTCAGCCTCCCAGAGTACTGGGATTACAGGCTTGACCCACCATGCCAGGCTGAATTTGATTTTTATTTTTTTAATATTTTTATTTTTTATTTTTTTAGACGGAGTCTTGCTCTGTCACCCAGGCTGGAGTGCAGTGGCGTGATCTCAGCTCGCTGCAACCTCCGCCTCCCGGGTTCAAACGATTCTCCTGTCTCAGCCTCCTGAGTAGCTGGGACTACAGGCGCCTGCCACCACACCCGGCTAATTTTTGTATTTTTAGTTGAGATGGGGTTTCACCATGTTGGTCAGGCTGGTCTTGAACTCCAAACCTTGTGATCCGCCTGCCTCAGCCTCCCAAAGCGCTGGGATTACAGGCCTGCGCCACCACGCCTGGCTGAATTTGATTTTTAAATTAAAGCCTGGTATGGACTGCGCCTGACCCTCAAAAAGACATTGGCTTTGTCACGGGCTCGGTGGCACCATCATCCCCAGCTGCCGCCCATAGAGGTGCTGCAGAATTATGTCTTTGGGCATGTGCCACAGAGGCCACAGGCAGCTGGGAGGGCTGGCCCAACCCCAGGCCTCGCTGGGAGCCTCCCTCCAGGAAGCACCCCCACCCCGGGGCTGCACTGCCCTGGTGGGCTCAGTTCCCTGGGCTTGTTGCCCTGGCTTGCCCAGCCTCCCCCAAGCTGGGGGCTCTGGAGCCCTTTCTCCCAAGTACCAGTTCGGCTCATGCCAACACCAGCGTCCTTACCCAAGGCTGGGGAGGCCCAGAACCCCATCCCAGGGATAGGAGCAGATGACAGGGAAGGGCAGAAAGGGGGTGACCCACAGACACCTCCAGCCACCCTTCTTGCCTGGGATACCAGACCCCTGCGTCAGCACCACTGCCTGGGCCAGCGCTCCAAAAGCCCCCTGTCCGGAGCTCATCCCCAAGCCCGGCACCCAGCACTGCCTGTGAGCAAGCTCTAGCCACTTCCTGCTCTGCAGCTCCCACGCCTTACCCGGTCCTTGCCCTTGGGGGCGGAGAAGGCAGACAGTAGGCTCTGCCTCGGGGGCTCACCCGTCCTCCCAGCAGCCCAGGCCGGCCAGACCCACAAGATGCCAATACTGGGGCGGGGGCAGCCAGGACAGAGAGGCCCTGAGAAGATCCAGAGGAAGGGACGCTTCAACCAAGACTAACATTTTAAAACGGAGATAGAGAGGCAAGGCCCGAAGGCAAGCCCCAGGGGGAGTGTTGGCATGAGGAACAGATTTGCCAAGTTTGTATGCCAACTTCGCATTTCCCTGACGGCTCAGGCCCAGTGGACCCTCTCAGAAGGTTCCTGCTAGTCCCAACTTCATTTATTCATGCCAGGGCAAGGTGAGGGCCTCACATACTAAAGTCAGGGGCAGGGACCAAGCTCTGGTGCCACCCTCACTGCCAGCCCTCGGGCGAGGCCTGTCCCCACCCTGGGCCTCAGTTTCCCCAGCTGGACAAAGAACGTATGTCTGAGGTCACTTGTAGCTCTAAGACCCTGGGGGTCGCTGGCCCAAGGCCCCCTGCTGAGGGTCACCCGCTGCAATGCTGCAGACCCCAACTCAGAGCCCCTCGAGGAGCCGCCACTCCCTTCCATCTCATTCTCGATTTCTTCCCGGCGTAATTGAAAAATCAATATGTTGCAGCATTGTGCAAATCACAAATACAATTATTTCCAGTCACAAAGGGAATGATCCTACAGCGACTGCAGCTGCTCCACCATGAGTCCCCAGCTGAGCCAGGGGCAGGGGTCGGGTAAGCCCCACCATGCTTGTGCACAGACACCAGCTCTGGGAGCTGCCACGCAGGGTGCCCCTCATGCCAGGGACACCCTAGCACGGTTTAACTCCAGTCTTCCCTTCTGTGACTTCCAACTGTACAGTGCCCGGCCTCATAAGTTATGGAGCTTAATGAACGACATGAAAAGTTAATTAATTGTAAGGATAGTTACACACGGCCACACCATACCTGTCATCAAATAGGTCTTGCGTTAGAACTGATTACATTTTGATCAACTCGGCCTCAGGAGCCACTGTGCAGACCTGGGCGGTGGACCGTCCTCTACAATGAGAGTTATTTGGCTTTTATGGGTTTGTTCAATTTTGCCCAAGGGACAGATGGGACAACGAAAGGAGAGAGTCCCCCCCCCCCACCCTGTCCTTCAGGTGGGGAACGAGCCAAGACCCGTCCTCCAGGCCCTGCAGTGGACATGGCCAGCCCCGCCTGCCCCAGCCCCGCCCAGCCACCCCGCCTGCCCCAGCCCTGTCTGGTGCAGCAGGAGGCTCTGCCACCCCTGCACTGGAACCAAGGCCCTCAGGACAGGCTTGCCTGCAGGTGGGACCCATCTGAGCCATGTTGTCCCCAACCGGAATGAGCCCAGCCCCGTCACCCCAGCTGCAGCCTGTCCCCGGCATGCAGCTGGCCCCCTCCCCAGGGGGCTGGGGTGTGCCTCCCCTGCCAGTTAATACTCCCCCTCACTGTCTACATGTGGGGGCCGTGCAGCTAAGCGGGACCTCTGTCAACCTCACCCTAGCACTTGACCCCCAGAGCTGGTCCCTGTCCCCAAAGGAGACAGTGATGGGGGTGCAGGAAGCAGGAGCTCAGAGTCCCAGCCCAGGGCAGAGGGAGGGGGAAGGCAGGGCTCAGAACCAGGGGCTCCCCAAAGCCTTAGTGAGCCCTGGGCTCTCATCTGCTTGCTCCCCAGGTCAGCTCCTCCTCTGCCCCAGGGTGGGGGGCCCTGACACCCGGGATGCCACTTCCCTTCCAAAGTACACTGGCTGGGGTGGGCGCACCTTCCCCAGAGACCCCTTTCTGCCTCCTCTCTCTGCTCCCCAAGGCAGAGCAGCAGGGGACGGGGAGAGCATCCCAGCAGGGCAGAGAGCATCACTGGCTCAACCCCTCTTGCCTGGGCTGCCCTGAGCCTGCCTTCTTTCAGCAGCATCTGAGCTCCCCACCTCAAGCCTCACACCCTCCCCTCTGGCTTTGGTCCACAGCAGTGTGGGCCGCTCACCACCATAGCCACCTGGCATCGCCACCATCCTGCTTGGGGCCAACACCTCTCCCCTCACCCCACTGGGGAGGAAGGACCTTTTCCCCACCAGGTCCCCCAGGGCCTGGGTGCAGACCTGGTCAGCCCAACCAACATCTGCCAAGGCCCTCGAGTCCCTTCCTTCTTGTTACTCCGCTGATGTTTTCCTCCCATTGCAAAGACAAAGCCCACGCCATGGTCCAGGTCATGTGTGTCTTTCCCTCGAGACCAGCACTGTCCACAGTAATAAAAACGTTCTGTATCTGCACTGTCCAGTGTGGCAGCCACTAGCTACTGTGGTTACTGAGCACTCGAAATGTTATTGTAACCACAGACCTGGGTTTTAAAAATTGTACTCTGTAGCTTTACTGAAGTATAACTAACATAGAATAAGCTACACATAATTAAAGTATACAATTGGATAGGTTTTAACACATGTATACACCAGCAAAACCATCACAAAAGTAAAGAACATTCCCATCACACCAAAAACCTTCTTCGTGCCCCTTGGAGATCCTGCCCTCCATCTTCCCTGCCCGCTTCTCCAGGCCCCAAGCAACCATTGATCTATTTTCTGTCATTATAGATTAGTTTGCATTTTCAAGAATTACATACATATTCTTTATAAAATCGTGAATTACATTTCCTTTTTATCTGTCCCCCTTACTCAGTATATTACCTGCCATTTATCCACGTCATCGTGCACATCAATAATTCATCACTTTCTATCGCCAAGTAGCAGCCATTGTGCGGACACACCACCTTTTATTTATCCACTCAACTGTTGATGGACGTTTGGGTTCTGCCTAGTTTTGGGGTGTTACAAATAAAGCTGCTGTGAATATTCACATACAACTCTGTATGGACTGTTTTCATTTCTCTTGAAGTGGGATGACTGGATTATATGGTAGGTATATGTTTAATGATTTAAGAGACTGACAAATTGCTTTATAAAGCAGTTGTACCATTTTACATACCCTGCCTCCCCCAGCAGCACAGAAGAGTTCCAGTTCCTCCGTATCATCTCCAATACTTGGTATGTCAGTCTTTTTAATGCTAGCCATTCTACTAGGTGTGTGGTGTTCTCACACTATGGGTTAGTTTCCACTTGATTGACTAACTATATTGAGCAGTTTCACATGCTTATTTGCACTCCGCATATTATTATTGGTTAAGTGGTATTTTCTTCCTTGCATTTGGTAGAATTCATCAGTAAAGCCACCTGACCGTGGAGTTTTCTTTGTAGAAAGGTTTTTAACTACAAACCCAGTTTCTTTAATAGTTACAGGGCTGTGTGGTTATCCACTTCATCCTGCACATCCTTGGTAATTTGTGTCTTTCAGGGAATTTGTCCATTTTGAGTAGTTGAATTTATTGACATAGAGTTGTTGATAATATCCCCTTATCATCCCTTAATATCAGTAGAATCAGTTCTTATGTAACCTCCTTCATTCCCGATACTGGTCATTTGTGTCTTCTCTCTCTTTTTACTGACCAGCCTACCTAAAGGTTTGTTCATCTTTTCAATCATCTCGAAGAACCAGCTTTTGGTTTCATTGATTTTCTCTACTGTCTTTCTGTTTATGATTTCATTGATTTTTCACTCTGATCTTCACTACTTCCTTTTTTCTTACTTTGGGTTTCATTTGCTCTTTTCTAGTTTCTTAAGGTCATTGATTTAAGATATTTCTTCTTTTCTAACATAGGCATTTAATGCTACAAATTTCCCCCTAAATAGTGGGATTTAACTAAATCCCACACATTTTATAGGCTGTGTTTTCCTTTTTATTTAGTTCAAAATACTTTCTAATTTCCCTTTTAATTCCTCCTTTGACCCATAAGTTACCAAGAAATATGTTACTTCATTTCCAAATTTGGGGGAATTTTCCAGAAATATTTCCATTTTTCAATTCTAATCTAATCCCATTGTGATCAGATAAAACTTTTTATGACTTGGATCCCTTTATATTTTTTGGACTTGTTTTATGGCCCAGAATATTGTCTATCTTAGTAAATGTGTTCCATGTGCACTTGAAAAGAATGGGTATTCTGTTGTTGAGTGGAGTATTTTATAAATGTCAGTTGAATCTGCTCTTCAAGTCTTATACGCCCTTATTGATTTTCTGTCAATTTGTCCTAACAGTTATTGAAAAAGGGGTATTAAAATTTCTGGCTGTAATTGTATGTGCCTAATTCTCCTTGTAGTTCTATTAGTGTTTGTTTCATTTATTTTGAAGCTCTGTCATTAGGTGCATACATCTTTGGAATTGTTACATTCTGATGAATTGATTTCTGTATCATTACAAAGTGATTTTATTTATTTCTGGTAATATTCTGTACATCTACTTTGTTGATGTTAATACAGCCTCTCCAGAGTTCTTTTAATTAATGTTAGTGTGGTATATCTTTTCCCATTCCCTTTCTTGCAGCTTATTTGTATCTTTACCTTTAGTGAGCCTGTGCCTCTGGACTGTGAAACTCACCAGTGCATCTCAGATCCCCCTCCTTAGGTG
Organism: Homo sapiens; assembly: GCF_000001405.40. Lineage (NCBI taxonomy): Eukaryota > Metazoa > Chordata > Mammalia > Primates > Hominidae > Homo > Homo sapiens. The sequence continues at coordinate 104,260,088 of NC_000014.9, read as the reverse complement.
GGACAGGATGGCTGGAGGGGGCTGGAGGTGGGTGTTTCCTTTCTGTCAGGTCAATTAAGCATGGATAAAACTCCAGAAGGCTAGGATCTGGTTAGTTTCTCTGGAAGGTAGACCATTATTAAGAACAGATAGTCTGGTATATCTCAAAATGGCTCTTTTTCCCCTTCTCCCTGCTGGAAAGAACAAAGGGATTTTCCTTTGGTATTCACTGTGTGAACCTGGAGGAAAGACCGAGGAGGAAAAATTCACAAAAGCTGGGGGAAGGGGGACTGTGACTGGGTCTCTCTGGAGTTTTTAACTCCCAGGCTTATCCACACTGAGCCTCTGGCAATTTGTTGATTACACTTTAGGTTTTCTTGTTCCAGCACTGGTTCCTGCAGAGGTTTCTGCTCCAGTAAGTTGTAATTCTCTGTATTTGTCTGTCTGTCCATCCAATTTGAGGGACAGCAGTTTGCCCTGTGACCTCGCTTCTCTTAAGGATCTAAGAAGAGTTGCTTTTGTGGTTTGTTCAGCTTTATACTTGTAATGAGAATGGAGTGATGACTTCCAAGCTGTTTACATGCCACATGCCAGGCCAGAAACCAAGAGTTCTGTATCTTCATATTTAATGTGTGTTTCTTATAGGCAGCATATAGTTGGGTCTTGCTTTTTAATTCTGTTAGTCACTCTGTCTCTTAATTGGAATATTTGGACTGTTTACATTTAATGTATTATTGGTAGGCTTAAGTCTATTATTTTGCTCTTTATTTTCTATTTGTCCCACTTGTTTTTCCCTTTTTCATCTTTTTCTGCCTTCTTTAGGATTAATGAAATATTTCTTACAATTCCATTTTATGTGTTTTGTTGTTTTATTAGCTATTTCCCTTTGTTTTGTAATTTATTGGTTGCTTTATGGCTCATAGCATATATTTTTAACTTATCGTAGGCTGCCTTCAGGTGCTATTATACTACTTCACATGCAAGATAAGAACATTTTAATAGCATATTTTCATTCCTCCCTTTCAAAACTTTGTGCTATTGTTGTCATGCATTTTAACTTTATATATGCCATAAACCTCATACTACATTATTGTTCTTGTTTAAACAATTAATTATCATTTAAATAAATTTAAATAATAAAAATAAATCTTATATATTTACCTATAAAGTGTCAGTCCCAGGACTTTTCATTCCTTTCTGTAGAGCCATAATTCCAACTAGTATCATTTTCCTTCCACCTGAAGGAATTTCTTTAAAATTTCTTGCAATGCAGGTCCTCTGTTGAGACATTCTTTCAGCTTTTGTATACTTGTAAAAGTCATTATTGTGCCTTTGCTTTTGAAAGATATTTCTAATGGTCACAGAATTCTAGGTTGAAAGATATTTTTTCCTTCAGAACTTTAAAGATGTTCATCCACCTTCTTCTGGCTTACGTTGTGTCCCACAAGAAATCTGCTGTTATTCTCACTTTTGTTGCACTATACAAATCTTGCCTTTTATTTTCTGGCTGCAAGCAAGAAATTTTATCACTACTTTTGAGCAATTTGCTTATAATGCTCCTTGGTGTAGTTTTTTCTATGTTTCTTGTACTTTGCCTTTTTTGAGCTTCTCGAATCTATGGGTTTATAGTTTTCATATGTGGAAAATATTTGGCCATTATTTCAAGTATTTTTTTTTCTGTTCCCATCTCTCTCTTCTCTTTCACATAATTCAATTAAACAGATTAGACCACTTGACATTTTCCCAAAGTTCAATGATATTCTGTTAACTTTTAAAATAATATTGTCTTTCTGTGTTTCATTTTGGATTATTTCTATTGCTATGTCTTCAAGTGTGATCATCTTTTCTTCTTCAACATCTAATCTGACAATAATTCCATCCGTCCAGTGTATTTTTTATCTTACACATTGCAGTTTTTATCTCTAGAAATATGATGTGGGTCTTTGTTATATCTTCCATGTCTCTACTTAACTTTTTCATCATATGGAACACAGTCATCATAACTATTTTCATGCTCTTGCCTGCTCATTCTAACATCTGTGTCAGTCTTGGGCTGTCTTTGCTGATTTATCTCCTTATTAGGGGTTGCATTTTCTTGCTTCTTTGCATACTTGTTAATTTTTACTGGACTCCAGACATTGTGAATTTTATATTGTTAGGTGTTGGATTCTTGAGCTTTTCCTGAGATTCAGTTAAGTCATTTGGAAACAGTTTGATTCTTCAGGGTCTTGCTTTTAAGATAGTTTAGGAAGAATTGGAGCAGTGCTCAGCCTAGGGCAAATTATATCCCACGACTGAAGCAAGGCATTCTACCAATGCCCCAGAAATTATGAGGTTTTCCAGCCCCACTGTTAGGAACAGGCACTATTCCTGGCCCTGTGTGAACACCAGGCCTTAGTTCTGAGCCTTTCCCAACTCAGGTAGTTTCCTCATACTCAGAGGATGCTCAGTCCTCAACTGAATCCTGAAAGGGGCCCTCTATGGATCTCAGAGTTCTCTCTGTGTTCTGCTCTCCCCTCTGCAGCACCTCTGTCCTGCCAATTCTCACCACCTTGGTCTCCTCCTTAACTCAGGGAGTCCACCTGGCTCTGCCTGGATTCCTGCTTCCTGCTTCACGGCATGGACATTCTCTCCAGCAGTAAGATATGACAGCTGTGGAGTTCATCTGATTTGTTTCTAGCCTCTTACTCTACTCCATTGTCTACAGTGCCTTGAGAACTGATTTTTCATGTATTTTTGTCCATTTCTTGCTTATTGCAGGTGGAAGGATAAATCCAATTCACATTACTCCATCTTGGCTGGTAGCAGAAGCCTCAACTTTATTTAACTGTATTTAACTTTAATTTCAGTAACTAAGTGGCTAGTGCTGCCAAACTGAGCAGCACAGCTCAAGACTGTGGGTTCTGTGGGGACAGGAGCCATGTTGGCCTGGTTCCCTCCAGGTGCCCCAGCCACCGGCACAGCCTGGGTGCTCAAGAATGTTTGTTTAGTGAATGTGCACAGGAAAAGTGTAGTGAGCATAAGCCCTGGGCCTGGGGGAGGATAAGAGAGCTCCAGAAAAGTTGTCCCCAAAGTCCTCCCCTTCCAAGCATTACAGCCAGGGTCCTTGATGCCATGCTCCCTCCTATTAGGGGAGTTCTCCAAAACCTGGGGCTGCCCATGGTCCCTTGCAGCCAGGGAGGCTCTGCCACCCCTTGGCACCCCCACCTCCCATCACTGCCCCTCCCAAGAGATCTCTCATGTCCTAATGCTCCCCAGCCTCCCAGAGCCCAGACTCCAGAATCCCTCACCATGCTTGGATCCAGGACCCCTGCATTTTAAACCCATACCAGTGTGACCCAGCCTAGCAGTGTTCCTACCCTTTATGATCTAGGAAGAAAGACCTCAATAAGGCTAGAGGTCCCAATTTAAAAATGAAAAAAGAACTTGAATGGACATTTCTCCAAAGAAGATATACAAATGGCCAATAAGCACATGAAAAGATGCTCAACAGCACTGGTCATTAGGGAAATGCAAACCAAAACACTTCATACCCACTAGGATGGCTACAGCTATAAAGAAAAGAAAAGAACTGGGGATGAGGATGTGGAGAAATTGCAACTCTTGCGCATTGCTGGTAGGGATATAAAGTGGCGTGGTCACCGTGGAAAACAGTTTGGCAGTTCTTCAAAAGGTTGAATATGCCACATGACCCAGCAATTCTACTCCTAGTCATACACCCAAAAGACAAGAAAGCAGGGTCTTGGAGAGATATTTATACACCCATGCATGTAGCAGCATTCGTCACAACAGCCAGAAAGTAGAAGCAACCCAAGTGTTCATCAACAGATGAAGGACAAACACAGTGTGGTCCACTCATACTGTGGAATACTATTCAGCCCCGAAAAGGAAGGAAATTCTGACATGTGCTGAGACAGAGCTGAGCCTTGAAGACATTATGCTGAGTTAAATAAGTCAGATATAAAAGGACAAATACTGCATGATTCCACTCATGTGAGGTGTCTAGAGTAGGCAAAGTCATAAAGACAGAAAGTACAATAAAGGTGATCAGGGGCTGAGGGAAGAAAGAAGACAGAGTTGTTATTTAATGAGGATAGAGTTGTCAGGGGAGAGAGTTGTTATTAGATGGGGACAGAATTGTCTTGAGAGGGGAGAGTTGTTATTTAATGGGGAGAGAGTCACTGGGGGGAGAGTTGTTATTTAATGGGAATAGAGTTGTTGGGGGAGAGGGTTGTTATTTAATGAGGATAGAGTTGTTGAGGGAGAGGGTTGTTATTTAATGAGGATAGAGTTGTTGGGGAAGGGGGTTGTTATTTAATGGGGGTAGAGGTGTTGGGGGAGGGGGTTGTTATTTAATGGGGATAGAGTTGTTGGGGAAGAGGGTTGTTATTTAATGGGGACAGAATTGTTGGGTGAGGGGATTGTTACTTAATGGGGATAGAGTTGTTGGGGGAGGGGGTTGTTATTTAATGGGGGCAGAGGTGTTGGGGGAGGGGGTTGTTATTTAATGGGGGCAGAGGTGTTGGGGGAGGGGGTTGTTATTTAATGGGGGTAGAGGTGTTGGGGGAGAGGGTTATTATTTAATGGGGACAGAGTTGTTGGGGGAAGATGAGAAGCTTTGGGTATAGATAGAGGTGATGGTTGCACAACACTGAGAGTGTATTCAGGGCCACTGAATTACAGACTTACAAATGTTTACAGCGATAAAGATTATGTATATTTTAATACAATAGGAAAAAAAGGCTGGAGGTGTTCAGCCTACAGGCTGGGAATTCTCCAGCCATATGTCGTTTCTGGGCCACCCAGTCAGGGAGCTGTCAGAGTGAAGCCAATATTCCCAGCCTCCAAAATTGGACAGGAGGGAAGGGGGGCTGCTCATACCTTCCCTCAGCCCTGGCTAAGAACATTTGTCTTCCCAACGGCATAAATTTCACAGATCAAGTGGAAACAGCAGCTGTCCAAGGCTGATAGTGTCCTGAGCACCCATATTTTAGGGGCATGAACAGATGCGTGCTCTCGGTGGGCAGGAACTGAGGGTTCGTCCAGCCTCGGGTCAGTGTACGGGGTCGGGGAAGACAGGAGGGGCCCAGTACCCTTTCCTCCACAGTTAGCTTCGGCTGGATTTATGGCTTTTTATGAAACGAAGACGCTCCCTCTGCTCAGCCTCACTCCGGTCACTTCCCACCTCTTCCTGTCTCCCAGCCTCTGGCTCTGCCTCAGTTCCCCACCTGCACCACTGAGGGTAACTGTTGCCCCCTGGGGCCCCTCAGTTCTCACCCTCTCAGCCCTTCTCCCACCCACCCTCAGCGGCAGTGAACACAGCTTCCTTCTTCCCTAGGTCAGGCCAAATTTGCCCAAATTTAGGGCTGGCTTGCGGGCCCCCTGGCCACAGCTGACATCCCTGCTGAAGGAACCAACACAGACACACACACACACACACAGATACAGACACACACTCACACATGCACAGATACAGACACACACTCACACATGCACAGATACAGACACACACTCACCCACGCACATACAGACACATGTGGGCAGATACACAGACACGGATACACACGTTCATATGTCTGTGTGCCCACACACAGTTACAAAGATACACACACACACGTAGACACACATGCAGGCATACACAGAGATATACATAGACGCACACATACCCACACAGAGATACAGAAACACGCACACAAAGATACACACATATGCACACATCTGCATGCACGCACACACAGCAGCAAACCTGGGGATCCAAGTGCCTCTTGTAGCCAGACACAGCATCTGTGCCCATGGCATCCTTTGGAGGGGCTGCTCCAGAGTCCCCCAGGGCTCCAGCCCCTCATAAGCCCGCCAGGAGATGCACCAGCACACCAGGGCCTGCCTCTTGCTCGCCAACGCGGGCGAGAAGGGCACTCGGTCAGCCCCAGAGGGCTGCCTGAATTAAGTCTGAAATTGGCTGCCTGGAAGCCTCCTCTGGGCTTGGTGACCCCAACCGTCATGAGGACCCTCTCCTCAGAGCCCCCTTACTCAGCTCCCGGGGACCGCCTGACTGCGCAGGCCCAGTGGGGCGGTGGATGGGGTGGGCTTCCACACCCCTCCACGAGCAGCTCTGCACAGATGGACCCGCGTGCCTCACCGCAGTCCTTTCCATCCTGCCCCTGCTCCCCTCCCTTCTCACCCCCTCCACCTGGACCCCATCTCACGCCAGGCAGCCAGTTAACCCCTGCTGGTAGCCTTTCCATAGCCTCCCTCACTACATCTTGGTTTTTAAAATATTGAATTCATTGCCAACATTTCTAAACAGATCTCAGATCGAAGCCCAGGTTGCTGGCTTCTCGTGGTATATTGGAAGTCCCAGCCTGGCTCCTAAAGAGCAGCCGTCAGGGGGTACCCAGGGAAGCTCAGGGCGTGGCCCCCAGCCCTCCACTCCCTCAGCTCCCGCCTGATTTCTAAAGCAGCTGACTTCACCACGAGACCCCAGGACCAGGGCGGAGGAGGGCACAAGCCGCCTGGCACCATCTCCATCAGAACTCGGCTGGACAGCGGGGCTTTCTCTCCACCGGTGCTGGAGAACGCGGGAGCTTTGGGATGCCAGCCCCAGGACACCAGCTGCAGCCAGGGGCAGCCATGCCCACTGTCCAAGGAGGCACCAGGCCTAGGGGTGGCTGGGCCCAGTGAGAGGGGTGATGCCAGCGGGTGTGCCCACAGCAGAGGGCCTGGCCTGGCTGCAGCTCTCGACCTGAGTCAGAGGAGAGCCTGCCCAGACAGCTGGAGCTGTGGGGCCGCTGGAAGGAGGGGGTTACAGGGCACACAGTGGCCCCAGGGGAGGCTGTGGGGTAGGAAAGGAAACCACCCGCCGTGGGTGCTGCAGGCCGGACCTGTTTGCCAGAGGCAGGTTCACTCCTCCTAGTGATGTAATGGTGCCCGTCTGTAGAATAGAAGCACAAGGCTGGAAGACATTGTACAGTGTCTATTTCACCAGGTTCCCTGGCTGGTAGGTGGTACAACTGGGCTTTAGAGCCCTTTTCTGCAACACGAGGAGATGGTCAGGTCCACCCAGAAGTCAGGAAGCAGGAGGAGGAGTCCTCAAAGATAGGAACCTGCTCTATCCTTCAAGACACCGTCTGAACCCCTCCAAGCTCCGTTTGTCCCCTACTGTGGAATAGCGGGTGGGACAGGTGCTACCGCACTCTGGCCTCTCCTGACTGCCCGGCTCTGTGGCCACAATGTACTTGCTGCTGGCCCCAGGCATGGCCAGGAGGTGGGAGCAGCAGCCTTTGTGAGGGCAGGGAGTGAGTGCCACCAGCCTTGAGGGCTGAGAGTGCCCAAGAGGGACAGTGGGCCCAGGGTGTGTTCTAAAGGGAATTTCATGCCCTGGGCACTTTTCCAAGAGCTGGAATTCTGAGGTCCTGGGACGCTCGTGGCCCACCACCCTTAGGTTGCCAAACAGAGCCAGGATAGGTGTTGCGAGGGTTGCTGGAGCCCAGGTGTGGGGCCCAGGCACAGTCACACCAGCCCCTCTCGCTCCCCAGGATGCAGCACCCAATGGGGCAGTGAGACCCCTGAGACAGAGGCTGCTGCGTATGGAGGGCAGCACGGTGCAGAGACCACCCGCCAGGGGACTGGATAATGGGGCCAGGCTTGACGGTGTCTGTGGGGCAGGCAGGGTGGGCTCTTAATTGGAAAAGGAGGTGAAAAGAGAAGAAAGGACTGGAGGCTGAGGGAGCCAAAGCAGCCAGGAACGCCGTGGACAAAGGGTGGGTGGCAGGCGGGAGTCGGCACCCCCTGCATGGGGGCCTCAATAGGCGTGAGAGATCCCGCCCACCCGCACCCTCCCCACACACCCATCTGCAGGCTCCAGCCCAGCAGGCCCCAGGGCAGCTGTTTGGGGGAAGCAAGACGAAGTCTGAGGAGGGGGCTCCTCAGCCACAGGCCCCCCCAACAGAGTGGGAGCATCCTCCCAGAGGCCACAGTGAGCACTGTGGATGAATGGATGATGCGCGGAGGAATGAATGAATGAGCGGGTGAGTGGGCGTGTGAGCTCCCGACCTCGCAATGAATGAATGAGCAGGTGAGTGGGCCTGTGAGCTCCCGACCACGCAATGAATGAATGAGCGGGTGAGTGGGCGCGTGACCTCCCGACCACGCAATGAATGAATGAGCGGGTGAGTGGGCGCGTGAGCTCCCGACCTCGCAATGAATGAATGAGCGGGTGAGTGGGCGCGTGAGCTCCCGACCACGCAATGAATGAATGAGCGGGTGAGTGGGCGCGTGAGCTCCCGACCTCGCAATGAATGAATGAGCGGGTGAGTGGGCGCGTGAGCTCCCGACCTCGCAATGAATGAATGAGCGGGTGAGTGGGCGCGTGAGCTCCCGACCTCGCAATGAATGAATGAGCGGGTGAGTGGGCGCGTGACCTCCCGACCACGCAATGAATGAATGAGCGGGTGAGTGGGCGCGTGAGCTCCCGACCACGCAATGAATGAATGAGCGGGTGAGTGGGCGCGTGAGCTCCCGACCACGCAATGAATGAATGAGCGGGTGAGTGGGCGCGTGAGCTCCCGACCTCGCAATGAATGAATGAGCGGGTGAGTGGGCGCGTGAGCTCCCGACCACGCAATGAATGAATGAGCGGGTGAGTGGGCGCGTGAGCTCCCGACCTCGCAATGAATGAATGAGCGGGTGAGTGGGCGCGTGAGCTCCCGACCACGCAATGAATGAATGAGCGGGTGAGTGGGCGCGTGAGCTCCCGACCACGCAATGAATGAATGAGCGGGTGAGTGGGCGCGTGAGCTCCCGACCTCGCAATGAATGAATGAGCGGGTGAGTGGGCGCGTGAGCTCCCGACCACGCAATGAATGAATGAGGGGGTGAGTGGGCGCGTGAGCTCCCGACCACGCAATGAATGAATGAGCGGGTGAGTGGGCGCGTGAGCTCCCGACCACGCAATGAATGAATGAGCGGGTGAGTGGGCGCGTGACCTCCCGACCACGCAATGAATGAATGAGCGGGTGAGTGGGCGCGTGAGCTCCCGACCTCGCAATGAATGAATGAGCGGGTGAGTGGGCGCGTGAGCTCCCGACCACGCAATGAATGAATGAGCGGGTGAGTGGGCGCGTGAGCTCCCGACCACGCAATGAATGAATGAGCGGGTGAGTGGGCGTGTGAGCTCCCGACCTCGCAATGAATGAATGAGCGGGTGAGTGGGCGTGTGACCTCCTGACCACGCAATGAATGAATGAGCGGGTGAGTGGGCGTGTGAGCTCCCGACCACGCAATGAATGAATGAGCGGGTGAGTGGGCGTGTGACCTCCTGACCATGCAGGGGCTGGAAGCGCCCTCAGGATCCCCTGCCCAATCACTCACGCAGGGCAGGGTCCCTAACCCTCACTGCCCCCCGGGTGAGGATGTCTACTGGGCCTCCCCTCTCCCTCCTCCCTCCCTCCTTCCCCCTTTTCACCCCCTCTTTCTCCCTCCCCTCCCTCCCCCTCCACCTTTACCAGGCATTCTCACCTCCTCACTCAGAACTCCTGCCAACACTGCCCTCTGACACCCCCTCTGCAGCACCATGACCCTGAGTGCCCTTGGCCACCCCCACCAGACAGACCCTCAGGGATCAGCCCAGGCCTTCTGGTCTCCTGGGCCCACCAGGCCACCGCAGGACCATGCAGGACCCAATGCTCAGGGCCATGCACTCCAGCTGCCCAGGTGGGGGCACTGCCATTTCACACTCCCACCCTCACCATCACCCCCCGGCCTCGGCCCCATTCCCCATCCCAGCCGCCCCCTGCAGGCCCCACCCCCTACACCGCGAGATCCCCAATGCACCTCCTACTCTGCCTTGCTCATGTGGTCCCTCCACACCAAATGGGGGGACCATCTCTGCTGGGAGGTCCCTGCCCAGGTGCGGCCTAAACCCGGGAGGCCTGTGCAACAACCCCACTCATCTCCCCAGCAACCTCCACGAGGAAAGCCTTATGGTCAGAGCATGAAAGCAGGGGACTTTAGGGCCAGCCATGCTGGGGCCCAATCCAGCCCCATCTCTGTCCTGCCAGTCACACAGGGTGGCAGGTCCCATCCCACCTCTGAGCCTCAGTTTCCCCATTGAAACCTGCAGGCAGCATCCCCAGCCGGGACTGTTGCAGGGTCCTATGAGACGCTTGGTGCCAGGGAGGTGCCAGGCAGGTACACCACCAGCACAAGGGAGCAGGTCCCAGCTCCCTCCCCGGACACCGCAGCTCCCCAGCACTCCCCCAGAGCAGCCCCGCTGTGGGGGGTCAGAGCCTCCCAAGAGCAGGACCTCTGCTGTCACCAGGCACAGAGTGCCCATGGGGCCAGAGAGCTGGCCCAGGCCCACACAGCTTTCCCTGGACATGGGGGATGAGGGAGACAGGCCTCCCCTGGCCTCCCACTCCTAGCTCCTTCTGTCCCACCAGGGGGAGGGTCTCATGGGCACAAATTCCCCAGAACTACCCTTGAGTGAATGGCTGGTTCAAAACTTTTAATTATCAAAATATACATGTATGTCTATTTAATTTGCTTTTATGAAACTCAGATCTCAATTTAACCTGGATGGTCATCTGGCAGGTCACGGGAGGGCAGTTCCAGTCATTCATGACCTCTCCTCGTTCCTCTCTTCCACTGGTGAGGGTTGGGGCGGGCAGCTGAGGCCACCCTTCCTGGCAGACCAGGCCAGCACCCACCTCTCAGCCTGCCCGCCTGCGTGCGTGCCCACCAGCGAGGAAGATCCAGCCTCACCCTGAGCTGTGGAGAGGGCGGCCTGGGTCCCCGTGGTAGGCTTAGGCCCAAGCCTGAGGCTCTGGTGCTGGCCCTGCCTGATCCTGGCCACCTCCCTTTGGCTGGGTCCTCATGGGCAGAACCCACTCATGACAGATTGTTCTCTCATGGGGCAGTGGCACAGCTGCCCCACCTCCAGGGCTGCTGGCGCATTGTATGAGGCCACCTGTGAGAAGGAACCTGCCCAGCCCTGGCAGCTGGTAGGGGCTCAATCAATGGAGGTGACAATGACGCCGATGACAATAATGGTGAGGACGGTGGTGGCATCATGAGGAAAAAGAGTTGGTCATTGGAGGTTCTGGGGGTCAGATTTTTGGATCTCGGCCTGAAGAAGCGCCTTCGGAGCGCAGGGATTGTTTGCTTCACAACAAACTTCCTGAGCCTGCAGGCAGAGGTTGAGGAGGGCCCACCAGCGATGCCTGCGGCAAGGCCAGGTCAAGCCAGGCCTCCTGGATATCCCCGCCCCTGAGTGCCTGGCCCACTTCCCACCTCTCCTGGGCTGAATTACGTTTTCCCAACTTCCTATGCTGAAGGCGGCCCTCGGGGTGCGACTGCCTTTAGAGATTGGGTCTTTATCGAGGTTATTAAGGTGGAATGAGGTCACTGGGGTGGGGTCTGATACAGTCTGACTGGGGTCCTTGTAAGAAGAGGAGACTGGGACGCACACAGAGGGAAGGTGGCCATCCGTAGGCCAAGGAGAGAGGCCTCAGGAGAAAGCAGCCCTGCCCACGCCTTGAGCCGTCTTCAAGCCATGACATGAGAGAACCCACGTCTGCCGTGTGGGCGCCGGCTGTGGTCCTCCCGCAAACTCATGCACCACCCTCTGCAACCTGCCAGCACCACAAGGACACCCAGGCTCTGCAGGCCCTGCCACTGTCTGACCCCCAAGAGGGGCACGGACCAGCCCAGCCACCAGCCCCGGCAGAGCCCAGGTGTCCCAACTCCTTTAGATACAGACACCCCTGCCCAGAGGGGACAGCATTTCCTCCTGAGCGAGGAGCTGCTGTCCCCCAGGGCCTGGAGGCCTGGGCAGCCACCACTCAGATGCTTGTCTGTTTGTCCACTTTGTGCCTGCCACAAGCTCACTCGGCAGAGCAGGCAGCTCCAAAAATGGCCCCTCCTCACTGGTGGGGAGTCCTGGTCTCCCCACAGCCTTGGGTGGAGACAGGAGCCCCCATTCAGGCCTCTCCCTCTCCAGAGGTGCCCTGGGCCACCAGAGGGGCCAGCTGCTCCCCACATGCCCCCCAGCCCTCTCCAGCACCCCCCTGCCCATGATGCCCTGCTCCGCTCTCCTCCTCAGCAGGCCCGGTGGACTCACCCTCAGCCACCAGCGTCCAACCGCAGGGCAGATTTTGGTGACATCCAAATTGCCAGGCAGGTTGCAGAGGTTCCAGCAGTGTGAACCCGAGGAGGGACCCTGGGCTGATTTTCCCTGTCTCAGGCTGTCACATTCCCAGAGGCTTTTTCACCGAGGCTTTTAACAGCCGCAACTCTGCCCCAGAACAAATTATGTGCAAACCAGGCGGCTGCCGTTCATTCTCCCTCTGAGCCCTTGTTCCGGGCGGGGCCGGGGTGAGCATGGCAGCCCGGACGCCTCCTGGGGCTGAATCTGGGAGCCCAGCACCCCCAACCTGACCTCCCGGCTCAGGCTGCCCAGGGAGGGTGAGCAGGGCCCAGCAGCCCCCAAAGGCCCTGTCCTCCCATCCCGACACTGCCACAGGGTGACCGCAGTGCAGGGAGCCCCTCGTTCAGCAGTCGGCACCCCAAAGCCCTCTGCAGCCTGGAAATGCAGCACTTCCCCAAGGCTTCGTGTGGCCCCCAGGACCATTCCCCACTGCCCTGTGCACCACAGGCTGCAGGACCCACACAGGACTGGGAGCCGCTGGAGGTGCCAGGGGCCTCTCACCACCCCAAGCACACAGCCCCGGACCACGGCTCCGGGAGGTCCTGACTCACAGACTTGTGCTCTCAGTCCAGAGCGGAGCCCTCCCATAGACATCTGTCCCCTCCTCGGGGACACACACACTCTCACACTCACATCAATGCACAACACACACACTCTCACCCACTCACACATGCACACACTTCCGCTCGCTCACAGTGGCACACACCCCACGGCCAGCAAGAGGGCCCTGGCACTGCAGGCCTCCTGACTCCCCGGCCAGGGCACCCTGTGGCCCCAGCTCCTCTGGAGGGGCGGACTCTCAAAGGCCCCAGGGCCAAGACGGCATCTCTTGCACTGTAGAGTGCTGTGTAGGCCCTTCCCTGGACCAGTCTCTGAGCCCAACCAGGAGTAGGTCCAGGAAGGCAGCCATCACCATGAGACCTCTGAATCTGGGCACCCCAGCTGAGGGGACAGAGATGGCTCATTCTTCCCTGCTATCTGCCTGTCTCCCTCCCGCCCAGCTCTGGGCCACCTCCGAGGCAATGCTGGCCTGTGTCAGAGTGATCTCTGCATTGGGAAACAGCGTCAACGCTGGCCAAAGCCTTCATCCTGGCCAGGCTAGGAGTCATCCTGGGAGTGGCCCACGAGGCAAGGCAAACGCCTGCCCCGCCTGCCCAGCCCCTGGCCTCCCAGGACAGACTGCATTGCAATTCTGCTGCAGGTTGATACTTCCTGTCGACACATTAAACAGGCTTCTCTTGCATTCTGCCAGGGTCTGTGCATCTCCTCCACCCCCACAAGGATGCAGTGTGTTTGAGCTGTGTGTCAATCTCATCAGGGCGCAAAGGCGCTCTGCTGAGGTCTTTGCAGCGTCAATGAAAATCAGGTCCAGGAATCAGCCTAGGAGTCTGCTCAGCAGCAGCCCTGGCAGCCCCCATCCAGCAGGATCAGGGCCCTGCCCAAAGAGAGGTAGGTGCCACCCTTGCCCCTTGATGGCAAGGGGACTTCAAGTAAGCCTCTCCCATGTGCTCATTCTGTCCTTCTGTGGAAAATGTAACTGCTAGGGCTCTGGGTTAAGAGCTCAGCCAGGAGCCCGGACCCCACTTCCTGGCTCCCTAGAACCTTAGTTTCTTCATCATGGAATGGGATTTTTTTTTCCTTTTATCCAATTATGCTTTTTGCTATTGTTGCTTATAATCTTTTATTTATATTTTGTCCTTATTACTTTTCATATCATTATAACTGGCCAGATGTTTAACTTGTATCTTTTTTAATTTTTAATTTTTGTGAGTACATAGTAGGTGTATATATTTATGGGGTACATGAGATGTTTTGATACAAGCAGGGAATGTGAAATAATCGCATCATGGAGAATGGGGTATCCATCCCCTCAAGCATTTATCCTTATTCAGTTATTCTTTTAGCAATCAGTGCTGACTATGTGGCTGGCCTAATGTAGGAATTCAGCATACATATACCACTGTACACTAAACGTGAATGTCCCAGGGCCCTGAGGAAAGAGCTCTGGACCAGAAGTGAGCATGGTTCAGGCTACACACCTTCCACTCAGCAAATAGATGTTGTATAGCAGATGGCTCAGAGTTGAGGGTAAGAGTATGGGGTCTCCACCCAGACACTATCATCTGACTCCCACTTCAGCCTTTGTGAAGGTATCTGACCTTTAAAAATTATTTAAATCCCCTTGCCTTGTTTTCCTCCTTCAGAGAATGAGGATAATAGTTAGAGTCACTCTCAGGCCACTGAGAGACCAGATGGACTTCACTGTTCACAGAGCTCAGGCTATGCCTCGTCAGGATGGTGCTCAGGTGGTTCAGCTGCTGTTATTACTGCCACCCACATTATTGCTGTGTCCCCACTGGCTCTGCCAGGCCATTGAGGCTGGAAAAGGGCGCCAAGTGTCAGTGACCATGATGCATTCTCCATCCTAGGGGGCAGCTAGCCAGGGGAAATGAGGAGGGTCATTGTAGATGGCAGGAAACCCAGAGATCCATCCTGGATCCACCCTGGGGTGGGTGTCACCTGCTCTTCAGAATGCAGTGGAAAACACCAGGTGAGGGAGAAGTCCTCACCTGTCTGTAGCTCGGGCAAGGTTGAGGTATCCCCTTGCTGCATCCCCCTTTCCCTCACACCAGCCTCAGCCTCCTGCTCTGTGTCTTGCCTTGGGTGGCTGGAAGAGGAGCAGGCCAGGCTGTGTCACTGTGAACTGGGAAGCACCCTCTATGGGCAGGGATGGGGTTTCTGTTGACCACCCACTGTCCTGGGCCTGAGCAGTCATCCTGCATGGGAAGGCCGGGGATCTGACCCTGACCTCCCCACTTAGTGGATCGTTCACTTCCCATGCAGGGCAGGGGACAGGTGTCTGCTCACACCTGCTCAGGGAGGGTAACAGGCTCTATCTTGGCACAGAGAGGACCCCAAGAGGCTGGGAGCCCAACAGCACATGCCCCCTCCACAGCCATGCAGTCCCCAGAGCCCACAGTGTCCACTGCCTTGGGAGCCCTCCCCAGCCCATCCTTATCCCTCCAAGCCCCCTTCCCACCCCCGACAGCTCTTCCACCTGCCGCAGCTGCAGGAGAGCAGAAGGGGCACCGACCACCAGGAGCCGCGGGCCCCAGGGCCACAGCATGCTTCTGGCCGGGGCAGGAATTCAGGGTCAGGGGAAAGGACTAATTATGGCTCGAGGATAAAAACGTGAGCCAGGCAGCTGTGTGCATGGAAGGAATGCTCCCCTCAGAGACACGTTTTCCGACTCCTGGACTGCCGAGAATGCACGCTTTGACATTTATGAGGCCCGGGTCCCCCATAAACCCAGATTCCAAAGCGGCGGACAGCTGGTCTGATCCTGGGCATCCAAGGTTGCAGAGCCCTGGGCCCCACGGCCATTTACAATGGGGACATTTGCATTCACTCTGCAGCTGAGGAGCCTTGCTTCTGGACCTGCTGACATTTGCTGAGCAGCTACGGAGCCCAAACTGCAGAATCTGGAGTCACCTTCGCACCGGCAGCAACTTGAGAAGTGCAGGAGATGTGTTCCTTCAGCAGCTGAGGGGACAGAGGCTCCAAGAGGCTGAGAAGCTCCGTCGAGGCCAGGAGCCAGCCGTAACCAGCTGTCTCCCTGCACATAACTGCCCGCTCCAGCAGCACAGGCCCTGGCTGGTTGTTATGCTTTCCAATAAGAATCAAATTGGAAAACAGTTTCCAAATGTCAGCAGTGTTCTTGTTGGGCAGCAGTACTATTGAGAGATGGTTGCTCTTTATTTCCTTTTCTATATTTTCTGCTTTTTCCTGTCCTTACAACAGAAAATAGGAGATGTCTCTGTCCATAAGTAGCAGATTAGTGACTAGGACCAACTCTTCCACTGAACACAACTAGAAAAGCTGGATTAAAATATTTCAATTGGCCAGGCATGGTGGCCCATGCCTATAATCCCAGCACTTTGGGAGGTCAAGGTGGGTGGCTCACTCGTGGCCAGGAGCTCAGGACCAGCCTGGACAATATAGAGAAACCCCGTCTCTACTACCAAAAATACAAAAAAAAAATAATAATAACCTAGCCTAATGTGGTGGCGCACACCTGTGGTCTTAGCTACTTGGGGGGCTGAGGTAGGAGGATCCCTTGAGCCTGAGAGGTGGAGGATGCAGTGAGCCACGATCAGCCTAGGTGACAGAGTGAGACCCTGTCTCAAAAAAAAAATTTTTTTCCAATCTTCTTTAAAGCAGAAAAGAGCAAATCAGGTAGCAAAGAATGCACTACCAGGCCAAAACCTTGGAGGAGTTGAGAGCCCAGCAAGTACTGCAAAACATAAGCAAGAGTCAGCTGCTTCTGCTTTAAAGAACTTTGCAGCCTCAGGAATGACTGTTGCACCCATCAGCCCCCTCAATGGCAGGTGAGGGAGAACCAGCAAGGCTCAGAGGACTCTTAAGAGCCAGCCATGGGCATCTTTTTCCAATCCCACACTCAGTGATGTTGTGTTGGTAACTTGAAGTCAGCCATGGCAGGAGTGTTTACACCATGGGAATTGGCAGGTGCTACAGATCAAAACTGTTTTTTTTTATGAAGAGCCAGTTATTAATTATTTATCAGCATGGCATTAGGGACAACAGAGTCAAAGCCCAGAGTTGGTAAGAGAGAGGAATCCGACAAGGCCCCAACTCTAAGCCTGAAGGCCATGGGTGAGTCAGAAGTAAATCAGTCCTTGTGTGGGCCTGCCATTTGTGATGGTGACTTCAGAGGTCCTGCTCCAGGAAATCTCAAGGCTTAAACTTCGTGTAAAATACTTCCAGACAGGTAGTGCCCCACTAGGCACCTGCAAAAAGCAAACCAACACCATCCTTAAAGAAAGGTACTATTGGCCAGGTGCCGTGGCTCATGCCTGTAATCCCAGGACTTTGGTATACTTGAGGTCAGGAGTTGGAGACCAGCCTGGCCAACATGGTGAAACTCTGCCTCTACTAAAAATACAAAAATTAGCCGGGTATGGTGGCACATGCCTGTAATCCCAGCTACTCAGGAGGCTGAGGCAGGAGAATCGCTTGAACCCGGGAGGTGGAGGTTACAGTTAGCTGAGCTCACACCACTACACTCCAGCCTGGGCAACAAAGTGAAACTCATCAAGAAAAGAAAAGAAAAGAAGAGGGGAGGGGAGGGGAGGGGAGGGGAGCAGAGGGGAGGGGAGGGGAGGGGAGAGGAGAGGAGGGGAGAGGAGAGGAGAGGAGGGGAGGGGACAGAAGAGGAGAGGGGAGGAGAGGAGAGGAGAGGAGAGGAGGGGACAGGAGAGGAGAGGAGAGGAGAGGAGAGGAAAGGAGAGGAACTATCATCCTAAGGCTCAAATTATTCTTACAAGCAATTTTTCAATACAATCTCTAGCACACAAAGATAACCACACACAAAATGAAATTAAATTCACAATCAAGAGCCAGCAAAAACAAAAGACAATAGAAACAGATGCACAAAGACTTCAGGTTTTGGAATTATAAGCAGAAGATCAGATCACATCAAATAACGATGCTTGCTAAGTTTAAAAGATTCAAAAATTCAAACATATCACAGGAGACTGAAAACTATAAAACATGTCAGAGAAGATTTGGAAAAGAACCAAATAAAAATATTTAAAACTGAAAATTAACCAAAAATTAGAACTCAATGCCTAAGTTGTTTTTTTTTTTGTTGTTGTTGTTGTTTGAGACAGAGTCTGGCTCTGTCGCCCAAGCTGGAGTGCAGTGGCGCGATCTCAGCTCACTGCAAGCTCCGCCTCCCGGGTTCGCGCCATTCTCCTGCCTCAGCCTCCCGAGTAGCTGGGACTACAGGCACCCGCCACCACGCCCGGCTAATTTTTTTTTTTTTTTTTTTTTTTTTTTTTTTTTAGTAGAGACGGGGTTTCACCGTGTTGGCCAGGATGGTCTTGATCTCCTGACCTCATGATCCGCCCGCCTCAGCCTCCCAAAGTGCTGGGATTACAGGTGTGAGCCACCATGCCCGGCCAATGCATAAGTTTTAACAGCAGATTTTATACAGCTAAAGAAAGATGAATAAACTAGAAAACCAATCTAAAGACAGTGTCCAAAATGCAACAGGAGACAAAACCAACCAAACAAACAAACAAAAACAGGAAAAACAAATTCAAATTGTATTTCTACATCAACAAACAAGTAAAAAAATGTAATTTAAAAGCATCAAAGAATATTGGGCATCTAGGAATATATCTAACAAATTTATCTGAGACTAAAAATTGTATTGACAGAAATAAGGAACACCAAATAACAAGATAAAACATGCTCCTGTATTGGAAGATACAACCTGTGAAGATGCCAGTTCTTCCTGAATTGCTTTGGTTCAATAATATTCCACCCAAAACCCCAACAGCACTTGGTTCTGTGTCTATGGGAAGCTTAACAAACTGACTGTATAATGTGAATAGTAGCATAAAGAGCCTAGAGCTGCCCGGATACCCTCAAGGAAGAATTTTTTTTTTTTTTGTAAACCTATAACTGCTCAAAAAATAGTCTTTTTTTCTTTTCTTTTTTTTTTTTTTTTTTTTTTGAGATGGAGTCTCACTCTGTCACCCAGGCTGGAGTGCAGTGGCGCAATCTTGGCTCACTGCAACCTCCACCTCCCAGGTTCAAGCTATTCTCCTGCCTCAGCCTCCCAAGTAGCTGGGATTACAGGCATGTGCCACTATGCCCAGCTAATTTTTGTTTTGTTTTTAGTAGAGATTGGGTTTCGCCATGTTGGCCAGGCTGGTCTTGAACTCCTGACCCCAGGTGATCTGCCCAGCTTGGTGTCTCAAAGTGCTGAGATTACAGGCGTGAGCCACCGCGTCCAGACTAAAAAAATAGTCTATTAATTAGAAACAATAACAGATTGGCATTATCTAAAAGGGTTGAAGAGGCGCACATCTCATGACCTGGCAATTCCACTCCTGGGGAGGGACCCTAGGACAAGTGGGCACATGGGCGAGAGTGTTCACAGTAGCATGGGCCACTCAGCCAATTCAGATACCACCCAAGTGTTCATCAACAGCAGAATGGATGAGAAGCCTGTTGTATGTTCGCATGATGGAACATGGTGGAGCCATGGAAGCCAACGGACTATAGCTAGAGAAACCAAGAACTCAACACACTGAGATTATTTCACACCCCTATACAGGAAGATGCAATGTTATCAAGGTTGGCTGCACATCAGACAAAACAGCAGGTGAAAGAAACAAGGAACAAAGCAATCACCTAGCTTTATTCTATTTACATAAACCCCCACCCTGGCCCCGACGGGGAAAGCCACACCAGCTTGTTTAGGGTTGCTAGGACAGAAGTGTTGCCCATATAAGGAGGAGGCAAGAGTGACCGCAGGTGCAGGGGCTCTGCTGGAAGGGTGCAGGGGGAGGGGAATGAGGCTGGGGAACTCTACCGGGTGATCTGGATGGCAGTCACACAGATGCGGGCTCTGAAGTTACACATCCTGTTGTACATTTATGATGCATGTCCTTTTCTATATGGGTGTTGCATTCAAAAATAAAATAAGCATCAAAACAAGAATCGGCTTTGTTCTCTTATTTGATTTATTCTGCTTAATTCAAGGTGCAAATGACCAGCCACTGTCATCACTCCGGGTCCAAGCATCCCCCAGGCCGCATGGCATTGGGCACCTCTGGCATTTCTGGGCGAGTGGACCGGCCAGCCCCAGCCTCCTCGCCCACACAGAGGCTCTCGCCCAGCGTCACCAGGGCCTGGTGTGGGCCTTGTCCCATGGCCATGAAGCACCCTCCTGGGCCAGGCCGCCCCAGTGCTCCCTGCCCTGGAAGCTGCCTCCTCTGCCGTTTCCTGCCTCCTCAGCACAGAAATAACCCCACGTCAGGCACCAGCATGTGTGTGTGGGCTTCTCCCAAGCACACGCAGAGAAGTGACTAACGGGGTGTCACTTTACCAGCGCCTGCAGCGGGGACCCCCACGTGGGCCAACTGGAAGCTTCCAACAGGCTCGCGTTGTGCTGATCAATCATTAATCTGGACATTCAAAAGCATTTTATTTGCTTGACAAGGAGCTGATTGCTGAAGTTGCCAGGAGCCCGAAGTCATTTTTCTCCTTCCTCCCCCTATGAAAAAGCATTCTCCTCCTGGCTAGAGGGGCAGCAGGGCCTGCCAGCGCAGGTGGGGTCCTTGCTGCCCCCCGTCTCATGCTGAGAACTGCAGCGCCTGCCCCCAGCCCCACCACCTCCAAGGCCTTGGCACCTGAGCCCCTCACTTTCTCTTCACACCCCTTCTGCCGTCCTTTCTCATAGCTCTGCCCCCTGCCCTGCCCTGGCCCAGGACTCACCAGCTCCCTCCCCCACAGGGCATAGGCCAACTACACCCCCACCCCTGCAGCCTTCAGGGCCAGCCCAGAGGCCACCTCCACCCATGTTTGGGGCCCCTCTCCAGGACTCCCAGGGCAGCCTTGTTCTCCCACCCCTCCTGGCAGTGCCTCCAGCACCCTGATGCTTGTGCTGTGGCCTTCAGACCCATCCAAAATAAGTTAGGCATGGGAGGTCACTTCATGATCACCAGCTTGAGCCAAAGGGATTGAGACAGTGGCCCATACACCCAGCCAGCCTCAAACAGACCCACTCACCCCGGGGCTTCCCCTCAGGCCCTGTCTCGCAGGAGTCACAGCCTCGAGCATGGCTTCGGTCTTCAAGAAACACCCCCATGGCCTCCCCAGAGCCTAAATCCAGCCCTGAGCAGCCAGAAAGTTCAGGGACAATCACCCCCATGACACAGAGGACAAACCGAGGCCAAAGGAGAAACCTCCTCCAAAGACAACGCGGCACTGCTCACCTAGGGCCCTCCGGTCAAGCCACGAAACTTGCCCCTTCCCTGAGGAGGAGCCAACGTGTTCACCGGAGGGGTCCCTGGCAGCGGAGGTGGCTGCAGTGTGGGCACCACTCTTATGAAGCATCCATCAGAGGCTCCTCCGGTGCATGGCCAGGGGCCTCCACACTCTCGGGGGCCTGAGGGCAGGCGTAGCCTGGCTCCTCCTCAGCCGCACGTCTGGCAGTCTTTCTCTTCTCGCTACAGCTGACATCTGGCTCTCCCCAGAACCCCTACAGTCCTTCAGGCCCCCACAGCCCCAACTCCAGCTCAGGATTGGTCCCTCCGCCATGGCTGCTGCTTGTCAGTCACTCATCAATGGCTTCAGCTTTGGGCCACTCGCTGGGAGGGACAGGATGGTATCCACCTCCCAAAATTCAGATATCAGAGCCCTAAACTCCAGGACCTCAGAATGGGACTGTATTTGGGGATAGGCTCTTTAAAGAGCTGATTCCATTAAAGGGAGGTCATGAGGGTGGCCCTGTTTGCATCCGAGGGGTGTCCTGATAGTAGATTAGGACATAGGCACACCACCCGGAGGAACAGGGAGGAGGTGGCATCTGTAAGCCCAGGACGGGGCCAGAGAGGAAACCAGCCCTGCAATTCCAGGGCCTCAGAGTTCCGGCCTCCAACATCGTGAGAAAGTTCATTTCTGCTTTTGCCCCACCGGTCTGTGGTACTGGCTATGGCAACCCCAGCCAGCCAACGTACTCACAGCCTCTGAGCATCATGGGACGGCCAGTCCATCTGCCCCCTGACCCAGTGACCGTCCTCTCCTCCTGAGGCTGCAGCCTGGGCTGTCATCACCCACAAACCCACCTCCAGCATCCGCTCCACGGCCGCTGCCCTGCCATGCTCCGCACTCCCACCCTCCGCAACTTCCAGCCCCCAGCCTTCCTCCCGACCAGGACCGCGTGTCCTCATTGAGCCAGTGACACTTTACACTTCCTCTCCTGCCCGCCCTTCCTCCTGTGCCCACCTCGGCACCCGTGGTCTATCAGAATGACCACGCCCTTGCCCTCTGCCGCCCGTGCATTTCCTCCCACCATAAGCAACCCCAGCGCTGGGGGAATATACTAGGTGATGGTCTTCGGGTGTTGGTGCAGGCAGCATGTGACTGTGATCCTGGAGAAAAGGAAAGCCTGTGAGATGAGCGCCACGTTGGCCCAGCCCTCCACCCAGGACAATTTCCCCACCACTCATGCAGGAGTGGAGCCCAGGCAGGGTGTGGCAGCAAGCTGAGCCCAGGAGGCAGAAACCAGAGCTCAGGCACTGAGGGGACAGGACTGTGGGGGGCAGGATTCCAGAGAGAGGGTCCGGAGGGGAGTGTAGGGTTCACGGTCCCTGGTGGGGCCTTGCATTCAGAGGGCAGGACCAAGTGCCCTTCTCCAGGGCAAAGGCAGGACAGAGAGCGTAGCAGTTAGCAGCACTGGAAGGTGGTGGGGCTCAGGACCAACCCAAGTCAGGAGGCGAGCTTGGCAGGTGGAGCAGGCAGCTGAGACACAACCATGCTCAGAGCCCTGCTCCAGACACATCCTCAAAACGCCAACACTGAGCCCCCAGGTCCACAGGGGAGACAGAGTGTGGGGACTTTGCGTCACCAAGGTAGAGGCTGGGTAAACGCCATGGGCCTCCAGGACCTGTTTCAACAAAGCATAAAATCGAGATCTGCACAGGCTACTGGGACAAAAATCAGCACTTCTCAGAGGAAGATAACAGAATCCAGAGTTTCCACAAGGTACCATTTACAATGTCTAATTTACAATAAAAAATGACTAGCCAAACAAAGAAACAGAAAAATTGCTTTATGTCAGCAATTATAAATACGTCCCAGGTTTAAAGGGTAATTCCAGAGCTGAAAAATATAATAGCTGAATTTTTTTTAAAACACTGGATAGGTTTAACAACAGATTGGAGATAGGAGAGTCAGCAAGCTTAAAGACAGAAATTTCTATGTCATCTGAAGAACAAAGAGATTGAAGATTTCTAGAACATGAAAAATAAGTGTGTTAAACATATCTTTTTGACACCCAGGACCCTGCTGACCCTGGAGAAACTGCTCTCCGCCACCTCCCAGGCCTAGTCAGTTCCTAGAGAGTGTAAACACTGGGGCACAACTTCCATACGCAAACCAGCTAATCCAGAACCTGCACCCATGCCACCTCCTCTATGGGCTTTCACACTCAGCAGGGTGGCCACAAGTCCCACCCTGATTACCCCAGGGCAGGTACCAGACCACTAGAGACAGCACCTGTACCCCAGAGCCCACCAAAATGACTGAAATGAGCCAATCGTCAGCCTGCTTGCCTGGCCGGACCTTCCCGTGCTTTTCCGTCACTCCTTCTTCCCCCTTGGCCACTCCTGGTGCTGCCCTGTGTGGCCCTGCATGGTGTGGCATGACCCCTCCTCTTGGGAGCTGTGAGTAACAAACCATTTCAATGGCGGTCATCCCCTGGTCTATTGCCCTTGTTGTATCTGAATAATTACAAAACCTACACTTCAGAACAGTGCCTCAGTGGTCTCAGATGGCCTGGGATATGTGTTAGCGGAATCAAAAAAGAAAAGAGAATGTAAAAGAGCAGAAAAAAATATTCAGAGATATGATGGCCAAGTATTTTTCAAAGTATTGAAGAAAATGTCAGTTACAGATCCTAGAATATCAGCAAACCCCAAAAAGAATGAATATATAAACACACACACACACACACACACACACACACACAACTGAGCTCATTATAGTCAAAAGACTGAAAACCAAGAGTGAAAAGAACATTTTGAGAAGAAACAAGAGAAGGGAAAACCCACTTATTCCTCCAGCAATTAGCCTCCCTCTCCTGCACTTCAGTTTCTCCCCCTCTACTTGTTCCCACTATTGATGTCCAGTTGTTTCTTTATGCTATTCTTCCTCACCCACATCTCTCTTCAGCTACTACCCGCATTTCTTTGCTCTTCTTCTGGAAAGAATGGTCCATCATCGCAGTCCCAGCTACTCCTCCCATGTCCTTCAGCCACTGTCACCAGCCTGTTTCCTCCCTGCCCCACCCCACTGGTCACCAAGACCCCAGTGGCTCACATCAGTGAGGGCCACCAAGCCAGCCAGCAGTCTTAGGCCCCACCCTCCTGATCTCTCACAGCCTGTGACATGGGTAGCCTGTGACGTGGGTGGTCTCTTCTCCTTGCAGCACCACCTCCTGCAGGTGTCCCCCACACTCACCTGGCTCACCCCCACCTCAGCAGCCACTCTTTCTGAGGCCTTTTGTTGCCCTCTCATCTCCTTCCAGCTCCTAGACTTGGCTTCCTCGCCTGTCTGTCTACATCCTCCCTTGAGGTCTCACCAAGACTGTGGCTCAAACTTCAGCTGCATACTGAGGACTCTAAAAGTACACACCTCTAGCAAGGGCCTCTCCCTGAGCTTCAGACTTGAGAAATCCACCTTCCATTCAATGTCTCCACTTAAGGGCTAACAGGAGCTGCAAACCTAACACAGAAAGAGGAAAGAAGGAAGGAAGGAAGGAAGGAAGGAAGGAAGGAAGGAAGGAAGGAAGGAAGGAAGGAAGGAAGGAAGGCAGGCAGGCAGGCAGGCAGGCAGGCAGGCAGGCAGGAAGGGAGGGCAGGCCCTGCAACAGAGAAGGTGCAGTGCTGTGTCGACATCCTAGGGACTTGCTGAATGGCAAGATGTGGAGTGAGGGCAAGTGTATTAGTCCACTCTCACGTTGCTATTAAGAAATACCCAAGACTGGGTAATTTATAGAGGTTTAATTGACTTGCAGTTCCACAGGGCTGGGGAGGCCTCAGGAAATTTACAATCATGGTGGAAGGCACCTCTTCACAGGGTGGAAGGAGAGAGAATGAATGCTGAGCAAAGGGGGGAAAATCCCCTTATAAAACCATCACCCCCATGATTCAATTACCTCCCACCAGGTCCTTCTCACAACATGTGGGGATTATGGGAAATATAATTCAAGGTGAGATTTGGGTGGGGACACAGCCAAACCATATCATTCTGCCCTGGCCCCTTCCAAAACTCATGTCCTCACATTTAAAAAGCAATCATGCCTTCTCAACAGTCCCCCAAAGTCTTAGCTCATTCCAGCATTAACCCAAAAGTCCAAGTCCAAAGTCTCATCTGAGACAAGGCAAGTCCCTTCTACCTGTTAGCCTGTAAAATGAAAAGCAAGTTAGTTACTTCCTAAATACAATGGGGCTACAGGCATTGGGTAAATACACCCATTCCAAATGGGAGAAATTGGCCAAAAGGAAGGGACTACAGGCCCCATGAAGTCTGAAATCCAATAGGGCAGTCATTAAATCTTAAAGTTCCAAAACAGTCTCCTTTGACTCTACGTCTCACATCCAGGTCACGCTGATGCAAGAAGTGGGCTCCCACAGCCTTGAGCAGCTCCACCTCTGCTGCTTTGCAGGGTACAGCCCCCATACTGGCTGCTTTCATGGGCTGTGCAGCTTTTCCAGGCACAGTGCAAGCTGAGCTGTTGGTGGATCTACCATTCTGGGGTCTGGAGGACAGTGGTCCTCTTCTCACAGCTCCACTGGGCAGTGCCCCAGTGGGGACTCTGTGTGAGGGCTCCAACCCCACATTTCCCTTCCACACTGCCCTAGCAGAGGTTCTCTGCAAGGGCTCCACCCCTGCAACAGACTTATGTCTGGACATTCAGGCATTTCCATACATCCTCTGAAATCTAGGCAGAGGTTCCCAAACCTCAATTATTGACTTTTGTGCACCTGCAGGCTCAACACCACACGGAAGCTGCCAAGGCTTGGAGCTTGCACCCTCTGAAGCAACAGCCTGAGCTGTATGTTGTCCCCTTTTAGCCATGGCTGGAATGCAGGGCATCAAGTCCCAAAACTACATGAAGCAGCAAGGCCCTGCACCTGGCCAAAAAGACCATTTTTTCCTCCAAAGCCTCCAGGCCTGTGATGGGAGGGGCTGCTGTGAAGACTTCTGACATGACCTGGAGACATTTTCCCCATTGTCTTTGTGATTAACATTTGGCTCCTCATTACTTATGTAAATTTCTGCAGCTTGAATTTCTCCCCAGAACATGGGTTTTTCTTTTCTGCTGCATCATCAGGCTGCAAATTTTCCAAACTTTTATGCTCTGTCACCTCTCGAATGCTTTGTTGCTTAGAAATTTCTTCTGTCAGATACCCTAAATCATCTCTCTCAAGTTCAAAGTTCCACAGATCTCTAGGGCAGGAGCAAAAAGCTTCCAGTTTCTTTGCTAAAACATAGCAAGAGTGACTTTTACTCCAGTTACCAACAAGTTTCTCGTCTCCATCTGAGACCATCATCTGGACTTTATTGTCCATATCACTATTAGCAACTTGGTCAAAGCCATTCAACAAGTCTCTAGGAAGTTCTAAACTTTCCCACATCTTCCTGTCTTCTTCTGAGACCTCCAAACTGTTCCAACCTCTGCCTGTTACCCAGTTCTGCCTGTTACCACATTTTTGGATATCTTTATAGCAGCACCCCACTCTTGCTACAAATTTATTGTATTAGTCCATTCTCATACTGCTATAAAGAACTGCCCAAGACTGGGTAACTTATAAAAGAAAGAGGTTTAATGGACTCACAGTTCTGCAGGGCTGGGGAGCCCTCAGGAAACTTATAATTATGGCAAAAGGCACCTCTTCATAGGGCAGCAGGAGAGATAATGAGAGCCAAGAAAAGGGGGGAAGACCCTTATAAAATCATCACCCCTATGATTCAATTACCTCCCGTGTGGGGATTATGGGAACTACAATTCAAGATGAGACTTGGGTGGGGACACAGCCAAACCATATCAGCAAGTCAGGGTCAGGATGGAACTAAAACCCAGTTCTGCCCAAGCCAAAGCCTCTAATGGTTCATAAGATGATACCCCAGAAGAGATGTTCCCTAGCTGTGCCCAGGTCAGGATGATGCTCTCTCCAGCACCAGCCTGAGCTTGAACAAAGGCATCTTCTTTGTGTAGAAAGCAGCCAAATATGTCATCCTAAGCTGGAGCCCCTCCTCCTACTCCTGGGGAGCAGCAGTAGAGTAAGCCCCATACCACCTGCACAAGCACCCCCTCCCCATCAGCAGACCCCACATCAGTCACCACAGCTTCACAGCCTTGACCCTCAAGCTTTCCCCATGCTGCCTGCCTACCCAGCCTGGTGTCCTGGTAGTGGGAAGACCTACCACTGGACTCCACAGACAAATGCCAGTGCATGGATCCCAGGGGGTTGAGCCACTTGATCCCTGGATCCCATGGATCTGGCATACTCAGCAGCCAGATTAGCAGCCTCCCTTGCAGGCCGGACTTGGGGGATAAATAGAGGCAAGGATGGAATTAGCATCTTCAGATCTCTCTGGGATGGGAACAAAACCACAATCTCTGCCAAGTTGATGATAATGAAGAGATGATGACAATGACAGGGATGATAATAATGATGACAATGACCATGATGATGATGGTGATGATGGTGATGTGATGGTAATGATGTGATGGTGATAACGATGATGATGACAGTGATAGTGATTATAATGATGGTGATATGATAGTGATGGTGATGATGGTGATGATAATGATGGCAATGATGATGGTGATGATGATGGCAATGATGGTGATGATGATGTGATAGTAATGCTGATGACAGTGATGGTATAGCTATAATGATGATGATGTGATGGTGATGATAATGGTGATGAAGATGATGGTAATGATGGTGGTGATATGCTCATGGTGGTGTGTAATGGTAAGGATGGTGGTGGTGACGATGATGCAATAGTGATGATGATGGTGATGGTGGTGATGATGGTAATGGTGATGATGGTGGTGAGAGTGATGTGATGGTGATAATATTGATTATGATGATGATGGTGATGATGGTGATGGTAATGATGGTGGTGATGATGGAGTGTAATGGTGATGGTGATGATGATGGTGGTGGTGATGACGGAGTGTAATGGTGATGGTGATGATGACGGTGACGGTGATGATGGTGATGATGATGATGGGGTGATGGTCATGGTGATGATGATGGTGTTGATGATGTTGATGGAGTGTAATGGTGATGGTGATGATGGTGGTGGTGATGGTGATGGTGGTGATGTTGATGATGGAGTGTAATGGCGATGGTGATGATGGTGGTGATGTTGATGGAGTGTTATGGTGATGGTAATGATGATGGTAATGATGGTGATGATGTGACAGTGATGATCATGATGGTAATGATGATGGTGGTGAGGGTGTTGTGATGGTGATATGATGATTATGGTGATGGTGACAATGACAATGATGACAGCCATCTTCTGTTAACCACCAACTACATGTTAGGTACTCCCCATGCATAGACTCATTTGATTCTCACAACCATTTAGAAAGATGAATGGCATGTCCTCCCTCCATGGAGGAGCAAACTCAGACTCCTCAACTTTAAATGTTCACTAAAGTGGACACAGAGCTAGAGTCAAGCTTTAGGCTCAGGCCAGGCCCCACCACCAAGTGCTGGTGCAGGGCTGGACTGTATGAGCCCTTGTCATTGTTCTCTGAATTATCTCAGCAAGCCTGCTGTGGTTGTCATTTTACAGATGAGGAAAGTGGGTCCCAGATGGGGTAAATGACTCAACAAAAGTCAAAGCTCCATCAGCAAGTGGCAGGTCTGAGGGGCAGCATCACGTCCCAGAGTGCTGGAGGGGCAGGCAGAGGCCTGGCCTCTTGGCAACTATGAGCCTCCATGCCTTCATCTCATCTGTCATTATAGCAGTAAGGGTCATCCTGACCACCTTAGAGGTGCCCGAGGAGATGCACAGAATGTCAGGCACCCACCAGGTGCTTGGCAAACCCCGCAGGGTCTAGCCAATCCCAGAACCAGGCTCCAGCTCCCAGTCCTGTGCTCCTCTCCTTTGCTGCCCTTGCCCCTCTGGCCAGACCTCCAGGACCATCAGTGGACTCAGGTCGTGGCCTGGGAAGCTGCAGACCTGAGCGAGGAGAAACATGGTGAGGAGCAGCTAGAGGCTGAGCCTCCTCCAACATCCCCACCAGGACAGCCTTGTAAGCAATGAAATGGTTAAGGCCTCCCAGCCCAGCAGAATTGGCTCATTATCATTTCTAATATGGATCAATACTCTTCAGGCATCTGACAAAGCCGGCAGCTCTCTGTTCCCTTCCTGCCCTCCAAACATAAAAGATCCCCTAAGCCACACTGGCCCGGGGCTCTGGCCCTAGCCCCCTCCTCAGGCCTCATCTCCATAGTGGTCTTAATCAAGTCGTGGGGAAAGATGCAAGTCAATAAGTCCTCATTGATCACCTCCTCTCCCCTCCACCCCACTGACATTCTGTCAGCCCCTCCCCCACAGCCAGCCGGGCTAATGGGGGTCCTTGCCTCCCACGTAGGTAGTGGGTGGGGGGTGCTCGTGAAAGCCCTGATTGCTCTGAGGCCCAGGGCCTCCGTCGCAGCGAGGGCTCCAACACAACATATGCCTCCTGCCCGACGGCTTTGTCTTCAACAATAAAACAGGGTTTCTCTCCCGCCTCAGCCCTGGGTCCAATTTATCAGGCCTGGCACTGATCATCTGCTTCCCTGTCACCAGCCGGACTTGGGGGATAAATATAGGCAAGCAGATACAGAATTACCGTGACCAGATCTCTCTGGGTCGGGAACAAAAACCACTTTACACTCCTTATGAAGCATTTCCACCATCACAGACATGAAGGCAAAGGGGCGGGACCCCAGCAACCAACGGGAGCTCATCCTTCCCCTTGTAAGAGCCAGAGGAAGCTGCCACATGGAGCTCCCAGGCTGTGTTCCTTTGGGAAGTCACCTGCAGTGACTGAGCCTCAGTTTCCCATCAGGGACACCTACCTTGCAGGGCTGCGACAAGCACTCACGGAGAGAATAAAACAAAGGATCTTCCACTGAGCTTAGCAGACAGTGGGTGCTCCGTGAACGGCAGTTAGCGCTGCTGCCTTTAACGGTGCGACTGTCCACAGCCAGGTATGGCATTCGGGATGTGTCACGTCCACGCCCCACGGAAATGTCAGTGACAGTTCGCACCCTTGTTCGTCCTCAGCCATCACTCCTAGAGCTGCCATCTGCAGACAGTGACCAGCTCAGGGTGGCACCACAGGCCCGCCCTGCCCTTTTGAGGCTCTGCAGGGCTGCCGCAGGAGCTCCAGGTAGATTGATGCCCGCCTGTGGCAGAGGTCCCCAGCGGCTCTGCACAACATCTCAACAAATGTTCCTGGACAGGCGGCCTGGGCTGGAAGCCGATCAAACACCATAAATACTGCGCACCCAAGGCCGTGACTACATTACCGCACGGTGTGTAAATAACAGGCCCGGGGTGGAAACACCCGGGAACAACCTCTAGCCAAGTAATTTATGCCCCTGTGAAACCCGATTAGATCCCAGCTAAGTGACTTCGCGGACGGGCAGGCCGCTTTGGAGAGAGAGAGACTGAGTGAGCGGCCACCACAAGCACCCAGGGGGGCCTTCGTGGGGCCATCATCTCCCCTGTGAGGGGGCAGGCTTGGAGCTCAGGCATCCCATCAGGCTGGGTGGGGTAGCATCTTGGTGACCCAGGCCACCCAGGGGTGATGACCCCACTTTAGCGTGTGGTGGGAGGCACCCTGCAGATGCATCCTACCCAGGCAGGATGGACACCCCGTCCGCAGCCCCTGGGACACAGCAGGCCCAGCCTCTCGGTGCATTTCAGTCTAAATGTAGATGCAAGTTCAGTCAAGGCCTCAGCCAGGAGCCGCCCTGCACAACGAGGCTAGCATTACATGTGCCCCTCCTGGGCAGGGTCCCCGGCAGATGGAAAACATGGGCCTGGGGCGGGGACGGCTCCTGACCCAGGATAAGGACCACAGTGGCCAGGTCAGGGTGGCACCACAGGCCTGCTCTGCCATGCCAGCCCTGCCAGGCTGACCACAGTTAGCAGGGTCTGTCAGAGGTGGCCGGGGCAGCAGGAGGGCAGGACACAGCCCAGGCCTTGAGGCAGGCACCACTCAAGAGCAACCGGCCACCAAGTCCTCCCTCAGAAGGGGCTTGTGTCACATCCCCTTGCACTCCCCGCTGCTCCCCCTCCACAGCCCCCCAAAGGGGCTCTACCCCTGGTGCCCATTTCCCCATGGCCCACATACCCCAAGTGCTGCCCCACGGCTACTGCTCCTGCCTTCTCGCTGAGCCTCGCCTTGGGCCCACCCTGCTCCCTGCTTCCCTCTGGCCTGGCCACTCACCAGGCAGTTGGGGCACACTGGTGTGCAGATCTGGGGGCCGGGCACTGAAGTCAGCTCAGGCTCAGAAGCCAGGCAGAGCTGGGTTCAAATCCCAGCACTGCCCGTCTTAGCTGAGTGACTTGAACAAGTAATGTTAACCCAGCCTCAGTTTACTCCTCTGTAAAGGAGACAATAGTGCCTCCCCTGATTTCCCTGATAGGGGTGGGTATCCCAAGTGAGAGAGAGAAGGTCAGTACCCAGAAAACCCTGGGGGACGGTAAGAGAGTGCTCTGGAAGCCACCTGTGGCTACTGGCCAGGTGGCAGTGGTGAGGGAGGGGTGGGTGAGGCTCAGGAATCTGGACCCATGGGAACAAGGGCTGCACTGGGACCCAGGCTGCGGGCGTCCCCTCTCGCCACCTTGGGCAAAGTACTCCACCTCTGTGAGCTCCCAGGGGGCCCTGTCTACCCATCCTCACAGGAACACAGGAAGGATCTGGTCACGTCACCTCTGCTCAAGCCCTCTGGTGGCTTCCTAGTATTTCTAGAGTCAAGTCCAAGGCCTTTCCACCTCGTACCCAGCTTCCTGCCCATTCACTCCACCCTCCTGCCACCACCAAAGTCTACGCTCCAATCACCTTGAACAAGTTACTCTTCCCAAGCAATTCTACCTCTCCATGCCTCCCCCTAGAGTCACCTTAGTCTCCAGCTCTGCCTAGTGAATTCCTATTGATACTGCAAGACTCAGCCCAAATGGCCCAACCTCTACGAAACTGTCCATTGTTCTCAAAGCAGAGTTAAGTCACACCTTCCTCTGAGCCCCCACAGTAGCCTTGGCTTAGTCAGAAAGGAGATCAGTATGACTTACCCCTTTCCAGGAACTACTTCCTGTTCTCCACCCCACAGCTATTGCAAACCTGCTAGGTTAGTGCACTGTGACCCCACTGCCCTGGCCCCAGCTGAGTGATCCTAAGGGAGCCACCTGATTCAGGCTGGGCCAATCAGAGCACTTTTCCAGGGTTACTGGAACTTGAACTAGGAAACAAAAGTCAATTTATCTCTGGTGGCCAGAGGTGTAAGGTGCAAAATTGGGGAGCCTCCAGCCACACATTTGCCACACGTGGAACAAACCAGTGAGAGAGCTGAGGCCTGACCTGGGAAGGAGACCTCTGGGCCTTGGCCCTGGTGGCCCCTAAATCCCAGCTGCCTCCCATCCTGGGGATTCAACCATCCTTAGATTCCACAGGATGCCCAGGTCTCATCCAGCAAATCCTTCAGCCCCAGCTACTGTGAGAGTTTCTGTCACTGTTAACCTGTGAGTCCCCATCCCTGGAGACAGTGATGGTCTCATCAGGCTGACGGCCCTACATGGGGCAATTCATTCAGCCCCTAATGAAAGCTCAGCCGCAAAGCCCCCACTGACACGGGTTCTTGCAAGGCCTAGAACCAATTAGATATTTCTACTTTTAAATTTTCTTTCTTAAAGAAGACCCCCCAAAGTTGCACAAGCATAAGACCCCTGGGATCCTTCTCTGGCCACTGCAGCCTGGGAGTCTCCAGGGCAGGCCTCTGTCTGTGAGTCTCTCTGGGCCATGCCCAGCACACAGGAAATGCACAGGAAGCGAGGACACAACCCCATTGAATCCCTGGAGCCCTGCATCTCATAACTAATTTAGCACTTCCTGGCCTGGCCCCCTTAATAACACAGGCACAGGAAAGCGTGCAGAGGAGGGAGGACAAGGAGGCTCAGCTGCTGACACCTGCAGGTCAGTTCTGTCTTTCTTCTAGCACAAGCCTATTGCTAGCAAGGGGCCAGGCTGGCTCACTGTGGCACCTCTGTGCCCCCAGGCCCCACAGGGGCCACCTCATCTGACCACTGTCCCAGCGGCCAGAGAGACCTGCTGGGTCTGCACTGAGAGCCTGGGCCCATGCAAATGACCCCTCCTGGTTCAGGAGCCACCACCACAAGGGCTATGAGGAACCAGGGACCCTCATCCCATCCCCGGCACCACTAAAACGAAACGTTAGGCTCATCGGAGTTCCTACCACTAAATCAAACACTAATCTGCTCCCCCTAATTTATCTAAGACAATATTAGCCAGACAAAATGAAACATAAATGTGAGTATGAGCCCGGCTATCTGGGAAGTGGGAGCAGGCGGCCTGGGGAAATGGATTTATCGTGTGTTTGCTGAGGCAGGCCAGGCATGCATGCCCGCAGAAGGCTGGTAGCTCCAGCTCGGCCCGGGCTAGCCTCACACAGGCGTCCACCTAAAGGCACATCAGCTTCCTCCCCAGGAAACAGTGTCGGGCACCATTGGAGCTTGAGAAACGGGAAAGTGAACCAGGGTGCCCTGCAGCTGCTGAGAATAATTCACACCAAAAGATTTCTCCAAGTGTTAGCGGACCTAAAATATCAGTGAGAGAGTTGGAAGCAAGCCGTATACCCAGAAGGACCCTGGTGGACATGCTACTTTGGTAAACAACTAATGGGATCCTAGAGTCAGAGGCAGAGGAGTAGCCCCACATAACCCACCAGTGACCATCAGTGACACATCTGTCAGGCTGTCAGGTGTGTGGCATGTGGCTGTCCTGTCTAACTTCCACCACAGCCCAAGGCCACCGGGATTTAACCCAATTCCCAGGTAAGAAAACTGGCTCCAGAGAGTGAAAACCACTTGCCCAAGATCCACGTCAATGAGATCTGAAGCAAGTCACACCCACCTTCACTCAGAGCAGCCCCGGGAGCCACACCTGCCTTCACTCAGAGCAGCCCCAGGGAGCCACACCTGCCTTCACTCTAAGCAGCCCGCGGGAGCCACACCTGCCTTCACTCTGAGCTGCCCCTGGGAGCCACACCCACCTTCACTCTGAGCAGCCCGCGGGAGCCACACCCGCCTTCACTCTGAGCAGCCCTCGGGAGCCACACCTGCCTTCACTCTGAGCTGCCCCTGGGAGCCACACCCACCTTCACTCTGAGCAGCCCGCGGGAGCCACACCTGCCTTCACTCAGAGCAGCCCCAGGGAGCCACACCTGCCTTCACTCTGAGCTGCCCCGGGGAGTCACACCTGCCTTCACTCCGAGCAGCCCCGGGGAGCCACACCTGCCTTCACTCCGAGCAGCCCCAGGGAGCCACACCTGCTTTCACTCAGAGCAGCCCCAGGGAGCCACACCCGCCTTCACTCTGAGCTGCCCCCGGGAGTCACAACCGCCTTCACTCCGAGCAGCCCCGGGGAGTCACAACCGCCTTCACTCTGAGCTGCCCCAGGGAGCCACACCTGCCTTCACTCAGAGCAGCCCCAGGGAGCCACACCTGCCTTCACTCAGAGCAGCCCCGGGGAGTCACACCTGCCTTCACTCAGAGCAGCCCCGGGGAGCCACACCTGCCTTCACTCCGAGCAGCCCCAGGGAGCCACACCTGCTTTCACTCAGAGCAGCCCCAGGGAGCCACACCCACCTTCACTCTGAGCTGCCCCCGGGAGTCACAACCGCCTTCACTCCGAGCAGCCCCGGGGAGTCACAACCGCCTTCACTCTGAGCTGCCCCAGGGAGCCACACCTGCCTTCACTCAGAGCAGCCCCAGGGAGCCACACCTGCCTTCACTCAGAGCAGCCCCAGGGAGCCACACCCACCTTCACTCCGAGCAGCCCCGGGGAGTCACACCCACCTTCACTCTGAGCAGTCTCCAGATCCCAGGAGGAAATGCAGCTGGGGTGATGGTGGGCATCTACCCACCATGGGTCAGCAACGCCCCCTGGGAGGCATCTTCCCTCCATCCCACCAACGACAGCACTGCTCTTAGCCCCACTCTGTTGAGAGTAGGGAGACGTGCCCAAGGTCACAGCAAGGTCAGGCCCTCCCTGACCCAAGCCTTGTGGCCTCTCCTCCACCCAGGCCGAGCCCAGCCGGCGTTCAGCAGCCAGGGACAGGCTTGCGGCCTGGAAACCTCTGGACCAGGCAGGGGCCCACAGCTCCTTCTGCCCCAGGTGTCTGTACAGCCCTGTGGTCACTGCTGCTCTGTCCCCTGCCTGGAAAATGGGCTGAAGCCACATGGATGAGACCACCTGAGGCAGCAGGTGGAGCCGAAGGTCCCTGTCCCTGGAGAGCATGGGGCCCCCGAGCACCCAAGGTCCCGGCCAGATCCAGCCCCTGAGCAGAGGCTGAGTGCTGTGGCATGGATGGGTGGGTCTGAGCCGGGAGCCCCCACTGTGAAGTGGGACTGGGAAGCCCAAACACCAGCAGGGGGCGCTCGGCTCAGATCACTGGCGCTGGCGGAGACACCAAGTCTGTAGACTGGCTCCGAGGTGGCCGGTGGTCTAGGGGACCCCCCACCCACACCCCTCTCTGGTTATCCCAGGGCCACCACAGACTACACGCCACCAGCCTGGCTCCTCCAGAGCAGACATCCAGCTTCTGGCCGCAGACCCCACCCAGATCTGCCTTCCAGCACATTCTGCCCCCTCCCCAGGGCCCTGGAGCAGATTACATCGAACCCCTTGAGCTTCCTGCCAAGGACAAGTGAGGGGCCAGGAGAGGGAAGCCCCATAAATCTCTTTGGAGACATGTGCCAAGATACCAGACACCAAAATCTCATTAGCAGGCTAAACTCTCGGGAGGAAATGGAAAATAAGTACCCGCAGATACAGGCCTGGAAACCGCAGGACCCCGAGCAGGAGACATGGATTAGTGGAGATGATATCCACGGGACAAGCTGTTGCCACAGGGGTTTTGCATGTTTTTTTTGTTTTTGTTTGTTTGTTTTTGCTTTAACTACAGTTTAAGTATAGCAGGACCCTCAGCACACCGGGTAGGTGGGGTTGAGGCCCTTTATTCACAAGAGAGGAGAGGAGGGAGGGCGAGGCCTGGCGGCAGAGGCACAGGGGGCAGGCAGGCAGCCGGGCCCTCCCAGGAGGGCATTCGTTCGGGAGCGTGGCTGCGCTGGGGCCCCGTCCATGCTGCTCAGAGCCCTGGCGCGTAACAGCTCCTTCCACGCAGGGAAAATCCATCCAGGTTTAATGGAAACATTAACCTCAACTCACCCGATTTCCTCCTCGCACTGAGGTCTGAGAACGGGAAGAGGCTCCGAGGCTGGAGCTCCCCAAGGCCTGGCACAGACGCGGGCCCACGGGTCCGGGAACACTCAGCGAGGGCCGGGACAGTGACAGTGGGTGCCTTCATCAGAGCAGAAGCAGCCCCAGGACGCCCCCACCCCTCTCGCCAGCTCAGCCAGCGTGCTCTTCACAGGCTGGACATGACAGACAGGAAGAGGAAAGCCCCTCCCCCAGCACTCAGCTGCTCATGCTCCCTCCGGAGTCTGCGCAAATTACCAAGGAAAGGGGGTGGCCCAGGCAGCTACGCCGTGTCCAAGGTCACCTGGTCCCCCTGGCGCAGTTCCAGGACACCCCAGGCAGGAGGTTGTCAGAGAAAGGAGGAGGCAGCTGGGGTGGGGGCGGGGGCGGCAGGCTGCCTGCAGAGGCGGGAGGGCAGGGTCGGGGAGGGGCTTTGGGGAGAGTAGGAGTCTGGGAGTGGACCACGCCCTCACACCCTGCCCCCTCAGCCATCAGCAGAGTGACCCAGAGCGGGAACTTGGCCAACGGTGAAGGCCACAGCAGGGGCCCAGAGGGGCTTGTACAGGGCACGTGCCGTAGGGTGCACAGCCACCACCCCGCGTGGCAGAGGCCTTAGCAAGAAAACTGAGGGAGTCTGCTGGGGGCCTCCAACAGTGGGGAGTGGGGGAGAAGACGCTGGCCTCCAAGTCCCTGACAGCTCCATCTATACCTCAGCAGGGAGGGGCAGGGTTGGTCCGAGACCAGGGTCAGGGCCCAACCCATTTTGAAGGGTCCGAGAGGCAGCTGCCCTCAAGAGACCTAGCTTGTGGCTTTGGTCTCCTCTGCACCCTTCAGGGCAGCCCTGTGCCATGACCCCGCACTGACCCTGACACAGGAGGCTGTACCCAAGGAGCTGGCACTTGGGGATGGGCCACAAAGCCATAAGAGCCTTCCAAGCAAAGACGCAGAAGGCCAGGAGTGGAGTCCCCGTCTCTTGGGCTGCAGGCCAGCACTCCCTGACCCATGCTGGGTTGAGGACCCCAGGCAGGCCTGAGGGACAGGCTGGCCGCATGTTCCCACCCTCAGGTGCCCCTGTGTGATGGCCTTGGTCACACCACCTACTGTCCCCCACCACATTGAATGACCCGCCCATGGGATCTGTGGTCTAGCAGTTTGAGACTAACTTCGATTTCTTCCTCTCCTTTTGTCCTGCCAGCCCCACCAAGAGGCCTGTGCACAGAGCCCAGGGGAGCCCGAAGCTCCCTGACACCATAGAGACCCCCTAACTGGCACAACGCTCCATGCAGGCAGAGCCAGGCCACAGCCACAGCACCATCAGAAGACGGGAGGCGGCTGTGCCTGGCCCAGGGAGCAGCAGGTGTGCAAGAGAGCAGGTCTTTCACCTGTGCTCCGAGGTGAGCAGGAAGATCTTTCTCCAATTGCCCTAAATGTGGGAGCCTGGTTTTCCATGTCAGAGAACAAACATTCCATCATTTTTATCTTTTCTGTCAGGTCCCAGAGCAGCTGCTTTGCCAGCGTCTCTGTTGGCAGGTGGCTCCATGTGAAGTCATCAGAGCCGGGCTCAGGCCACCCAGATGACGCACAGAGACAACCCCCCAGCAGGTCAGAGGGTGGCGGCCCAAGGTGGCTGCAGAGGACAAAGCGGGGAGGAGGGGCCTGGCCCCCCTCCGCAGGGTGCAGGCTCCCAGCACATCTGGGCGCCAAGGGTCCTGGTACCATGAGGGGTAGAGCAGCTCAAGGGCACCAGGCCAGCCACTGCCCGGAGGCTTCCCCAGCCCACACCCACCAGGGCTGCCCCTCAGCCTGGGGCCTTCCAGACCACCCTCCACCCACAGGGCGGCATCCCCCCTCTTCATGGCGTCTGAACACCTCTCATCTCTTCATAGCATCCGAGACCCTCCGGAACACCTCTCCACATCCACCTACCCGGGCCCCGGCCCTCTGTGCTGTTCTATGCTGCAGGTTTGCCCAGGGGGTGCCCCCACCGCACCCCCTTCTGGGGGCCAAAGGCTCAGGCTACACGCCTGGGGAGCACTGGTGGCCTTTGCCTGGGTCTCGGGTCCCCATGTTCCCCCACCCCAGCTCCTCGCCATGGGCTGACTCCCAGTCTCACTCGTTTCCGCTGCGTAGGAGCAGAGACTTTCAGGAAGGACTCCATAGTCCTTGAGACCACCTCTCTCCCCAGCTGTCAATGCCACCGGGGGTGCCTAAGAGCCCAGGGAGCCTGCATGCCACCCACCACGTGGCCTGGTGGGGAGGCTCTGACCAGCGTTTCATTTGCAGACCGGGTTCCTGGCTGTGCTCCCTTCCCTGGGGCAGCCCGGCCTGAGAGGCAGGAGTTCTGGGGACCTGGGGAGGGCACCTGTGCGGATGCAGGGTACACAGATGGCCTGCGGAGACAGTGGGTCCTGAGCGTGGAGAGTCACCAGCAGGTCCGAGCCTGAGAGAGTTGGGTGGGGCCCATGCAGGGTCGGCTCCAGGAGCTCCGGTGGGGAGAGTCAGGATGGGCCGAGAGCCAGCAGGGCAGAGGGGAACTCAAAGGGCCCCCAGTGTGCCCCATGTTCCTGACTTCCTAGGAGGCAGTTTCTGCAGTCCCCAGATACAGATGGGAACAGAGACACAGGGTGGCTGAGTTCCCAGCCGGGGCAGGTGGCTGGCAAAGGAGCCCTGGCAGAGCCCTGTGACCCCAGATTCCAATCCCCTCAGCCCAACGCCCTTTCCTTCCTCCTCTCCCTCTGGAGGACCCCCCGCCCCGCTACAGAGCAGGGTCCTGGCCCCGAGACGTCGCTTCACCCTGCTTTTCGCAGGGAAGCACGTGCAGCCGCGGGAGGATAGAGGGGCCCCAGCTGCCCCCGCCATGCCGCCCGCCACAGAGGGGACACGGCTTTGGACCACACGCAGAGCTCCCGCCAAGCTGGTGAGTGTAAAGTGGGCTTTTGTCGGCGGCCCACGACAGCTCCCTCTCGGGGTCTTCCCATGTCCTCAAAGACAAAGGGAGCTTGTCCCAGAAGAGGACCCTGGGGAGGCCTCGGGGCTGTCCTGCTTCCGAGGGAATGAGCCTGGCCCCCAAAGGAGCAAGCCCATCCCCCTCCAAGCCCTCTCACCCCAAAGCCAAACATTCCTTGAGGCCAAGCCCACAGGCCCATTGGGCTGCCTTCCGGAAGGGCGATAAATCCACAGGCGGAATAATCCCCAAGCCCAGAGCCTCCGTATATCAGAGGGACCAGCTGTCATCAGTTCAGTAGCCACCTCCTTCCTGGCCAGTGTTGGCCCCACACACACTCGTGCTCAAGTCTCGGGGAAGCAGCCACCGCCGCAGGCTGGGCCTCCTGCGGGGCGGGGGCGAAATACGTATAGATGTGGAATCCAGACCCAGAGACTCACAGCAGCATTGAGTGAGCCCCCCACACACGGCTAGCCTTGCCACCCCTCCTGGTTATGGGGACAGGCAGGAAGCTGACGTTATGTATTCATCTGTACCTCCGGAACTGTCACCGAGCCGCCTTATTTACTGACCCTGTTACCAGCCAATGTGGACTTCAGCCCAAAGCCACCGCCCTAATGGATGCGGATCAGGGTCAGCTTCTCTCAGAGAGGCTTGAACTCTGAAAGGGGATGATCAGCTTCTACGTCATTGGGGGAGGGGGCCGGGTGGACCCCGCTTCACATAGGATGTGCAGCCCTGAAGGGGTCAGGGTTTCTGGGCAGCTGCTGAGCCAAATTAAATACCACCTCCCTCTGAGTCTGTGAGAGAGGACACACGGCTGGGAAGAGCCCCCCGCCCCGCACCATGTCTGACTCCAGCCTACCCCACGTGCACCCTCCCAGCCAAGCTGGCAAAGAGGAGCCCCCTCCCCCGCGCCTCCCATCTGGAACCCACCCTGACATCCGCAGGCCGCTAATTGCACAGCGGCCGGTGCCAGAGTCTTCCCAGGTTGTTAAAATTCATCACCGAGTTCCCCCGACTCCAAGCCTGCTGCCCGCGCAGCCAATCGCGGCCACCCGGGCCTCATCCAGGAGGCGATCTGTGAGCCCGGGCACCTGCAGAGACCTCTGTCGCTATCCCATTAGGAGGGGCCCCAGAAGGATGCACACCAAAAGCATCCCGCAGCCTGTCATTAAATATTGATAAAAGGCAGGAGGGGAGAACACTATGCAAACTATTTATTGATTTTCCATGTGCGGAACTGAGATAATGAGAGGCCAGAGGACAGTGAGGGGCTGGGGGCCTGGGGGGTTGGGGGGCTGGGAAGGGACTCTTGGTGCCAGCTCAGCAGGGACTCATGGAAGGACCGGAGCAGACAGAGAGGCAGTGTCCCACACACCTGGGCCCGAATTCCAGCTTTGCTGCTTACGGGTTTTTGGTACCTTTTTTTTTTTTTAACAGAACCATTTGCTTTTTTTTTTTTTTTTTAACTTTAAAACAGTTTGCATAGTAAATGTTTAAGAATTGGTGGTCACATGTATATTATGAAAATCCCTCTGTAAAAAATCTCGAAGACCTGAATTCTACATCTACTTTAAAGAACAGTAATGCTTATATTTTCAAGAAAGAACAAAAATGCCGCCCTTTTCAGTGAAAAGGCACAGCCAGCCCCTGCTTCCAGCTGTGAAAGACCAGGCTGGACCCATGAGGCAGGTCAGAGGCTTCCAGGAGGTGTCCTCCCTGCCTGGTGGAGCCTAATGGCTCCAGAACATTCTGCTCTCCCAACAGCAATGCCTCACAGGTGGCACTGGGCACCCTACACGTCTCATCTCATTGGATCCTAAATTAGCCTTGCAGCCTGTACCAGGCCCTGTTAGCCCCAACTCACCAGCGGGGCTGAGATTGGGCCAATCTGCAAACCCACGTCTGCAGCGGCTTCAGAAACCAGCGGGTCCACCCTTCACTCTGGAGAGATTCTGATGCAAAGCAGTCCCTTTCAAAAGTAGAGTTTTTAAGAAGCAGCTGCTTGGTCATCCAGAAACCTCCATATTCCAGACCTGACCTTGCGGGTGTCTCCTGGCCTCACGTGTCTACACGGAGGATGCTTGCTCCTCAGTCCCCCAAGTCCTGGGAGATGAGGGGCCCGGGTAGGCACCTGTCACATTCCCTCAGCCAGGACTTCACCACCCAGCCCTGCATTGAACAAAATGTGAAAACTGAGGCCCAGGGAGGAGCCAGGACGTGCCCCAGGTCCCCCAGCCAGCAGGACAACGCGGGGCCTCCAACCCTCAGCCGAAGGCGCGGTTCCCTGCACTCCCCTCCCCACAGGCGCAGTCCAGGCCTCTGCACTGCCCTCCAAGGCGCGGGCTCCAGGGGACCTGCCACTGGCCCAGACAGGCCTCCCCGGGGCTGAGCGGAAATCAGGAACGACAGGGAAGGGCCCTGAGCCCTGAGAGGGTGAGAACTGCTTGTTTACGAGGCTAATCCCCCAAGAGAGCCCAAGGTGAGGAGGAACGGCTGAGCAAAATCATCACCGCTGCCACCATGTGGGCTCTGGTCTGTCCATCCACAGCCCCCAGGACCCAGGGGGGCCCCTTCATGACCACTCCCTACTTGGGAAGAGCCCCCGACATGGGAGCATACCAGCCGCCACTTCACTTCAGGGGGCCCAGGGCTGGGAGTTCAGGCTGTCGTCCTCAGTGGGCCCCGAGAGCACTCTCCACTCCCTCACCCAGTCTGGAGGATGAGAGTTCAGGCCAGCAGACACCTCTGTCAGCTGCTCACCCCAGCCCCACAGAGGGGACTGTCTCTGCCTCATCTGTACCTGGTCTGGCTTCTGCTCCTGCCTCCTGACTCCCTCCCCAGGGACCGCTCAGTGCCACCCACATCCTGGCAGATCACAGAGAACTTGGAGCCAAAGGCCTGGGTTCCAGACCCAACCTGTCATGAGGTGCAGGCACCAGACCAGCAGCAGACTTGGCTTCCCCAAGAAACCAACGGAGATGCAAATAATATGCAAATAATATGCAACCCCGGCCTGGATGATGCCTCAGACCAGTGAGGTCACTGTATACACAGCCTGGGGGCACTGGGAGCCCTGGGCAGCTCCTGTCACATTCCCTCGTCCACCTTGGGGCGGGCAGCCTGCAACCACCTGGACGAGGGCTGCCTCACTGTGCCAGCACAGTGCCACCCGGACCAGG
Source organism: Homo sapiens (assembly GCF_000001405.40). Classification (NCBI taxonomy): domain Eukaryota; kingdom Metazoa; phylum Chordata; class Mammalia; order Primates; family Hominidae; genus Homo; species Homo sapiens. Next base: position 104,217,657 of record NC_000014.9, on the reverse strand, counting down.
GCCACCTCGCCACACTGCTGCAGTGCCACCCGGACCGGAATCACCTCACCACACTGCTGCAGTGCCACCCGGACCGGAATCACCTCACCACACTGCTGCAGTGCCACCCGGACCAGGGCCACCTCACCACACTGCTGCAGTGCCACCCGGACCAGGGCCACCTCACCACGCTGCTGCAGTGCCACCCGGACCAGGGCCACCTCACCACACTGCTGCAGTGCCACCCGGACCGGAATCACCTCACCACACTGCTGCAGTGCCACCCGGACCAGGGCCACCTCACCACACTGCTGCAGTGCCACCCGGACCAGGGCCACCTCACCACGCTGCTGCAGTGCCACCCGGACCAGGGCCACCTCACCACGCTGCTGCAGTGCCACCCGGACCAGGGCCACCTCACCACGCTGCTGCAGTGCCACCCGGACCAGGGCCACCTCACCACGCTGCTGCAGTGCCACCCGGACCAGGGCCACCTCACCACGCTGCTGCAGTGCCACCCGGACCAGGGCCACCTCACCACGCTGCTGCAGTGCCACCCGGACCAGGGCCACCTCACCACGCTGCTGCAGTGCCACCCGGACCAGGGCCACCTCACCACGCTGCTGCAGTGCCACCCGGACCAGGGCCACCTCACCACGCTGCTGCAGTGCCACCCGGACCAGGGCCACCTCACCGTGCCGGTGCCGCACATGCCAGGCAGGGAGCGGCTCTGCAGCCTCAAGTCTTTGCTCAAATCCCAGCTTCCAGAAGCTTCAGATATTTAGTCAAGATACTGAGCTATTCAGTCTCCCGTGCCTGTTTCTCTAATACAAAATGGGGATAATATTAGTATCTATTTCTCAACGAGGCTCAAAAGAGTTGATGTTTGTAAAAGGCTTAGGAAGAGGCCGGGATGCAGACACTGCCCGGCTGGGGCCGCTGTTGTGATGGGGGCAGCCTAGACTGGGAGAGGCCTTGGGGTGGAATCTGTCACCTTCCATGTACAGTTGTCCCCAGTGGGCATCCCGCACCTCCCGGGGTCCTCCAGAGCCAGAGAGTAGTTAAGCGGGGAGAGGGCAGCCGGGGGAATTGGCTCGTGGGCCACGACTGCCCCACACGAGGGAGGCTCTAAAGCGAGAAGCTGCCTCCAGCCAGGGTGAGGTGACCTGGGAAAGGCCCGCTCCCCCGTGTCCTCTCCACCCCTGCCAACTCCCCAGGGCTACTAGCATTTTCCTCTCCTCCACATCTGTTGAGGAGGGGGATTTTGTGGCTGAAAGGACTAAAGCTCCGTCTTTCTTCCAAGTCCTGGGGGAAGGAAAGCCCAGCCCCTCCCTGATCGCCCCTGACAAAAGGGGCGGCTGCAGATGGGAGCCGAGTGCCCCCGCCCGATGCCCGATGTCTTTTGCAATCAGAAATTCACTGGGGCATAGTGTGCGTGCTCACGGCAGGGCTCCGAGCCCCAGGCACCCCAAGGGGCAGCGACTTGAGTCCACGGAAGCCCTTCGTGTCCACCCCGACCTGAGGCTCCAGTGCCTGTGTGACGGCCTGCAGCATCTGTGGATGACCCATGCCCCCCTCTCACCCCTCCTGGCCTGTGGACTTGGGTCCTGCCAGCTGATGTCAGTGTCTCTCCCAAGTCATTACAGACCCAGCAGATCCTCAGCCCAGCACGGCCCCTTCCTATGATACCCACAGTCGGAGGGGTTGGGGGACTTGCTGGGGAGGGGCTGGAGCCACATGAGGAGGTAGGAGAGCAGGGGCTACCAAGAGGACCGCCCACCATCTGCCATACCCGCCATCCACTGTGCACCGGAGCATGTGGCCGGTAGGGTCAGTGTCCTGCAGGCCTTGCCAGCCATTCTTTCCAGTTCATTCGAAGGTGTTAAGAGGCAGACAGCAGGCAGGCATGAGGTGTGAGGGGCATAAAACACAGCAATTCCCACTAACTTCCGCTCCACATTAACCTTCCCACACACTCACCTCCCTACACACTCACCTCCCTACACACTCACCTCCCCACACATTCATCTCCCCACACACTTCCCTACACACTCACCTCCCTACACACTCGCCTCCCTACACACTCACCTCCCCACACATTCATCCCCCCACACACTCACCCCCTACACGCTCACCTCCCTACACTCACCTCCCCACACATTCATCTCCCCACACACTCACCTCCCTACACACTCACCTCCCACACATTCATCTCCCCACACACTCACCCCCTACACACTTCCCTACACACTGACCTCCCTACACACTCACCTCCCTACACACTGACCTCCCTATACACTAACCTCCCCTACACACTCACCTCCCTACACATTCATCTCCCCACACACCCCCCTACACACTCACTTCCCTACACACTGACCTCCCTATACACTGACCTCCCCTACACACTCACCTCCCCTACACACTCACCTCCCTATACACTAACCTCCCCTACACACTCACCTCCCTACACACTCACCTCCCTACACACTCACCTCCCCACACACACAACTCCCAAAACACCTCCTACACACACACCTCCCTACACACTCACCTCCCTACACACCTCCCTACACACTCACCTCCCCACACACTCACCTCCCTACACAATCACCTCCCTACATGCTGACCTTCCTACACACTCACCTCCCTACACACTGACCTTCCTACACACTCACCTCCCTACACACTCATCTCCCTACACACACCTCCCCACACACTCACCTCCCTACATGCTGACCTCCCTACACACACACCTCCCTACACACTGACCTTCCTACACACTCACCTCCCTGCACACTCACCTCCCTACACACTCACCTCCCTACTCACCCAGCTGACCCAGGCAGCATCTATGTCTCTGTGCCAGAACTAAGAACCACACGCCCAGCCTTCATCCCAATCACAGTGACTCTTATGGTGGAAATAATTAACACAAAATAAAACTGACAGCAATGGAAACTTTCCTGGAAAAAGCTGCTCCTGAATACAACCTGACGGGTGTCTTCTTGAGCGGTTCAGGTTCACAGGCGAAAGTCTAGCTCCTGCAGAATGGGCGGGCGTGTCCACCAATCACTCACTGCAGAGCATGCTGGGAAAATCATACTTGAGGAAGGCTGTGGCGGGAAGTGAATGTTTAAAAAGAAAACTAGAAGAGATTTAACTATTCTGCAAAGAAAATCATTGAAGGAATTCCATTTTTTCTTTTTTTTTTTTTTGAGATGGAGTGTCACTTTGTTGCCCAGGCAGGAGTGCAGTGGCACAATCTCAGCTCACTGCAACCTCTGCCTCTCAGGTTCAAGTGATTCTCCTGCCTCAGCCTCCCTAGTAGCTGGGACTATAGGTACCCGCTATCACGCCCAGCTAATTTTTGTGTTTTTAGTAGAGACGGGATTTCACCATGTTGGCCAGGCTGGTCTTAAACTTCTAACCTTAGGTGGTCCACCCACATTGGCCTCCCAAAGTGATGGGATGACAGGCATAAGCCACTGCACCCAGCAGGAATTCCATCATTTTTGAGGCTGAATGGTAATCCCAAAGGTACCAGATCTTATCCTTAGGACCTGTGAGTGTGGCCTTATTTGGTAAAGAGGGTTTGCATAATGCTAAGGATCCTGGGATGGGGCGGTTATTCTGGATTAGCCTGGGTGATCCTGGTGAACCCGAAACGCAACTGTGTGTATCGTATGCAAAGGAGGCAGAGGGAGGTTTCATGCACATAGAGGAGGAGGCTGTGAGAAGACAGAGGCAGAGATGGGGGGATGGGGCCACACGCCAAGGACGCCTGGGGCCACCACGGGCCGGGAGAGGCAGGGAAGGGTCCCGGCAGCAGCACCCAGAGGGGGCAATGCCTGCAGGCACCTTGGCTGTGGCCCAGGGACACGGATTTCAGACCTCTGGACCCTGGGGCGTTGAGAGGATGCCCCCTGCTCATCGTTTGCGATCACTGGTTGCAGCGGCCACAGGACGCCAAATGCAAGGCGTGTTTTCCAGAAAAACACATCGGGGACATGTATTCATTTCCTGTGCTGTGTGACAACTGTCATACACTTAGCGTCTTAAGCCATACACTTAGCGTCTTAAACCAGGGCATGGATGAGCTCCCCACCTGCAGGCCGGACTTCCCGCACGGCCGGGTTCTCTGCGTAGCCCAGAATCGGGTGTCAGCTGCGGTGAGTTCTCACCGGAGGCTCCATGGGGCTCCACTTGATCCAGGATCCTCCAGGTGATTGGTAGAGTTCCGTTTCTTGAGCTGCGGGGGGATCGGGGAGGTCCTGCTTTCTCACTGGCTATTAGGGGCTCAGCAGCTGGGGACTGCCTGTCGCATCCCCCTACACACACAACTGCAGCCAGCAATGGTACCTGGAATCCTTCTGCTTCAAATCTCTGACTTCTGCTCTCCCACCAGCCAGAGAAAACACTGGCTTCAACAGGCTGGTGTGACGAGGTCGGGCCGCCCAGACCATCTCCCTTTACCACATCTGCAAATGTCCTTGTCCCACAGAGCAGAGCATCCCTTCAGGAGTTCATGATGGAGACTGTGGGGCCATCTGGGGACTCCGCCTACCCTTGGCAGCATGGTGCTGATGACAATATTCATAGAAACAGAGTCGAATCTCTCAGAACACCGGGGCCTCCCATTCTGTGCCCAACCCGAGCTGGCCCAGAGCAGAGCCAGGCGGGCGGGATGGGGTGGCCCTGGGAGCCTAGGTGCCGGCATGGGGTGCCATCTCCTCACCTGCCTGGGCCTCTGGAGGGGGTTCCCTGGGAGGGGTTCCAGCCTCATGCCTTTTGCCCACCTTGGAACTTCATGAGAAGCATCCCCTTGGCCGCCTGTGGATGGGGCCGCGTCCCTGCAGCCACCTTGCTGCCCTGAACACGCAGCTGTGCCATCCCCACTCCTGGGTCCTCTCTCGGTCTCCAACCCTACCTCTCACAACACACAGCTGCATGCACACAGCTGCGCCGTCCCCACCCCGGGTCCTCTCTGGGCCTCCAGTCCTACCTCTCACCATTCCCTTCTCAGCCCAGTCCCAGGGCCACCCTGAGCCTGAGCTAAACGTCTGGCCACAGGTGAGGCCTGGAAACCTGAGGGCCTAGATCTGTCCCAGCTGGGTCTGGCTGGCTGGGGGAGCGCCCGCTGTGCCAGGGGCTGTGTGTGCCAGGCCTGCCCTCAGGTACCCCAGGGTGCATGGACCTGCGCTCTCCAGCCGCCGTGGTGTGGAGCAGCTTCAGTGGCCAACACAGGTGGTGCCGATGCTAATCTCTCAGCCCTGCCTTTCCCATGTGCTGTGATGACCTTGCCCTGCCTCAGGCACTCGCCCTCCAGGGGCAGCCCCCAGCCCATGAGGGCAGGGATAAAGGATGTCACTCACTCCCTCCCTCGGGTGGGACGACTCCGCCATGTTTCTCGGTCTCTCCCAGAGGCCCCCAAAGGGGCTGCGCTATTGCCTGCCCAGGGACCTGCTGGCTAAGCCCCCATCATCGCTGGCCCCTTCCACATCCTGCACCCTTCTATCTGCCGGTGACCCCAAATCACCCTCCAAATTAACTGCTTGCCCTTGAATCCTGGTCCCAGGGTGCACTTCTAGGAGAACGCTACCTAACGTTGAACTTGGACAGGGAGAGATGCAGCCCCTTTACAGATGAAGAAACCAGGGCAAAGAGAAGCAAAATATCCCGCCCACGATCACAGAACTAGTCACCTGCGAGAGCAGTGCGGCTCCGGCTCAGCCTCCAGGGCCACCCCGGCCAGCCGGCTCTTCCTCCCACCTTGGGTTTTTATGATTTTGTTTTGTTTTGTTTGTTTGATTTTTGAGATGGAGTCTTGCTCTTGTGGCCCAGGCTGGAGTGCAGTGGCAGGAGCTTGGCTCACCACAACCTCTGCTCTGTCTCCTGGTTCAAGCAATTCTCCTGCCTCAGCCTCCAGAGTAGCTGGGATTACAGGCATCCACCACCACGCCTGGCTAATTTTTCTATTTTTAGTAGAGACATAGTAGAGACAGGGTTTCTCCATGTTGGCCAGGCTGCTCTTGAACTCCTGACCTCAGGTGATCCACCCACCTCGGCCTCCCACAGTGCTGGGATTACAGGCGTGAGCCACCGCATCCGGCCTCTTCCTCCTGCTTTGCATCCTTCCTCCTCCCTGGGCTCTGCCTCCTCCCTGGTGAGGCCTGGGCTGACCCCAGATGTCCATTTCCTTAGAAGCAGCAGAGCGCTGGATGGGCTCAGGTGCTGCTGGGCAGCGAGTGGAAGACCCAGCTGGCTTGAGACCGTAGGTGGGGCTGTGGGCTCTCGGCCTGTCCTGAGCTCCCGCCTACGGCACAAATGCACACCAGCCACCACCCTCCATTTGTCATCTGTGAATTCTTCCAGACGGATGGGCCGGGCTTATCTGTGAGGCTGGAGCCACGGGATTTATGTACTGAAAAGTCTATTTCTAAAGCCTACAATAGTAGAGTTGCAGAGCAATTTCTCCACAATAAATTCTGCCTTCAACACCCCGGGATCTTCTTTCTGCTCATTTGTCACATTCTGAGCTTCTGGTGGGGATCAGAATCCCATGATGCGCGTCTGAGAGGCAGGTGTGACGGAGAGATTGAGCCCAGCTCTCGGCTGCCCGCCCAGCCCGCGCTGAAGGGACCCTGGGTGCGAATTTGGGTGGCCAGTCATACCCTGGCCCCAGGTCTCTTGTAAGGGAGGAAGGAAATCCCCTCAGGAGACCCCCTGAGCTCCTCCCTGCTGAAGGCCCACCCAGCAATGTGGCCCAGGCCTCGCCCCCCAAGACCCACGCCACAAGGACTCCCCATGCTACTTGGCACCTGGCCTGTCTGGGTGGGCCCCTCCCAGGGGCCCCCTTCTGCAAGGACCAGCTGACTCTTCTCAGCCCCTCCTCATGCACAGACACCCCCCTGGTGCCAGCAGCAATGCCGGGCACTCCCTCAATCCCTCCCCCAGCCCTGCCCCCCGGAACCCCAGGTTCTTCCCTCTGCATCCCAGGGTCCCCACCACTGCCCCTGGGCCCCAGTGCCGCTTCCCCTCTGGGCTGGGACGGGGACACTCCCTGGGGACTCTGAGGCTCTGACACCCCATCCTGCTGGGTGCTAACACAAAATCGCACAAAAGGCATACTGATGGCTGGAAAAGGAGAAGGCGCCAATTCGGTTCACACACGCAGCAACTGAAACCTCAGTTTGACGTTCATTTCAGCAGAGCTGTAATTAAAATGCATTTGGGAAGCACTTACTTGTGTCTAATTAGACCTTGTTGGGTTTCTATGGAGATCCCTCAGTTGTAACAGGAACATCACCATCCACAATAGCCAGCCGTGGGTGAGGGGGCGCGAGCAGACAGAGCCGGGCCACGGCTCGAGGCCTCCATCATGTGACAAACTCCCAGGAGGCCCCCTCGGTGCTCCCTCAGGCCCCCTTGGTGCTCAATTGAGGCCAGGTTGGCCAAATCAGCTCCTGGGGCTGGCTGACTTCCCAAGACGGGGTCCCAGACTCACTGCCCCCAGGATCCCGACTCCATCCACTGCAGAGGGGGCCACCAGGCTGGGGAGCACCGTGCCAAGCCCCAGCACCCACAGCCCACTGGCCCTGCCTCTCTCCAGGAGAGTCCAGTTCCCAGCAGCCTCCCCACCCTTCCCCACACAGAGCAACCTGGGGACATCCGGAGATGGCCGCCACCTAGACTCATCCCCAGGACCCAAACAGACAGATGAACAGAGGGCGAAGGATGCAGGACTCTCCAAAGGGAGCACAAGCGTGTCTTTGGGGCGGACGTCCTGCATCGATTTAGCACCTCTGTCTGTGACCCCCCCCACCCCTGCCGTATGCAGTGTGACCCGCCCCCCAGATGCTGTACGAGGGCCTTGAGGGCTGCCCAAAAAGAGTGGGGAGCAGAGAGGCTGGCAGCACCGAGAGGGGCCACCTCAAGATGTCACCCCATTTTGTTAGTGAGGAAACTGAGGCAGAACAGCTCAGCCCAGAGGAGAGGCAGAGTTCCTGTAGAATCTCACGGCAGTTTACTCTCAAGAGACCCGGCTCTCCAGGCCTGATGGTTATGATGCAGGCAGGCGAGCCCGAAAGTGGAGTTTAGCCCTCTGGGTTTTTGGCTTCACCCAGGAAAGAATGCAAGGGCAAGCCAGTGGTAGAAGAAACAGCTTTACTGAAGCCACAGTGTCACAGCTCTGGTGGTGTCCCGGCTCTGGTGGTGTCCCGGCTCTGGTGGTGTCCCGGCTCTGGTGGTGTCACAGCTCTGGTGGTGTGGCAGCTCTGGTGGTCTCGGAGCTCTGGTGGTGTCCCGGCTCTGGTGGTGTCCCAGCTCTGGTGGTGTCCCAGCTCTGGTGGTCTCGCAGCTCTGGTGGTGTCCCGGCTCTGGTGGTGTCCCGGCTCTGGTGGTGTCACAGCTCTGGTGGTGTCACAGCTCTGGTGGTGTGGCAGCTCTGGTGGTCTCGGAGCTCTGGTGGTGTCCCGGCTCTGGTGGTGTCCCGGCTCTGGTGGTGTCCCGGCTCTGCTGGTGTCACGGCTCTGGTGGTCTCGCAGCTCTGGTGGTGTCCCGGCTCTGGTGGTGTCCCGGCTCTGGTGGTCTCACAGCTCTGGTGGTGTCCCAGCTCTGCTGGTGTCACGGCTCTGGTGGTGTCACGGCTCTGGTGGTCTCGCAGCTCTGGTGGTGTCCCAGCTCTGGTGGTGTCCCGGCTCTGGTGGTGTCCCGGCCCTGGTGGTCTCGCAGCTCTGGTGGTGTCCCGGCCCTGGTGGTGTCCCGGCTCTGCTGGTGTCACGGCTCTGGTGGTGTCCCGGCTCTGCTGGTGTCCCGGCCCTGGTGGTGTCCCGGCTCTGCTGGTGTCACGGCTCTGGTGGTGTCCCGGCTCTGCTGGTGTCCCGGCTCTGCTGGTGTCGCGGCTCTGCTGGTGTCGCAGCTCTGGTGGTGTGGCAGCTCTGGTGGTGTCCCAGCTCTGGTGGTCTCGCAGCTCTGGTGGTGTCCCAGCTCTGGTGGTGTCCCGGCTCTGGTGGTGTCACGGCCCTGGTGGTCTCGCAGCTCTGGTGGTGTCCCGGCTCTGGTGGTGTCCCGGCCCTGGTGGTCTCGCAGCTCTGGTGGTGTCCCGGCCCTGGTGGTGTCCCGGCCCTGGTGGTCTCGCAGCTCTGGTGGTGTCCCGGCTCTGCTGGTGTCACGGCTCTGGTGGTGTCCCGGCTCTGCTGGTGTCGCGGCTCTGCTGGTGTCGCAGCTCTGGTGGTGTTGCGGCTCTGGTGGTGTCCCGGCTCTGCTGGTGTCCCGGCTCTGGTGCTGTCGCAGCTCTGGTGGTGTGGCAGCTCTGGTGGTGTCCCAGCTCTGGTGGTCTCGCAGCTCTGGTGGTGTCCCAGCTCTGGTGGTGTCCCGGCTCTGGTGGTGTCACGGCTCTGGTGGTCTCGCGGCTCTGGTGGTGTCCCGGCTCTGGTGGTGTCCCGGCTCTGGTGGTGTCACGGCTCTGGTGGTGTCACAGCTCTGGTGGTGTGGCAGCTCTGGTGGTCTCGGAGCTCTGGTGGTGTCCCGGCTCTGGTGGTGTCCCGGCTCTGGTGGTGTCCCGGCTCTGGTGGTGTCACAGCTCTGGTGGTCTCGCAGCTCTGGTGGTGTCCCAGCTCTGGTGGTGTCGCAGCTCCGTGACTGCTCCTGCAGGGCAGGGCTTCCCCATAGGCAGGGAACAGCAGCTCAGGACAGTTCTGCCGTCATGTTTTTACCCATTTTTAATGGCATGCAGATTAAGGGGTGGTTTGTGCAGGAATTTCTAGGGATGGGGTAATAGTCATTGGGTCGTTGCCACGGAAAGGGGTGGTAACTCCAGGGTGTTGCCATGGCAATGGTAAACTGACATGGCACACTGGTGGGCAGGTCTGACTGAAAGCTGCTTTCACCTCGGCCCTGTTTTAGCTAGTCCTCAATCTGGTCCAGTGTCCGAGCCCCTCCCCTGGAGTGGAGTCTCACCTCCTCCCTGCGGAGGTAGGGGGAGGGGAGAGGGTGTCAGGGGTGCAGGGGAGCCTGGGGACGTGAGGACCGAGGAGCAGGAGGGGCGACTGCTGGGAGGACATCGCACATGGGGAGGAGGCCTGGCCAGGTGAAGGGTGGGCAGGCGGGAAAGGAGGGGAAGGTCCACCCTCACAGCATCCCCCCAAATGGCTGGGGCTGTGTGCTGAGGGCTGGGCTGTCCTGCGGACTCCCCAGGTGCCACAGTGGCCAGCAGAACTCCTGAGAACTTAGGAGCTTCTCTAACCGAACCCCACACCCACAGACACCCAAGCTGCTCGCCCTGGCTTCCGGGGTGCCGAGGCAGCAGGGAGGCAGACCAGCTGTACCACGTGGATGGCGCAGGACGCTGTGGGCCCTCGTTACCTGCCCTCATTACCACTGTGATATGGCCAGTCGGGCAGACACGGAGGCCCACAAGGGGTTGTCTCAGGGCTGGGAGAAGATGGATCTCAGGGGCAGGCTTGGGCAGGGCTGAGACTACCATCTAGAAAGGATAGGGTACAGGCTGGGAGCCTGGGATGCACCCATGAAAGAGCCCCTGCCAGGCCCAGCCATCCCCATCCATGCCCAGAGCCATCTTCCCTCCCTGATCCAGGCTGACACTGCACCCAAGGCCAGCACCCAGGCGCCCCTCTTCTGAGGGTCCACCAGGAAGCCCCAAGGGCCTGAGCCAGCAGCTCAGCCACTAGAGCTGGGGAAGGGGGTTTCTCTGTTCCTGAGCTGCAGTCTCCTCCCCTGCAAAGGGCCTCGTGTTCCATCCAGTACAGCAGGCAGCAGCCCTGCTGGCTCACCATCTCCCAAGCATGTGGACCCCTTCTCCTGGCCTGACTGGGGCCTGGCCTCCTTTGGCCTCTCCTCCTAAATGAGCAGTCCCCTCACCCTGCTTCCCTTCACACACACACACACACACACACTGTGTGTGTCCATCCATGGGCATGTGCATGCACACTTGCACACAGGCACAGGGGCACACACATGCACACACAGCAGGCCCATCAGGAGCTGCTGGAGGTGGGTCTAATTGCTGAATTTCCATGAGGCCCACACCAGCCCTGGTTAGACTTGTAATTGGACTTGGCACTACCGGGCGCGTGGCTGAGGAAGGCGGTGTTTGATCCTGTGGCTGAGGCTGCCTGGGGAGCCCCGCGCTGGGCGTAATTAGCGTCTCCTCCCTCCCTCTCAGGCTGCGGGCCTCGCTTTCATCTGGAGGACAGGCAGGGCTGCCGGCTCTCATGGCTCCTCCCAGGCCCCACGTGGTGCTCTGTGCTGAGCCCATGTCACCGCCAGCTCTCTGCTCACTGGCCAGCCCTGCCCCCTGATGGTCCACTCCCCAGGGCCAGGACGGATCTGCTCAGGATCTGGCAGTGACTGAGTGGTCACCATTGGATGGATGGCGAAACTGAGGTCCAGAGGAGAGAGTGGGGCTCGAAGGCTGCAGCGAGCCAGGGCTGGTGTCTGCTCCAGGGCTTTCTCCAGGAGACCCTTCTGTGAAGAGGACAGAGATCACCTGGGGGTCACTCTGACCAGGACAGTGTGTGGTGACCAGCAGTGGCCCAGCCCTGCAAGGCCCCAGATGGTGTCCCAGGCTCAGGCTGTGCAGTCGCAGTCGGGGCCTGGAGGCACCAGGCCTTGCAGGCCACTGCAGACCAAGGCACAGAGCTCAAGTTTCTACCCCCAGCTCCCAGCCCTGCACACACACCATGCCGGGCAGGCAAGCTCATGGTCACCCAGCTCAGGGACTCCACTCACCGGGGGCTTGAGCAGAGGAAGGGCCTGGGCCAGCTGAGAGGCCAGGCCCACCCACCTGCTGATCTCGCCTCTCTAGTCCCAGCAGCTCCCCAGAAAGCCCTCGACACTCACAAGTCAGGGTGGTAGATTCAGCTGGAGGAAGCAGCAATGCAGGGCCGTCAGCGTCATGTCTCCCTCCTCCTAGCTGCCAGCCAGCCCTCAGACCTCACCCAGCCCCCAGACCTCACCCAGCCCCAGCCCTCCCGGACAGTGGCAGAGAGCTCTCATCCACTCTCTGTAGACAAAAAATGAGTAAATGTCAGAACTGACAAAGAGAAAGACGGAGGGTCACGCCGGGGAAGGGAGCTGAGAGATCTGCCCCGATCATGCTGCCCCACCCATGAAAGGGTCACAATCACCCACAAACATAGGGCAGATGCGACATGACACCTGGGGAGGGTGCCAGCAAGCAGCAAGGTGAGTCCATGACCAGATGCATCCAGGACCCTCCAGGATCTAAGGTGTGTGCTTGGACCAAGGTGCTGCGTCCGTGGCTTGGCCTTCCCCGTAAGCAGAGGACATCTCAGCATGGGGCAACGTCCCTCAGGTCACCTGTCCCTTGCCCCCTACACTGCCACTCTCCTCCCCCGAAGCCCTCACCCCAGGATGCCCTGCCCCTGCCTGGCTCACTGCCTGTCAACCCTCAAAACACCAGACCCAGTCCTTCCTGTGTCCTCCCAGGGCAGACACCCGGGTTCCGAGCTGCATTGGGGCACCCTCTGGACCTTTCCAGTTCCTGTTCTCCCTAAGGGCCCACAGCACTCTGGACCATAATGGCCTACATGGGCTAGTGACCAGTGGGCTAGGCCCTAAACTGGGCATGGTTCTGTTGAAAGAGGTAACGGGTGAAAAGAAGGATGACTAGGTGGATGGATACGAAAGGAAGGAAAGATGGATGGATGGATGGATGGATGGATGGATGGATGGATGGATGAACAGATAGGTGGATGGATGCATGGATGGATGGATACAAGGATGGATGGATGAACAGATGGGTGGATGGATGCATGGATGGATGGGTGCATGGAAAGATGGATGAACAGATAGGTGGATGGATGGATGCATGGATGGATGGATGCATGGAAGGATGGATGAACAGATAGGTGGATGGATGCATGGATGGATGGATGCATGGATGGATGGATGCATGAAAGGATGGATGAACAGATAGGTGGATGGATGCATGGATGGATGAATGGATAGATGGATGGATGGATGGACAGATGGATGGATGGATGGATGGATGGATGGATGGATGGATAGGTGGATGCATGGGTGGATGGATGGAGGATGCATGGATGGATGGATGCATGGACAGATGGATGAAGAGATAGGTGGATGTATGCATGTATGTATGTATGGATGGATGGATGGATGGATGGATGGACGGATGGATGGATGGATGGATGATGCATGGATGGATGGAGGATGCATGGATGGATGGATGCATGGATGGATGGTTGCATGGAAGGATGGATGAACAGACAGGTGGATGGATGCATGGATGGATGGATGCATGGATAGATGGATGAAGAGATAAGTGGATGGATGGATGGATGGATGGATGGATGAACAGATAGGTGGGTGGATGCATGGATGGATGGATAGATGGATGGATGGATGGATGGATGGATGGATGGATGGATGGATGGATGAACAGATAGGTGGATGGATGCATGGATGGATGAATGGATAGATGGATGGATGAATGGATAGATGGATGGATGGATGGATAGACAGATGGATGGATGGATGGATGGATGGATGGATGGATGGATGGGTGGATGCATGGGTGGATGGATGGAGGATGCATGGATGGATAGATGCATGGACAGATGGATGAAGAGATAGGTGGATGTATGTATGTATGTATGGATGGATGGATGGATGAACAGATAGGTGGGTGGATGCATGGATGGATGGATGGATGGATGGATGGATGGATGATGCATGGATGGATGGATGCATGGATGGATGGTTGCATGGAAGGATGGATGAACAGACAGGTGGATGGATGCATGGATGGATGGATGCATGGATAGATGGATGAAGAGATAAGTGGATGGATGCATGGATGGATGGATGGATGGATGGATGGATGGATGGATGGATGAACAGATAGGTGGGTGGATGCATGGATGGATGGATGGATGGATGGATGGATGGATGGATGGATAGATGGATGGATGCATGGATGGATGGATGGATGCATGGATGAATGGATGAATGGATGGATGGGTAGATGAATAATGTAAGATAGGATAGCTCAGTGGAATAAAGGAAGGCAGCAAGGAAGGGAGGGAGAAAGGATGGGCATGAAAGGAGGAAAGAGACTAACCAGAGAACTCCCCACTACGACAGAGAGCTTCTCCCTCATGATCTCCCTGCTGCGGCCCCGTGAGGCCAGCCTGCGAGGCATCCCCAGCACTTTCCATCAGGAGCTCTCCTCTGATGGCAGCTTCAATGCACCAAACTGCATCGTCCTGGCTACTCTCCTGCCCACAGCCCTGTGGGATAGAACAAAGGGGCCCATGGAAAGGCCCCAGCACCCACTGCCACCACCAGGTGTGGCATGGCCAGGAAGCACAACCCAAGCAGGTGCTGGCAATGCTCGCTAATCCCTAAAAACAGCTGCGCTTCCTGCAGCCCCAAACTCCTGCTGCTGGCTTTAGACATGGGAGCTCTCTGGTGGGCTGTGACCCAGGCACAGACGGGAAAGGGGCCCGCACCCCATGGATGAGCCTGCAGGAGTCGGGAGGGCTGGAGAGCCAGGACCGTGGAGGCCAGGGAGGGAGCCAAGGAGGCGGAGACAGGAACACACCCCTGTCCTCCTCTGGCCTCTGACCCTGTTAGCACCTCTGCCTCCTACAGCCTCCTGGGCACAAAGGGGCCAAGGGTGGGTTTGCAAAGCCATAGCACGTCTCTTCCAGGCTTTCTCTGGTTCTCCTAGCTGAAAGTAACCTCTGCTTTCTCTTTCTAGAACTTTCTCTGCCCTCTCTCATGCCATGTGTTACTCTTGCCTTTTTGCCAGCATCATCTGTGCAGCATCTTGTAACCCCATCCCCACCCCATGTGCTCCCTGAAGCCCGGGCATCCCCGGTTTCCTGTCTTGCTAACACTCACCCAGGGAGCAGCCCGCAAGCACCTTGCCCATCTCTGTCTCCAGGCGTGTCCTACAGAGAGGAGTACCCTAAGCTGGAAGGTGACCCATCTGCCCCCTCTAACCATCAGCTGTCGGTCAGTCCTCATCCAGCTCAAATAAACGATCCCACGCATGCTCCCACACACACTCCCACGCACACCCGGCACACATGTGTCCCTGTAATTAGCAGGACCTGATGCCAGTCGTAAAAGCCCCCGGAGCTGGGGAGCTGCCGAGCGTGACAATCTGCCTCCACGCGGGTGACGCCAAGCACCCCCAGGACGGCCATCGGGAGGGCTGGACAAGCCGGCGCTGGGCTGCCTGATGCAAATGAGACCCTTAACAGTTGGGCTGGGCGCCAAGCTGCTTGGCATTCACCAGGCTGTCGCCAGCACGGCTCCATGCTGGCGGAGGAACTGCCCGGCTTAGCCCAGAGACTCGTGAAGGGCCAGCAGCAGCTCCCCACAGCTCAAGCACAGCAGGAAGAGGATACGGAAGTGCTCCCCATAAAACCCCACACCTGCCATGCTTCTGTCTGAAACCACGCACGTGCTGCCCGCTGGGTGAGGGCCAGCTGTGCCACCAGCCTGGCAGAAGGCAGGCAGGCGTCTCTGCCTTGGGGACCCCAGAAGCCCGCTGAACTCACCCAGGAAGCCTCAAAGCCAGCTCAGAGGAAGCTGCATCCGTGTCCCCTCTACCAGCTACACACATCCCAGACTCTGTCCAAACTAAATATGTAACAGCCAGGGAGAGGGCCTGGGCTCTGGGAGGAAGCAGTGACGGAATCGGTTCAGAGAAGAAATCTGAACAGCAGCTGGTTTCCACTCTTCACTGGGGAGAAAAATCACTCAGAGATCCCTAGTGCAAAGAGGTGGTGGGCCAGGTGGGGCTGGGGGCTGCAGGGCTGGTGTCAGCGAGGCCCCCAGAACCCTCTGTCCAGGGCAGGAGACGGACCATCCACAGTCTCCACCGCCTCGGCACCCTTTCTCCACCTTCACCTCCTGTGGCTCCCCTCCTGCTTCTCTGAGGACAGATGCACCCCTGAAGCTCAGTGACACCCAAGGCCAGGCAGGAACCACAGACCAGCCGGGGCCTCAGTTGGGGCCTGTCCTGCAGAGTCCTGTATCGGCGGCACGTGGACTGAGGCAGAAAAGGGGTGTGGCGGGGGTGCTCCACACCTTGTCTCTGGCAGCACCTGTGGGGGGTGGCAGGGCCCATGGCTGGAGAAGGCCCCCTCTCTGCACTTGCTGGGCCCCTTGGCCTCAGTTTCCCCTCCCTGGAGTGCTCATCTCTGCAGCCCAAGGTGAAGGCTGAGATGAACCCGCTCCTGGGTCTTCCAGGGAGGGCCTGGCCAGCGCACAGACAGGCCCAGCTGCCTGCAGTGCCAACAGCCTTGGTTGCAGCAGTCCCCCAGGGTGCCACTCACGTGCCGGAACCCCATGAGGGACACCCTGCCTGGCATGACCAGCTGGAGGTAACCATCCATGAAGCACCCAGCGCAGCTCCTCGGCAGCACCAGCCAGGAGGGGCCAGCTCTAGCCCAGGCCTTGTGGCAGCAAGGAAGCCACAGCCACCACGGCCAGTCACACACGGGGCCGCACCGAGCCCCGGCCACGCCTCCCACCCACTGGGTGCACTGTGGCTGCCGGAGTGGGACTCAGGCTCAGACTCAACTGGAATGCAGCCGCGGAGCTGGGGCGCTTTTCTGAGACAAAGGCCTGGGGCGCCCCACACTCCCTCTGCCTCCTTCCTGAGGGGTCTGTACTTGGAGGCCCCAGGCACAGACAGGCCCTGCTGCCAGGACACAGAACACCTCCCGGCTGATGCCCCCACCAAGATCAGGCTGGACACAGGCCCTAATCCACGTCCCCATCCACAGAGGGTGCCCAGGTGCCCGAGCCTGGCCAGGCCTCTGCTAAGAGGCTCTAATTGGCACGTCCAGAACCGGGCAGGCCCAGGGGTCTCTCCCAAGGGTGTGGAGGGCCCAGAGCAGGTGGGGGAAGGGTGCATTACGGGTGGGGCCCATCGCCCCTGCTCTGGAGCCTGCACCTGTGACCTTCAGACCCTCAAAGCCTTCCTGTTGTCCCAGAAGTGGGGGCACCGGCATCTGTGAGCCGAGATCACACCACTGCACTCCAGCCTGGGCGACAGAGCAAGACTCCATCTCAAAAAAAAAGGTGACTAAATTAAAATGAGGCTGTTCATGGGCCCCAATCAAATCTGGCTGGTGTCCTTCGAAGAAGATATTTGGACACCAGGGTCACATGAGTGCACAGAGGGAAGGCCCCGTGAGGACACAGCACGGAGGAACCGTCGGCACACCCAGAAGACAGGCCTCAGCAGACAGCAACCCGCCAGCACTTTGAGCTCAGACTTCCAGTTTCCAGAACTGTGAGCCACAAAGGTCCGCTGTTTCAGCTGCCCCGTCTGCGCATTTGTTACGAAGGCCCAAGCAGACGAAGGCAGATTTTGGTATCAGGCATGAGGCCAAGGCCCAGGCTGCACAGTAGGCAGATGGGCAGGGGGACGACACTTAGCTCCTGACTGTGGCCGCCAGGACCCCAGGCCCAGACACCCCCACGGCCTCCAGCCCCACCCCCACCCCTACCCTCACCCCCACCGCAGCTCCTGCCCAGCCCCACCAGCCCTGGGAACATGGAGGACCAAGCCCCCTCCCTTCCCCAGCCCACTCCAAACCAGCCTTTTGCCAAACATAGTCAATAAATTATTCAGTTTGCAGAATGCCATTATGTGTGAGTTTACTTAATTGAATAGAATAATTTATGGTAAAACCTGGGGAAAGAAAGATCAATGAGGAATGGCACGGAAGAATGATTGAGTTTCAGTGAAGGCAATTTGATTTTTATCCCTCATTATAATAATGTTAAGGGGAAAACATCAACTTGGGACAGAATCAATATTTGCAGAGTGGCTGGACCATGAATTTTAACTGGAGGTGGCCGGGCGCGTCAATAATTAATGCCATGTCTGCCACCACAAATAACGGCTTCGTTTGGGTACAAATGCCCCCTACCCGCAGATTTGCTGGCGATCATAAAAGATAATTTAGGAACAAGGCTGTTGGTGGGCGTGTGCAACACCCCCAGTGTGATTCAGGACGCAGCCACACATCGGCTTCCCCACAAATCACCCCGAGACAGCTGGTGCACAGCTCCCCACCTCTTTCCTGAGGGTTCTGCGTTGGTTGGTCACCAGCCCAGCAGCCGGTGCCAGGCCAGCTCCCAGTGCCCTGACCTGCTCAGCCTGTGTCCAGGCCACGCCCAACTCACCACACTGCATCTCAGGTACCCAGAAAACGATGATGGGCAGCTCGGGGACAGCAAATCCCAAAGCGAGAAGCACAGGGGCCACCCACCAGCCGTGGGACCCCGAGCACCGTGCCTCTACCCTGAAACCTTGCCAGAAAGAGAAGGACACCTCTGCCGCTCCGTGTCTGGGAGAATCGGGGACAGGCAGGTCTGCATAACGGATGCTTGTTCCTGCTGCTGCTGTTCTCTCACTGAAAAGCGTGTCCTCATCGAATGTGTTTGGTCCGGAGGACTATGCCATCCTTGTATGTAGGTGCAGGTGCAGACACCACGGATCCATCCCACAGGTCTAGGAGAGCAACAGAGTTGCCTGAGGCACCCCCAAGAGTGACTTGCTAAGCCCAAGTCCCCAAGCTTCCTGCACCCCAGCACCAGAGCCTCCCTGAGCCCCCCAGGCAGCCCTTCTGACGCACACATGCGCCATGTGCTCCAGGCCGCCTGGGGCTGCTTAAACACAGACTCCAGCACAGCCATTCCCACTTTATGGATGTGAAAAATGAGGCTAAGGAAGGCTGAGGGCCTTGCCGGCAAAGATGTCAGAGCCAGACTCGGATCTGCCAGATGCCAATATCCCACCCTCTCAACAGACATGGCCCTCCAGATGCCACTTATGGGGACAGCTCTACGCAGGGCTCTGCAGCAGGCAGGAGGCAGATGCCGCCATAGCTCTGGTGACCTGGCAAAGGGTCCTTTGGGGACAGAGTCCATCTGCCCCAAATGGAAAGCAGCAGGCAGCTATCGGCCTCCCAGGGGAGAGGATGGGGCCAGTGGCTGGACTCCCTGGGCAACCTTGGGTACAGTTCTCTCCATACTCACCTGACCCACGGAGTCATTTCTCAGGGCCTCTCCAAGCCCTCGGGGTCACCTAAGCCTAACCTAGGCTGGGCTCCGGGGAGATGGGTCACGTTCCAGGACACACCTTCTCAAATGCAGCCCCAACAGACAATACAGCAAACTAGAGAGTCACTGCCACTGAGGGGAGCCCTGTCCATCAGGGTATCCTCCCCTGCAGAGCAGCCTGGCCAAGCCCAGCCCAGCTCAGGCTCCGTTGAGACCCAAGTGGCCTGAATGCCTCCAAACCTGTGCAGACATCACAAGCATATCTCCCATGCTGTAAGCAGTAAGGAAGTCCACAGATGCCTCTCCCAAAGGCTAAAAGGTCTACAAGGGCAGGAACCAGGTCTACCTCATTTCTATCACCCCCATTCCCAGCCCTGAGTCCAGCACGAAGCAAGTCTTGATTGCCATTGGATAAGTGGGTGGATAGGTGGGTGAGTAAATGGATGGATGGAGAGAGAAAGGGAGGGAGAAATGGAAGGATGAATGGAAAGAGGGATGGATGGATGGATGGATGGACAGATAGATGGATGGATGGATGAGCAGGTAGGTGGATAAGTGGGTGGATAGATGGATGGGTAGAAGGAGAGAGAAAGAAAGGAAGGAATGGGTAACTGGGTGGGTGAATGGAGGGAGAGAGGAAGGGTGAGTGTATGAATGGGTGAGTGGATGAAGGAATAGAGGATAGCTGGTTGATGGATGGGTAGATGGATGGACAGATGATGGATAGATGGATGAATGGATGAATAGGTGGATGGATGGCGGATAGATGGACGACATATGGATAGAAGGATGGGTAGACGATGGGATGAACTGATGAATAGAGGATGGATGATGGATAGAAAGATAATAGCTAGACGATGAATAGATGGATGGATAGATGAAAGATGGATGATGAATGGATGAATGATGGAGGGATGCTAGATGGATGATAGATGGATGAATCATGGATGAATGGATAATAGATGGATGAATGAATGATGATAAATGAATGGATGATGAATGAATGGATGATGGATGATGCCTGGATGATGGATGATGGGTGGATGGATGGATAATGAGTGGATATATGGATAGATGATGGATGGATGGATGGATGGGTAGATGAGAGAAGGGCTGAGGCAATAGATGGGAGTATGAAAAATAGATTGGCGAATGACTGACAGACTGAGAGAAAGGATGAACAGAGAGATAGGTAGATAGATGGGCATATGGGAGAGGGGGTTGGCCCCAGGACAGCAAGGACTATACTTGTACTACTTCCTGTCATCAAGTGGGCACTGAATAGATATTTATCAAGTGAATAATAAAACAGTGGACAGGGAATGGTGGGTTGGTGGAGTCGTGAGGACAGCAATTCCACCCCATCTCACCACTGGGATCAACCTCAAGGCCAGCATCCCAGCCCCCACTTCATCCAGTGGGGATGGTGAGGCCCAGAGAGGGGAAGGGGCTCTCCCAAGGCCTAACAGCATGTCTGAGCAGGGCTGGGGCAGCCAGGCCCCCACCTCTCCACCAGGCCCTGGTCCTTGACCCAGCCCTGCCTCTCAGTCCCCATGGGTGCAACAAGTTCCTGCAGTGAGCTGGGGGCTGAGACCCTCCCTTGCCTTTCTCAGCCTCTGGCCCAGCTCCAGGCAGGCGATGTCTGCCCAACCTTGGAAGGAGACCAGGGAGCCGCTGCCTGGCAGAGAACATCACCAGCTTCGCTCGCAGACCCACAAGTGCATTCATGTTTCGTCCTGGCTGCAAGCTAACTGCAGACACCCCACTCACACCAGGTTCTTGTCAGGGGCACCTGTGGGCACGGGACAAGCAAAGGCAGAAATGGGGGGTGGATGGACTGCCCGGAACACGCTTCAAGAAAGAAAAGGAAATGAAAGTCAGTAGACCAGAACCCCGTGGCTGCCTCCTTCTAGCCCGGCACCACGGCCCCGCCTCCTGCACCCTCCTTCCCGCCCAGCCATGACCACGGCCACCTTCCCCCTTCCTTGCCTTGGCCTGTCCTTGGTAAGCTCTGCCCTAATTTAGACACCACCTCCCCTGCCCTTGCCTTCTCTTTCTCTACCTGGGCTCATCCTACACACCCTCTCCCCACCCTAAGGTGTCCCACCCACCCCCCTCCAAAGCACCTTCTCCCCAGCCCCCACAGCGGTGCTGGTAAATGTTTTAACAACTGGCTCAGAGAAAAGAACAGATGCTTGTGTATGCGAATGCACGTTGATTATACATGTTACCGCCATGAAAGACCTGTACACACAGTTTAGAAATAACACAAACAGATACACAACTCTCCCTGGTGAAGTCTGAGCCCTGAAGGCTCCTTGGCTCTGCTCTCATTTCCAGCCAGCCCCGCAGCTGCCACTCCCGCGAGTCAACAAAGGAAGCCAGGTCTCTTTTCCCAAGAAGCTCATTGTCGTGAGGTCTGATGTGTGCTCTCTGTTCAACGACCGCCTATCTCACCCTCACACCAATTTCACTCATTCAACGGGAACCGCCAGCACTGCAGATTGCAGCCGGGCTGACTCTTGTTAGCTTTCCGCGCCGTGGCGAGAACGAGGACATGATCTGATTCTACACTATTGAATGACAAATCTGTGGAACAACTGGCTCCTGTCAGCCAGCAGGAGCCGGCCCCCAGCATGGCCTCCCCAACAGCTCCCGGCAAGAATGAAGGATGAATTAACGAGCTGGTGAGTGCATAGGCAGCCTCTGCCTCAGCCCAAAGCTTCCACCTGGAGCTGCCTATGGGACACGTCCCCCGGACCACCCAAAGCATCTCAGACCCAACCAGGCCCCCAAACCACGCTGGCCTCCTGTGGGCCCAGGCCCCACGCCTCACCCTTCCGCCAAACTCAAGCTGCCTCTGCCATGCCGGATGCCCCAGCCTCCTTCACCCCACAAGCCTGCCCTGCTGCTGCCCACCATGCGGCCCCATCTCCAGCTTCCGCTCGTCGCCCAGCCTCACCTGCGTCTCCTGGGGCTGTTTGACTGCTTTTCATTCTTTTACTCCTCGACTGCCCCGTCTGCAGGAGAGGGCTGTGAGGTCAGCCGGCCAGGACAGGGTTCCCTCCACAGCCTCTCACCCACCCCGGAGCGATCCAGGGGTCTGCTGAGTTCCCCGGGCAAGAAGCAGCCCGGCCTGCCCTGGGCCCAGCAAGCTAAGGCCCGGGGACACCCAATGGCTGTGGGTCCTTTCTGTGTTTCAGACTCAGATTCCCTGGGATGGGTGATGCATCAGAGTCCTGTCCAGCATGCAGGGCCTCATCCCACCCTCTCCCTCCCACTCAGCCTCCCGCACCACCCTTCCCTGCCTCACCCCATGCCCCCAGCAGTCTCTGACGCCCCCAGAATTGGAAAGGGGGTGGTTTGGGAAGGAGAGACCCTGCTGGTGGTCTGGGCACAGGTGGGACTTCCAAACCGCAAGCAGCCCCTGCTGCTGTCCCTGGGGTGTCTCTGACTCCCGCCACTACTACAGGGCACCTGTCTCAGGTGGGCTGCTGTCCTTGGCCGCACGAGAACTCTGCACAGGGTCTTCACTCCTCGCTGTGGCCCGGTCCGCTAGCAGGAGGGTCTGCGTGTGCAGAGTGGTCTATGGAGAGACCCCAGGGCAGGGACTGCGAGGGGGCTCGTTGAAAGGACCACTGTCCAGTCCCCAAGAGTGAACACCAAGCAGGGGGGCCAGCATGCCGTGCCCCCCTTGGCCCCATCCTCAGCCTGGCATGCTGGGCCCTGCCTGGCCGCCCCCACAGCTCAGCCAACAGTAGAGCTCAGCCCTGGCCTCACCGAACACAGACATCCCCTGAAACAGACACCTGCCAGAAGGACCCTCACCCCTGCATCTCTGGTTCTCTCTGCCCTTCCAGGTTCCCCTAAGCACCTCCTCTTCCGGGAAGTCTTCCCTAACCACCCCTGGCCCAGATGGAAGCACTTCCCTTCCTCTGAGTCCCCCGCACTTTCTCTGCCTCTCTACTGGCCTAATCGTCTGCTAGACCATCAGTCACCTGCTGGACCGTAGGTGACACCCTGGACCGTAGAAGCTCTTAAGAGTCTTAAGAGCTTCAGTCTACACCTGACTTCCCTCCCTCAACACAGCCCTGACACAGCACGAGCTGAGAGCTTAGGTCTAGGGAACTAAAGAAGAACTAGAAAAGTCTGGCTTCACTGAGCCCACCATGTGCTGGGCACCGGGGATCATCACGCACACCACCCACTTCACCCTCCAGGACGAGGGACAGCTCTCCCCATTGTCCAGAAGAGGAAATCGCTGCCCAGCAAGGACAGAGCTGAAGGCCCAGCCTAGCCTCGCTGCTCCGGAGCCCTGGATGGGCAGGTGCCCTGCCGTCCGGAACCCACGGCACCCAGCCAGGACCATGGAGAGACAGGCACCTGCTCCAGGATGGCACATCCACACTCCTGAGCTGAGGAGATTGTGGAGCCAAGACTGTCTCTGCAGAAGCCGTTCATCCACCCCCTCCCCTCTGCCCAGCCCTGACCCCTCATGGCTCAGGGTGCGCGGGCCACCTCGGCCAGAGGCCTTCCCAGCGCTGAACTGTGCAAATATTTGTTTCTTTAAGAGAAAAGAAGACCCTCTGGTACTTCCAAGGGAGCATAAATGGGGCCCCAGGAAACCCCACCAGGATATGGGGCTGGCTGATGCCTGGAAGCAGCTCAAAGCAAACCAGGTAATTACCAAAAAACCAGGTAAAAACCAAAAACAGACCAACCAGAGCAGGACCTGACTTCATGGTGAACAAATGTTCTTTGTGTTTTTAAGTGAATGCTGCATTTTAAGCCAATCCCTTCCCACCTGCCCCCGCCACTGCCATGCTCCCCCTGTGCCCAGGTCACCTGGACAGAGGCTCTTCCTGGACCAGCCCTGAGAGCTTGAGGGTCCCGACCCTGCCATGGCACTGGGGCTGGGTGGAGGCACTGAGGGTGAGGAGGGAACCCAAGTTGATGCCCCGGTTCCGGAAGAGGATGAAACAGGGCCCCCAGGAGGGGTGCACAGGGGAGAACAAGTCTGAGAGATCTGGGGGCCGGAGGGACATGGGGCAGATACCAGAGAAACGATGGAACTGCAGATGTGGGGCACAGGGATGGGGTCTGGGGGCCAAGGTGGCCCAGGGGGACGTGAAGCCCCAGGGCAGGGGCAGGTGGCCCAGGGAGAGTGCAGGGAGGAGGACAGGGCTGAGGGCCACAAAGGGACAGATGAAAGACACATCCACAGGGTGGGGGGGAGTGGCCGGGGTGGGGGCCGAGAAGTGGGCACAGATGCCAAGAGAAGGGCACCAGGGCTCTGCCTTTGAAGGCTGTGAGATCTCGCCCAGCAGAGGCCTCGGTGGTTGGGGAGGAGAGGGCTGAGCAGCCTTGCGAGAGGAGACCACCCCAGCCTTGATTTCCCCAGGGGTGCACTGGGGTAGGTCCCTGGGAGTGGGCTGGGGTCTCCCACAAGGCCTCCCTGGGGGCTGGGAGCTCATTTGCGAGTCTGCTCAACCTGCCCCGGCTCTATGTTCACACCCCATGTATTGCCACCCGACGCCACGATGCCTGTGCCTGGTGCGCTGCTGCTAGAAGCTCTCAAGTGCGGCGGAGCCCCCTCCTCACCCAACTCACAGCAAAGGGAGCAGGAGAGAGAGCAGGCCAACCAGCCACAGGCAGGGGGCATCCCCACCCCTGCCTCAGCTCTGGGTGAGGCCCTTGGGAGACAGAAGCAGGACAGCCCCCAAGAGCTGGGCAGAAAGACGAGGGCAGAGGGCCCCGGGTAGCTGAGCCTGAGATTGGGGAGCTGCCTGGAGCAGGGAGCCAGGTACACACAGGGGCAGGGCTGTCCCCAGACCAAGACCTGCCCACAGGCCTCAGCAGGCACATCCCATGTGCCAGCCCGCCCAACGCCCAGCCCCTTCCTTTTCCCCTGCCTCCAGCTCATTCCTTGCCCCCAGAAGCCAGAGCCTGTCCCACTGACCCCACCATCCCATCTGAACCACCACCCAGCTGCTCCAGCTGGCCAGGCTGTGGGTGCTGAGCTGTTCTGAAGAGTGAGGGCACCAGGCTCCCGGAGGAGCCCTCAAGGCCAACCAGTCTCAGGAGCAGGGGCAGAGTCCATGCCGAGTGCGAGGAGACCCCTCTGCCCCTCTGCAGTGCCCCTCCGGCTCCACCAGGCTCACCCCAGGGGCAGACGCAACCCAGTGTGGCCCCAGGGTGGGTCTGGCCCTCCTTGTGGCCGCCCGTCCTCCTGCCCAGACCCAGGGCTCTGCTGCGAGGCGAGGCAGGGAGAGGCCTGGCTCTCCTTCCTCCCGTCAGCCTTGCACAGGCCGGCCTGCCCTGGACCTGGCCTTCCTGGTCTGTAACACGGGGTGACACGGATACCTGCCCACGCCTGGACATGGAGGGGCCCCGATAAATCCCCGTGGCAATGGCAGCAAATAGTCACTGCCCTAGAGAGGACCAGGCAGCAGCTCCTGGTGCCCCCACCCTGTGCCGCTGGCTCCGGGCACTTCACAGGCCTTTTTCTATTTCCCAGGCTCCATGTTGAGTCCACACAGCTGGTGGGAGCAGAGCCTGGCCGTGGACCCGACGGGAGGCTGCACTGTGCACACATCATCCTACCCCTGTCCGTGCCATCCCCATTGGAGCCAAATCCATTGGCGTTCCTTATGTGCCAGGCACCACTAAGCTGCATACTCCGGGTCAAATCATCTAACTGAGCCCCAGTGAGGTAGGGGTGAATACGGATCTCCAGTTTCAGAGGAGCACAGAGAGGTTCAGTAGCACACCTGGGGTCACACAGCAGGCAGAATTTGCACTCAGATAGCCCAGCTGGTCTGGGCACTGAGGCCAGTCACTGCCCGACACTCCGTGTCTCTGTGACACTAGGTGAGCCCCACCCAGGAACGGGAGGCAGGAACTGGCAGGCCCTGGGCCGTGTGGTCCGTGCAGGTGGGTTCCCAGGCAGAGCCGCCTCTCCCTGCGGTGCTGCTCTGTGATGGACCCGTCAGACCCAGGAGGTCAGCCCCGATGGCCGCCTCAATCCGCAATTGCCGTTCAGCTGACAGCAGCGTGGATTTACGAGCAGCCCTCTGCCTCCCCACGGTGGCCGAGCCACCATGCCCACCCCAACCTGGGACCAGTCCTCAGACCTCCTAGGGTCTTGGCCCACACGTCCTCTGTTCCCCTGAATGCAGGTGCAAGGGGAGGCCCCTGCCTGCATTCCCCACCTCTGCCTCTCACCCACCAAAACTTCTTGCCCCAAAGCCTCTGCTCTCCCCATTCAGGGACCCACCCACCTCCACTGTGCAGGGAGCCCTAAGCCTCCAAGTTCCCATTTCCATAATGGGGAAACTGAGGCCCAGGGGGCTGAGGTCACAGGTCGGAGCTGGCTCCTGCAAGGCCAGGCTGTGGCTCTCGCCAGACCTTTCCAACCTCCACCCTTTAAAGTGCAAAAATCAAAGGTCAGTGTCATTTCACCAGTGCGAGGCCAAGGGGCTTTCCTAGGTCACAGGGCAGTTTTTGATGCTGAGTCTGGGAGTACAGCCCACCTCTGCAGCCTGGCTCATGGCGGGGAGCAGGGAGGAGGCACGGGATGGAGGCAACTGGGGTTCAGGACAGTGAGCTGCAGGCCCGACCAGCCCCACCCTCTGCCCCCAGGGCAGGAATCAGGAATGGAGACAGCTAGCGTGGACCCCCGGCCTCCCCAGCACTCCCACCTCAGCCTCTGTGCCTGCCTTTCCCGCTCCCAGAGTCCCCTCTTCAGAACCAGCCACATAATTTTGGGTGGGGCCCACAGCGTAACAGAAACCCTGGGCACCTTATCCAAGAGTCGTTATGAACTTCAAGGTGGCGACGACTGGGCATAACAGTGTGGGTCCTTCTGAGTGTGGCCCCATTACTGCCAGGTCTCAGCCCTGCCCCTGCCTTCCATCCTGCCTCCTCCACCCACATCCCACCCTCAGCAGCCCCCTTGCCCTCCCGCACGCCCCCTTCCCTGGGCTCCACAGATACAGCCTACACCGGGAAGCCCATCTGCCCTGGGGGGACCCTCTGAGGGTTTGGGCCAGTCTACCTAGGCTCTGGCCTGGAAGTCACCAAGCACAGCTGGCCACAGGCCACCAGAGGCCACCTTCCCATGCATGTCCTGGCCGGGTACCAGTCTGAGACAATAGTGGCCCAAAAGAAGCTTCTGGAAGAAAATGCTGGTGCTCTACTCCAGGTTCCTTCAGGGGACACTCCAAAGCAGCACTGGGCTCTGAGCTGAAGCTTCAATCCCCAAACTCACAGATTCCCAGGTCCTCCCACCTCAGATCCTCAGACCCAGGACCCCCAGATCCCCAAACCCACAGCCCTGAACCCCCGACCCTGGAGCCCAGCCTCCTTCTCCCGGCAGCAGCTCAGAGGCCTCCTCTGCCCGCAAGAGCAGCCCCCGGTCTAGCACCTGAGCCCAGGTGTCCAGCAGAGTGGGCTTGGGTCTGCAGGCCACCCAACCTTTGCTGGGCAGATTTGCTCCCTGTGCCAGTCTGTGGGAACGCAGGCCAAGTTCCTCCCCTCCCCACGGGCTTGCCAGGAAGAGCTGGAGGTGGGGACTGGTGGGGGAGCCCCCATGCCAGGGCTCCAAGAAGATGGACATAAGAGCAGGGCATCGGGTCCCATGACTCCTGAGTGCACGTGTGTGTGTGTGCATGCATGCGCCCATGTGCGCATGTGTGTGTACATGTGTGTCCCTAAGTGCATGTGTGCCCGTGTGCATGCGTGTGTGCGGGTGTGCCCCTACGTGCCTGTGTGCCCGTGTGCATGTATGTGTGTACATGTGTGTCCCTAGGTGCATGTGTGCCCGTGTGTGCATGTGCGCCCCTATGTGCATGTGCACCCGTGTGTGCACGTGTGTGCACGTGTGTGTCCCTAGGTGCATGTGCGCCCGTGTGTGCATGTATGTGTACGGGTGTGCCTCTACGTGCATGTGTGCCCATGTGTGCATGTGTGTACATGTGTCCCTACGTGCATGTGCCCATGTGTGTGTGTGTGTGCTCATGTATGTGTGTGCTCATGTATGTGTGCACCTGCTCATGTGTGCACACACCAAGTGATAAATCTGGCCACCTAGAGGAGGTGTTTTACTCTCCTCTGTGCCTTATTAACAAACTGCATGGCCTGACACGCGCAGCCGGGGACTGAATCTCTCAGGCAGATCAGCATAACGGGAAGTAAGTAAACAGTGGCCTGCACCAGCCTCCAGGTCCCACCTCGGACTAACTGGGCCTGGGCGCCCTCCTGCACCAACGGCTCAGAGCCCTGGCCATGCCGCCAGCCCCGTGGCACTGTGAGGCTGTAGGGGGCCTGCTACCTGCCTCCTCACCCCCTGTACTGTCCCAGGGACCCTGGCTCCCCTCACACAGCAGCCAGCCCTGAGGAACTGCCCTCCCAGGTGCTCAGCCAGCCCGTTGGGTAAAGCTAACAGGAGCCTTCTGCGCTGCTGAGGAGGAAACAACGAACACAGGTGCAGGGGGGCCTCACTGGGGTCCCCCCTGAGACAGAGTGCATGGCCCCCTTGCTCTCCAGGCCCCCGCCAGGCCAGCCAGGCCCCATCCCTGCCCATCTCAGGGAACTCCTCCGGCAGCCCAGGTGGGAAGTGGCAGAGCTGGGGTTGGAACCCAGGCGATTTCCAGCACCGATGCTTTGCAGGCTGTCTCAGAGGCAGATGCCCTCCTGGCTCAGCCACCTCCAGGCCAGAATGGACTGATCCCTCCTGCCTTGGCAGAGAGGTGTCGCCTGCCCATGGCCCAGGAAGCCTGGGTTCCCTACAGGCAGGACCTGGGTCTCCCTCATCTGGCCCTCTCAGCTCAGCCCGGCCCAGAGCCCAGGCCACGATGCTCAGGAAGCGCCCCCTGGATAGCTGTGTGCTGTGAAACCTCCTTCCTGCAGGTGAATTCCAAGGCTCCCGGAGCAGGAACAACAGGAGTCAGACACCTGGCTGCCCTCAGCCTGGGCCAGAGCACCCTGCCCAGTGGGCGTGAGCGGCGGCTGCTGGCAGGCGGGGGCCGCCCAGGCTGTAGATCACACCCAGCCTGCCCTGGCTCTCAGCGAGGCTCATCCTGCCTCATAAAGATGCCAGCGAGCCCTGCACCAGCACAGGCAGGCCCACAAATCAGCCTGGGCACAGGATTTAGAGTGTCACCCCTCTGCCAGGCAGATTAGCTTTGCGGGACAGCCGCTGAGGCTGCGAGAAATATGGCCCGCCGCCCCTGGGGCTGGAGAAACGGCAGAGATTTATTCCAAATCAGCCAGCTCAGACGCAGCAGACAGCTGCTCCTGCTACAGGAGGGGAAATCAAGGCACAGAAAGGAGGCGCCTGCCCAGGACCTGAAGTGCAGTGGCCGGCCAGGCCCCACCCCTGCGCCCCTCAAGCCCCTGGTCCCTTCCTGCCCAGCTATGCAAGGTCCCTTCAGGGTTCCAGTGTTACCAACGGCCCCGCCTGGGAGTTTCCTCGGTGAGGCACATGGGCTTCCCCTTGAGGGCAGCAGAGCCGTTTCCCGAACCTGGACCAAGTGTTTCCCCAAAGGGCTGAGATAACCAGGAGCCCACCGAGGAGAGAGGCTGCCTTCCTCCAGGTCAGCAGTGGGAGCAAATGGTGACCCTGCGGCCCCCCAGGAATGGCAAGGAAGTGGCAGCAGTCTCAGCCCTCCCCACCCCCAGGCCGCCCCCGCCAGGTCCACGGGATGCTTCAGAAAGCCGGCTGAAGCCCCGTATGGCAGGCAGGGCAGACTGGCCAGCACTGGCAGGGGGCCTGACACCCCAGGGACAGCACGTCCATCTGACCTCACACTCCCGTGATGGTGACAACAGTGTGAAGGCAGCTACGCAGTGATGTCACCCTGAGGGTTCTCAGGAATGTCATTACCCCAGGGCCAGGCTGTGCCACAGTGGCAACTAGCCCAGCATCGCCCGCCCTGGCAGCCAGCAGGCGCCTCCCGCATGCCATTCATCCACTCCGGGCCACCGAGTTCACCAGGGAGGCCCCAGCCTGGCACGGGGCTGTGACCCTGGACAGCACCCTCCTGGGGCATCTCCAGGGGCCTCATCTCACCTCAGACCTCCTTGGGGGAGGGTCCTGGGCTGCTCAGGGGCCTGGGCAGGGGTGGGGTCCCTCTTCCCAGGTACAGTTCCTCCCAGCAGGAGCTCCCGTCTGCTCACGGGGCCCAGATACACTTCCTTCCACCCGGGTGCTTGGAGACCTCGACCCCCCACCACGCCCGGGCCTCAGCCATTACATCCCCTCACTTCTGCGGCTTCAGAGGGGTGGAGACTCCCAGGCCTGTGGGCTCGGGGGCTGTCAAGCAGAGAGCTAAGGACTGTGCGAAGCAACTGGTGTGAAGCGTTATCCAAGGGCCGGGGCAATGGCTCATGCCTGTATTCTCAGCACTTCGGGAGGCCGAGGCAGGAGGATTGCTTGAGCCCAAGAGTTCCAGACCAGCCTGGGAAACAAAATGAGACCCCCTCTTTGCAAAAAAATACAAAACTAGCCAAGCATGGTGGCACACCTGTGGTCCCAGCTACGTGGGAGGCTGAGGCTGGAGGATCATTTGAACCTGGGAGCTTGAGACTGCAGTGAGCTATGATCGCACCACTGCACTCCAGCCTGGAAGACAGTGAGACCCTTTCTAGTAATTTCTAATTTCTATATATATATAATCACACATCCTGGCAGGGACATGTCAGCCACGCGTGTGGGGGGCGGGGGAAGGGGACGCACATGCCCGCAGGCCTAGGAACCAGGCAGCACCAGCTCACGTCTGGGGGCCATGGGGACCTGGGGGCAATGGTTGAGGACTCAAAACCGACGCCACCCAGCTGAAAGGCTCCCACTGGCCAGAGCTGGAACAGCTTTAGTCATGAAACTAACAGTATTGAATGTAACCCAAAGTACAAAACAAACATCTCTAAGTCCACGCTGCCGAAAGTATTTGGATAAATTAATAAATGAGAGAGGAGACAAATCTCCCGTGCAGAATTCCAGGTGCTTTACGTCTCTGCCTCCAGAGGCGGAGCCCGGAAGGGGCAGCGGACAGGAACTCGGGCGACCTGAGTTGGGGCCGTCGCCACCGCCTCGCTGCATGCCCGTGGGAGGGGGCACTGGAGCCTGCGGTCGGGTGTGGGGGCTCTGTGTGAGCCTCAGGGTTTTTCTGCAAACCCAAAAGAAGGCTGAGTTTTAAAAGATGATTCTGAAACAAACAGCACCCCCGAAGGCCAAGGTCTGGTGCAGCTGGGCGCAGGCAGACGGGGGAAGGTGGGGGGGACCCACATTTGGGACATGACACCTCCTCCTGACAAGGTGGCCAGGAGGGAGTTTAGGGGGGACCTTCTGGCTGCCCCAGGCCCAGGTGTGGAGCGAGCACCTTCAGGGCCCCACTCTGCTCCCAGCCCTCCTGGAAGCCTCTGCCCTGAAATCACAAATGTCCAGGCTCACGCGTCCCCTGTGCCGGCCACAGGGACTCTGCAGAGGGAGACACTGTGCCCCTCAGCCTTGGCCTGTCTGAAGGGAGACAGACCTGGGCCTGGGCCTGCAGGTCCCGGTGACAACATGGGGACACAGGGACGTTCAAGGCTGCCACCAAATCCAGAGCTCTGAAGGGGGTTCCACCACGGCCACCCGGAGCCCCAGGAGCCTCCCTGGACTCCTAGCTGCTTATCACCTGTACCCCCAACACCCACCCCACCCAACCCCATCCTCCACACCCACCCCACCCCACCCCATCCCTTCACCTGTACCCCCAACACCCACCCCACCCCACCCCATCCTCCACACCCACCCCATCCCTCTACCCCACCCCATCCATCTACCCCCATCTCTACCCCCACCCAATCTCCCCACACCCACCCTCACCCCACCCCATCTCTCTACCCTCCCACCCCATCCGTACCCCAACCCCATCCCCCCACACCTACCCTCACCCCACCCCATCCCTTTACTCCCCCAACCCACCCCTACCCCCACCCCACTCCTATCCCCACCCCATCTCTCTATTCATACCACCCACACCCACCCCACACCTCTACCCCCACTCCCACCTCTACCCATCCCTCAACCCCAAACCCACCCACCCCACACCTCTACCCCCACCCCACTCCACCCCCACCCCACACTGCCTGCCTGTCCTACAGGAAGCCGGAGCGTCTTAGCTGGCCCAGGGAATTCCTTCCCAGCCTCTTCCAGCCTCCTGGGTTTCCTGTGTGGAAACGGGCCTGGATCCCGCCTTGGTAAACACAATGTCAGGAGGGAGAAGTCACCCTGGGCTTCCTGTTTGCTGGGAGCACATCCCAGCCCCCAGGCACCGTGGGGCGGGGCTCGTTCCCAGGAGAGGAGCAGACAGGGGGCCTCCACCCCAGGAATCACCCTCCCGCCAGGGCTGCAGACAGGCCCTGGGGCGTGGGGCGCAGTCACAGGGCAGGGGCCTCCTCGGATTCCCAGGGAACCAGGGTGTGGGGGCCGAGACTGGTCCCCTTCTGGAGAGCCCAGAGCACCGTCCATTTCACGGTAGCCGGGGGCGGCCCTGGTGGGGGGAAGCAGATGAGGACAGGTGCTGAGCCATGTTCACACACATGACCGCACACGTGAACAGGAACCTCGGCAGAGAGGGAGACTGAGGCTCGAGACACAGGGGGACTGGCAGAGCCTCCCCTCCCGGCCCGGGACCCCGGGAGAACGTGGCATCATCCGGCAATGACCCCGCTGCTGGTTATTTAGGGCCCCCATCTTGGGCACTCCAGGCGGCCCCCATTCCCCCCTTCAGCTGCTGGGGCTCAGGACCCAGTGAGAACCCTGTGGAGGCTGCTGTGACCTCACTCCCAGTTCCCAGGGAAAAGGGTGTCAGGAAAGGACCAGGCTCGGGCCACGTCCTGCTGGCCTCATGAGGAACACACAGGCCCGAGGGCAGCCAAGCGACCAGCAGGCCAGGAGGGGCGACACTGCCCCATCAGCCAGGCTGGTTGGATCTCTGCTGCCACCATCCCTAGTACTGCTGCTGCTCTGCCAATGGCCCCACCCCAGCCACAGCCACCAGCCTCCCTGCCACCAACGCTCCTCTGCCAGCACTCCCACTGTCATTGCTGCCACTGTTCCCATCCCACCCTAGTGTCACATCCCCATGGCCATCGCTATGGGTTGCACTTGTGGTCCCTGGGATGGTGAACAGGAGGAGGCTCACAGGGAACCTCTGAGCCCAGCGCCTGCTACTGAAGCTGCAGTCAGTTTCCCAGACGCCTACCACGCCCAGCCAGATAGGAGGACCCTAGAGTCCAGGGATGAGGGGCCTCTGCTCTTCCGCCTCCTGCGGATCCCAGTCCTTGGAATAGGGAACCCCCCCGCCCTCCAGCAAGGAGCGGGGCAGACAGCCTGGCGGGGCCCCGGGAAATCAGACCGTGGCTCACGGACCCTCCGCCACTCTGCGAGCAGGGCGGACTGTGGAGCGGCTCTGCGGGCCCCCCAGGCCATGTAGCTCAGCTCCTGTCCCACTGGCCTGCCCAGCCCACCCAGCTCTGGCCTCCTCTTAGCCACCTCATGACCCCCTGCCCCTGGTCACCCCACCCCACAACGTGGCCTCCCGTGCTAGGGCTGGTGTGGGCAGGGCCGTCAGGGCAGGCCTGGACTTACTGGGTGAGTCAGGTGGGCACCTCACTCCATGGCAGGGGCAGGCTGGCCAGGTGCCAGGCCAGCCTCAGAGGCTACAAGAGACACCACCTGGGAGGACCTTGCCAGTGCCCGGCACAGCCCAGCAAGATCCTTTCCTGCGCCCACTCCCCTAACCCCAAACCCGCCTCAGCCCTGGCCATCCACCATCAGCAGCTGCGTGGCTCCCCGTAGGCTGCCATTTCTCCCCACCTCAGCTGACCCTGACCCTCCCCTGTGAGCCCCTCCCATCCTGCCCCTGCACACTCCAAATCCGCCCCCCTAATCCTCAAGGAACACCTGCTGGAGGCTCAAGCAGCCCTTGCCCTCTCAGGGCCGCAGTTTCCCCAAATGTCCCGGAAGCAGGAGGCAGAGGCTCCCTTGCCCTCTCAGGGCCTCAGTTTCCCCAAGTGTCCCGGAAGCAGGAGGTGGAGGCTCCTTTGCCCTCTCAGGGCCTCAGTTTCCCCAAATGTCCCGGAAGCAGGAGGTGGAGGCTCCCTGCAGGCTGCATTGGTGCCGCTGCCTTAGCTTCAGTTTCAGTCAAAGAGCTGGGTCCGGGGCGGCTGCCGCTTTCCCATCCATAAAATGGGTGACTCCTACTTGGGCCGCTCCCCAGCCAGCTTTCCAGCCCCTAATGACAGGGCTGAGGGCTTTGATGTCCCAGATGAAAGGCCGCCCCAGCTCCTGGGCTGGCCCCAAGACAGTGGATTCCACGTCCTGTAAAACAGGCACTGCCCTCTGAGAGCCAGGCCTGAACTGTGGGAAATGGGCCCGGCCTGGCCTGCCCAAAGGCCACCATCCCCAAGGCCCCAGCCACGCCAGCCCGGCAGGCAGGAGGACCGGGGTCCAGACAGGGAGGACGGGGGTCCAGGCAGGGAGGACCGGGGTCCAGGCAGCGAGGACCGGGGTCCAGGCAGGGAGGACCCAGGTCCAGGGAGGGAGGACCAGGCTCCCCAGCAAGAAGCAGGCTCTGGACCCCTCCAATGACAGAGGGATGGGGAGGGGGCAGGGTGTGCTCTATGAAAGAAAGGGACCCACCCAGACACGCCTCAGCACCCACCCATCCCCTGCAGGTGAGCAGGTACAGGGCAAGAAGGGAGCAAGAGCCGGCACCCCGCAGTGGTCTGGGCTCTAGGGCAGCTCCCCAGCCTCCCTCCTGGGACCAGCATCACCCCGGTCCCTGAGAATGAGGTACCCTGACCCACCCAACCCCACTCAGACCCCAGCACTGTCCTGGATCCCATGGACAGAGTGCCTGGCCAGTGCCTCTGTGCAGGTCAGGGGTCACAGCCAGCTGCACCAGGTTTCCAGGACACAGGCCTGGT
Organism: Homo sapiens; assembly: GCF_000001405.40. Lineage (NCBI taxonomy): Eukaryota > Metazoa > Chordata > Mammalia > Primates > Hominidae > Homo > Homo sapiens. The sequence goes on along the minus strand of NC_000014.9, from coordinate 104,182,602 downwards.
GGGCTTCTCAGGCTCTCCTGAGAGCAGGGTCCTGAGAGGATCACCCCTCCACACCCCAAGCTCCATCACACCCCACCCGGACCCGACCCCCTCGCCAAGTTCTCCAAACCCAGCACAGAGCCGGCATGCGTGGCCCTCGGCTTCTCGGGAACAACCCTGCCCTCCACATTAGTCTGAGTTTCTGCTGGGACGCAGCGCTGGCCTCCAACAAAAGCAGGGCTGGGGCTGGAGGATCAGGGGCCCCAGCAGCCTCCCAGGCTGGCCTGCAACCCCAATCCCAGAGGCTGGAGTCCCAAGGGCCACCTGCGATGGACACTAGGGGCCTGGGTGCGGGTGACCCTGTGGCCTGACCTGGGGGGCCCTGTGGCCACACGAAGGACTGTGTCTGTGTGGGACCACAGTGCAGGGCCGGCGGGAGGCTCTCTGCAGACGGCTCAGAGCTGTCCTGGACCTGCTTCCACCGCAGCCGGAGCCTCTTTAAGGGGATGCTGTCATTCACGTATTCTTTTATTCCTTCTTCAGCCAGTGTCTCCTCAGCCCTGCTGGGCCTATCCCTGTGCCCAGGATCGGGGAAGGTGATGACTCAGACCCCGCCAGGCCGGGAGACAGGCAGAGACCGCACAAGGTGTGACGTGCCATGGCAGAGAGGCCTAGGAGCCTCCACCAAGGAGGGGCCCCACCATCCCCCGCCTGGAGCCAGGGAGGGGCACCTAGCCGGGGACAGGGGGAGTCCCCAAGGGAGGGAGGGGCTGCACAGCCAGCCTCTGGGCAGGGGATCACAGCACGGGGGATGGTGGGGCCTCATGGCCAGGACCTCGGGTTGAAGGTGGAGTGGAGCAGCTGGAAGCCAGTGCAAAGCCGCAGAAAGGGGCAGGTGCCCAGACACAACCTTCGCAGGCCAGGCAGGCGGGGGGTACTGGCATGGGGACAGAGTAACAGGCTTAAGGAAGCAAACTAGTTCCGCTGGGGACCTACCAAATGAGAAGCAGATAGGACTCCGAAGAGGCCAGGAGGCAACCAGAGCAACAGCTAAGGTGGCCCCAGAGGGCACATGTACAGGTCAGGTGAGGCCATGAGCTCACAGCAGTCAAAGGGCTGGGGATCCCCCAAAGGGTCTGGGGCCTCTGACCACGGGAAAGCCCAGCAAACTGGGGTCAAGACAGACCCAGGCCTGAGTCCTCCAGGGAAGAGCCTCCATCCAGGCTGCCCCGGGAGGGGGCTCTTGTGGTTCGGGGGTCCTGAGCCCATGAGCAAAGGTAGGCAGAGGGCAGAGGATGGCAAGAAGACTCTGGGAGGGAAATGCTGCCATCACTCCTGCCTCGACTTCCCCACACAGCATAACCCAGAGACAAGGGAGCCAGGGGCCGCTTACACAGGGCTGTTTCCCGCCAGCCCAGCCCCCAAGCCTGGCTCCCTGCCCCAGCCTCGGGACCCTAAGATCTCAGCAGAGTCAACAAGAAAGCAGATCAGAAAGGAAGCGTGGGCTTGAATCCCAGCTCTGTCGTGTTCCACCTTCTCTGAAGGGCCCTCATGGCACCGTGGGCCCCACAGGGGCTGCAAGGCAGGCCCTGGCACAGCACCCGAAGCCCTGGGTCCCCGTGGATGTGTCCTTCCCACGCTTACTGCCCGTCACCCCAGGGACCCTCAGAGGGCGGCACACCAGGGCGTGAGGAGTCTGCCGACGCCCAGTGAACTCGGCAGCCGTGGGAACCATCGATGCATCTTTAATTCACAAATAAAAGCTGTAGCAAGATGTCATCTACACATTTGTACAAAGGTTCAGACGTCCTATGCTATGCACGATCCTCAGAAAGTATGAGCCTGTCGTGCGGGGACGTCGCAAACGCTGGCAGGCTCACCCCTCGTCTGCATTTGGCAAGAAGCGCCTCCCAAGGCCCCCCCACCCTGCCCAGGGTGCCCCCCAGAGGGAGCAGGCCTCCCACAGCTGGAGAGAGCCCGGCCCCCAGAACACCTTCCCTAGAAAACCATAAAAACATAGATCATTTGTCTTCAAATTCCCACGGCAAATTCCGCATTTATGGGCAAAATGATATAAAAATATGAACCTAACAGAACCTTTACAAAACCCTACCCCCCATCTTTGTTGTTGGTCGTGGTGGTCTGTTTTGTTTTTTGCTTGTGGTTTTGGTAAAAATTCCTGCCGTGGAAGAGGCAACCTGTACCTGGGGCTCAGCCCTTGTTAGCTGCCCTCGGGACAGAGCGGGTTCTCGGGAAGGGAGGGGACTCGAGGTCAGCCATCCCTGCCCGGGAGACCCCAGGATGGATCTGCGTTGAGAACCCCACACAGATCCCCCACAACCCGGGCTCTGCCGAGAGGAAACCATTGTAAAAGAAAAGTCATCCTGAATCCTGAAAGACCCCTGGGGCGTGCAGGTAAGTCCCACTCCACTCCACAAAAACTGCTTGGCTGCAAAGAAGGCAAGGTGGACACAAACACAACCGGCGCCAGCCCCGGCCCGGACAGGCGCAGCGGGGCCGGGCTGAACACAACTTCTGCTGGTGTCTCAAGTCTGTAGCACCAAATGCAAAAGGGAGAAAAGTCCAAATCAAGGTCAAAGGCACTTGCGTTGCTGTCGGGTGGTGACGGTCTTCTGGTCACCCTGGCACCCTCGCTCTGTCCACCGCGTGGCCGGCCCTCCCTCCCCCACACTCCGTCTCCTCTCTGAGACTCCCGTCCTGCACAGAAACCCCTCCGCATCCTCCCCCCGCAGCCCCCACCACATCCTCGCTCCGTCCCACGTCCCGTCCTCCAGCCCGCTGCACGCCCCCTCCTCTTGTCCGGCGCCCAGCCTCAGACGTCCACCTCCTGCGGCCCCGGGATGGCAGCACTGGCTGCAACGCTGATGTCGAAGCAGGTGACCATCATGACGTGCGCCTTGCACAGGTTCACGCACTGCTCCAGGGCCGCCGTGGCTCGCTCCAGGGCCGCCAGGTACTCGGCCGACTCGGGCTCCAGCTCCGGGTCCACCTCAACTGGGGAGGGGAGGAGAGGGGAGGGGCACCTGCGTCAGGCCCGAGGCTGGGGGCAGCCACCTGGCCCCCCAGAGGCCCCAGGAAAGGCATCTTGGCCCGGCCGACCCTGCCTTCCAGCCTTCCCACCACGAGGTACAGGAGAGCAACAGGGCTCTGGGAGGGGAGGGCAGCTGTCAGGGCACACGGTGGGCCGGGCTGGGTCCGTGGGCGGGCGGGACTCACACTGCTCCAGCCAGCGGCCAGGCTCCAGCATCAGCCGGCCCTGGGTCTCGGCCAGCTCCTCACACAGGTGCTTGTGCTTGGCCTGCACCTCCCGCAGCCGCTGCTGCCTGCGCTCCGCCAGCCGCAGCCTTGTACTGACGCACGCCAGACCCTGGGAGGCAGGGCGGGCGGGGGCTCAGGCATGGGACCCTCTCCCCAGAGACCCCCAAGCAGCCCTGATGTGGCCCCCGCCTCCCTTCACCTGCCAGGCCTTGGCAGGCACACAGTGGGGCTCCAAGGGCGGGCAGGGGGCGGACCTGGGGCAGCCCACCCATGCCCGTCTGGGTCCTGGCTCGGCTCTAGGACCACCCTCCCCACGACAGGGGAGAATTCCAGCGGACAGCAGCAGTGGCCTCAGGACCCCCCAGCCACCCACCCACTGCCCAAGGGGAGTGTCGGAGCTGCAACAGGCTTGGGCTGGGCAGGGCCGCTCCTACCTTTGCGTCCTGGGAGGAACGTGGACAGAAAGTGAGGTCAGGGGCTGCCCAGCCACACCCCCAGAGGCCTGGCGAGCCCATCAAATGGCTCACTCTGCCATCCGCGGCAGGCTCCCCACCAGGGGTCATAGACCCCAGCCCACCAAAGGCCCTACCTGGGTGGGGGCCTCCCTCGGGGTGGGGCGGGGCCGCTGAAGGCGCTCCACGTCATCGATCTCGTACACCTTGATCTCGAACGGCTCCTTCAGGGAGCCAGCCAGGGGCGGGGGCAGGTCCACCCACTGCCCGGGGAGGCTGGGCTTACGGCCCAGGGCAGTGGTGTCGGGCAGTGGGGCGGGAATCAGGCGCCGCCGCTGCAGACCTGGAACGGAGAGCCGGGCACAGGGTGAACAGAGGCGGGGCCCAGCCCAAGCACAGCCCCTGCGGGGACGCTGCGGAGCCGGCCCGAGTCCTGACAGGGAGGCCTTCGGGATCCAGTCCAGGAATCCTCAGGCTGGCGCTCTGCCCAGGGCAGGGAGGAAGCCGACCCCAAGCCAGGCCCACAGCTCTCAAGGGCGCCCCCACCACCACCAGGGCCTCCCACTTTCCCTGCCATGACCTGAGCAGTTCTGTCCCTTGGGGCAGCCCTGGCGGGGGCCTTCCAGGCAGCTCGACACTCGCCAGGGAGGCACGAGGCCCGGGACCCAAACCCGAGTCCAGTGCCCCAGCCTGGCGACCTGTGCAGGGCTGCCCTTGTGCTCACCCAGACACAGACCAGGATCAGCCCCCCAGGGCAGGGTGGGGCCAGAGAAGGGCAAGTACAGGGGGTTTATAAACTGCAGAGGGCCGTGCACCTCCACACACAAAAAGCCCCAGGCGAGTCTGTAAACCGTCCACGGCTGTGTGGGTCTGGGACCTTGAAGGCTGTGCCCATCTGTCCAGCATCTCCTGGCCCTGTAAACTGTAGAGGGCTGTGCACATCTACACACAGAAAGCCCGTAAACTGTAGAGGGCTGTGCACCTCTGCACCCACCTGTGGCCCTCTTCTTGGGGGACTTGAGGCTGCGGGTGCGGGCGCCTGGGGAGGCAGCCCCACTCTCGCTCATGGAGTCAGGGGCGGAGGAGGCGCTGCCGGTGGCCTCGCTGTCGCGCCGCAGGCTCTCATAGCCACTGCTGCCACCGCTGTGGTGGAAAAGGGCGGTGCGGCCCATGGCGGGCGGCAGCTCTCCACTCAGCACGCTGCTGTTGTCGCTGCCATGGCCGCTGCTGTAGCGCTGGGGCCGCCGTGGGGCGGTCACCTTGCTGTAGGGGGAGGGCAGGGCCGGGCCCGTGGGTGGCCGCTCCTCCCCCACGTTCACGCCGCTGTCATGGCCGCTGTCTGAGTCCGCCGAGCCCCACGAGGAGCCACCTCGGCCCGGGGCTCCACTGGCTGACAGCTCATGGACGCGGCTGTGAGCAGCCCGGAGCGCCTGCTTTGTGCCCATGACGGTACCCCGGCCAGCCTTCGCCCCGACACTGGGCCCGGCCCGTGGGGCTGCTCTGGGACCGGCCACAGGGCCGCCAGGGCTCCTGCCCGTCACAGAGGCCGTAGACAGCTTCACCGAAGGCCCCAGAGCCCGCGACCCACCAGCCACTAGGCCACGGCCCTTGCCTCCACCAACAGGGGGCTTGGGGGCCCCCACAGCCTTGGCTGCGCCGCTCCTACAGGCGGGAGCTGGACCGTGTGTGGGGCTGGAGGGTGGCACACCCAGCTTGGGTACAGCCCGGGGAGGCCGCCCAGGGGCTTCCCGGCCCTTGCTGCTGCTGTGCGCCAGGCCTTCGTACCGCTCCAGAGACGCGTGTCCGGCAAGACGGTGTGCTGCTTCTACCTTGCTGGCCCGGGCCTTCAGGCTGGACGTGGCCCTGGGGACAGAGTGGTCAGCCCGGCTGCTGGGTCTGGGCTCCTCCTCCCCTCGAAGGACAGCAGCAGCCCCGACCCGCGCCGGGTTCACAGCATGCGGAGGGGCCGAGGCCGGGCTGCTCCTCTGCTCCAGGCTGGACTTCCGCGTGGGTGGGGCCGGGGGGGCCGCCCCACTGGGCCTCGGGAGGAAGCCCGCCTTGGGAGCCAGACCCTTCTTGCTGGTGGGGGAGGCCTTCAGGCTCCCCGAGCAGGCCACCACCTCCGTGGGAGCATCTCCCCAGGACACAGCTGGCGTTGTCACACCCAGCGTGGTGGCACCCCTCCGCAGCGGTGGGATCCGAGCCACAGCCTCTGGCCTGCGGGCCGCCCTGGCTGCCACCTCACACCCGTCCACCACTCTCTGGGCACAGGCTAGCATCACCTGGGCCTCAGGCAGCCGGGGGGAGCCAAGTGTGGGGCTGGGGGCCCTGCCAGCAGAAGCTGCCTGGGTATCACACTCCCCTACCCGGAGCAGCCATGGGTCCTCAAACAGGCCTCCACGGCCAGGTGGGCTCTGGCCCAGGCGAGCACAGCCCACACGGGTGGTGGCAGAGGCAGTCCTCGGTTTCCGGGGGAGGCTGGAGTGGATGGTCTGGGCTGCGGATGCCCACCGCGAGGGCCCGGCCTGGGGCTCCCTGCCGGGTCGGGATGGGGCCACTGCAGCCACTTCCCCAGGGCACGGACCCCAGGTTGGCCCAGGACTGTCAGGTCTGTCTGGCCCCAGGAACCCAGAGCTTCCATCCCCCAGGGAACCATCCAGGGCAGGGGGGCCCCCAGGGTCAAGCCCTGCCAGCGAGTCGGGGCTGAAGCGGGGCTGCGGCGTGGGGTCACGGCTGTCGGCAGTGCAGACGCTGACCTCGCTGAGCCAGGAGCTGATGGAGGAGCCGTGACTGCTGCCGGCCCAGGCTGCCCCCTCCAGGGGCCCCCCCTCAGGGGCCTGAGAGGTGTAGGCGTCAAACTCATCATTGATGCTGCTGATGATGCTGACTGGCCGGGACCCCGAGGCCAGGGCCCGCAGGGAGCAGTCACTGTCGAAGCTAGCCAGGCTGGTGGGCCGCCCAGCTCCGGCAAGCGCCCCCAGGGACAGCTCCTCCACCACCGTGAACACCAGCTCGTCCTCGCCGTTGAGCTCCACTGGCCGCTGCAGGGTCACTGTGGTGGTGAGCAGGCCCCGCTCCGGACAGCGACTGCCAGCAGCCAGGCGGGGGCAGGTGGCCCCAGGAAGCATCGGGGACCCAGCCACCTGCCCACTCATGCCCACGGGAGGGGTCCGTGCCACTCCATCAGTGCCCCCTCCCCCAGGCTCTTCTGGGGCTCTGCAGGCTTCCAGCAACTGAGGAGGTGGGGGAGCCGGGCTGGGCAGTGGCCTCCTGCCTCCACTCACTGCAGCCTTTTCCGGGACCAGCAGCTCAGGCCAAGCGCTGCTGTCCTCTCTCTGGTCACCCCAGACAATGGCCTTGCAGGGCTCAGGGGTACCCTGGTGGGTGTCTGGACCAGAACTGCCTCGAGGGGTGCTGGCAGCCATCGGGGTGCCCACGGCCTTCCTGGGGGATGCAGCCTCTGGTGGCGAGGGCTTCCGGCCCCCTCGGGCGGGGCTGGCCTGAGCTCCGTCGGTGCCACCTGGACCTCCTGAGGGACCCTCGTTGCCGTCCATGCATTCCAGCCGCTCCTGCAGCTCCGCGAAGGTGCTGCAGCGGAAGTGGTCTGCGTCTCGGGGACCCTTGGAGGGCCGGTGGCGGCTCAGGGCAGGGATGATGGGCACGAAGTCAGGCGGACCTTCGTTGTCGGTGAGCTCCCGGTCTGACAGCGCCGCCCCACCGGGCCCCACGTAGATGACCGTGTCACAGGACTGCTCGCTGCTGGAGGAGTAATCGGGGTCACCGGGCAGGCAGGGAGGCGTGCGGTCGGGGTCCAGGGCCACAGTGCGTGGGTGGAAGGGCCGCAGGTGCGGGGGCCGACGGGCCCGGCCTTCCTCACAGGAGCTCTCCCCGCCAGAGGAGCTGGAGGCGTACTGGGGGAAGAAAAGTGGAGCTGCCGAGCCCAGTCTCCCCTACACGCCCCCGCTTCCCCGACCCTCCCCAGAGCACAGGGCCAATGCTGCGGTCACTGTGATGAAAACTACAGCAGGCACCACCAACCATGTCCCACCAAACGCTGGGAGCGGAACTGAGTCTCAGGGGAAGAACTTAAGTGACCATTCTTAGCAACTTTACAAGGAAAACGGTGTCACCCCGCGCTGGGAGGGAACGGGAAGCTCAAAAGACAAGCATGTGTGCCCAGGCCAGTGGCCAGGACTCACACCAAGGGCCGTGTAACCCCAGAGTGCCCCAAACTCCACCCTCCAGCCCCAGAGAGGGGTCCCTAGGAAGCCCCTGCAGAGGTGGTGCGGCTCTCCTGAGCACCCCAGGGCCTGTGCGGGGGCAGCAGGCTGGAGTGAGGCCACCACAAGCCACATACAGCAAGCCCCGATTCTGCCCACTGCAGCCAGGGACCTCAGGCTGGGCTCCCCACCCCCCAGGGAGGGCCACATGGGCATAGCCTCATGACATCAGAACACATAGGACATCTACCCAGGCTCCAGGCCACCTGCTGACCCCCACCCCAACCAGGCCAGCAGAGGCCTGCAGTGGACACAGGAGCCGAGACGGCCCCGAGATGGGGCGGGCAGGAGGTGGGGAGCACCTTGGCCTTCTTCCTGCGCAGGCGGTGGATGCGGGCGGCGAGCTGCACGGTGCTGAGTGTCTCTGCGTGCTGGGCTGGCGCATCCGACACGTGGGCGATCATGGTGGTGCGGCAGCCAGCGGTGGCCAGGGATTCACGCAGCAGCATGGTGAGCCTGTGGTCCCTGCGGGTCGAGGCGGTTCAGATGCCAAGGCCTTGGGAAGGGAGCTTCGGGGACAGGCTGGCCAAGGGCAGCCCTGGGATCAGTCTGGTTCCCACCCAGCTCCGGCACCAGCCCAGCGTGGGGCCCCAGGCAGCCCACGGGCAGCGAGGCCTGTCAGGTGGTGGAGGAGCAAAGCCCTGAGGAGCTGGGGGCCACAGCAGCACCGGGCACACCAGACACGGATTTACCAGGTCACCAAGGGGCCACCCTGGTCGGCACCTGCCCAGGCCCTACACTCACCGATACGGCACATGCTTGGCTCCGTTGACCAGGGCCAAGATGACGCTGCCCAGGGCCGACAGGGACAGACACAGGGGACCCCCAGCAGCCTCCCCGGCCCTGCCAGCCGCCGCCTCACAGCTGCCCAGGTCGATGAGGTGCAGGCGGCTGCGGCCTCCGGACACTGGAACCACAAGGCAAGCAAATGATGGTGTAGCCAGGGGCCCCCAGATCCTGCTCCACATCCCCACCCCAGGCCCAAGCTGGGGACAACCCCAGGGACATCCCCAGGAGCCACTGGATGACAGGCCCCTGTGCCTGGGTCTCTGCTGACACGCATCCCACAGGGGCCCGGGAGTGCGGGTGTGGCACCTACTTCCTCCCCGGCCGCACTTCTCCATGCGGTACTGGTAGACGTGCAGCGTGAACAACATGTGGGAGCTGCGTCGGGCGTCCTCGCCACAGCCCGCTCGGCTGGTGCTGCGGGCCGCCAGGGCCGCATCCAGGTAGAAAGCCGCCTTCTCGGCCGTGGGTGCCCGCAGCTCGCTTTGGTTCTGGAGCTGCAGGAAAGGCAGAGGCAGCGGCGTCTTCAGTGGCTCAGGGCCAAGTGCAGCCCCCCTCCCCCAAGGTGGGACAGTAGGCAGGCGCACCTGCGCCCCACACACGGGGTCCTCCCGCAGGTACACTCCCGGAGACTGGGTGTCCTGGAGGCTGCCAGGGGCCACCTCGGCCAGCAGGTCCCGCAGGCTCTGGTCGCGCCCGCACACCTCCACGGCTGAGACCCGGACGGAGAAGCGGGTGCCCGTCCTCTCCCTGCGCTCCTCGATGAGCCTGAAGAGCCAGGAGATGGCGCAGGGCACGATGCCCAGGCTCTGGGGTGAGCTGTCCTTCCCGATCATGGTGTACGACTTGCCTGGGGGCCACGCAGGCGTCAGGCCCCACCACACACCACGCAAGGAGCCTTTATGGCTACTGGCGTCCCCGGGGGCCAACCAGGGGCACCGAGATCTCAGGGGCCTCTTTGGATCCATCCTAAGCCCTCTGCCTTTCAGTTCGGCAGGGGTTCAGCTTCCTCTCCACAAGCCCCTCACCCCATATGCCCACCACGGCCCATGTGTAGGACCAGCCTCCTTTCCCATCAGAAGCTGCCAGCAACCACCGTGATGAGGATGGGAGGGGGTGGCCAGCAGGACCCATCTAGGGTGGGGCAAGGGTGCTTACCCAGGCTCATGTGGCCAAAGGAAAAAATGCAGCCATCAGCCCCACTGACCACCGACTGGAGCACGTCGGCCACGGTCCCCGAGCAGACTTCGGCCTAGGGGGGCAAGAGAATCAGGCAGGGCTGTGGCCCCTTCCTTCTGCCACGTCTGTGGGCCTGAGGCCGGTCTGTCCTGGCACATGCAGGCAGTCGACCCACAAGGAGATTGGGCTGCACACCTGGGACCAAGGACAGATCCCATGTGCACACGGAAAGCACAGAACACACATGAACAGGACCCAGGACACACGTAGGAGGGACTGGCCAGACACGTGCAGACACACACCCGCAAAGCCCAGAAGTCCAGCCGCCGGGCGCAGGGGCAGACCACCACGCGCAGAGAGACGCACACGCAGCCACACGGTGCACGGCTCAGCATGGGCAGGGAGCACCGGGCGCCCCCAGAGCCCAGAGCCCAACAGCTGCTCGGAAAGCTTCCCGGGAGGGCGGGCTCCGGAAAACCAGGCCTTTCCCTGTGGACTTGGCCCAGAGCCTCGGCAGGGGCGGATGGAGACACCCAAGGACGCTGGCCAGGACGATGAGGGAGGTAAGCAGGCAGGCGCCGCAGGCAGCGGGCCCCTCGCTCACGCTTCCTCTGCGCCCTGCACGGAGAAGCGGGCGCAGATCGGACCCATGTGCTGAGCCAGCAGCCCGGCTCCGGGTCTCCGGGAGGACGCCCAGTCCGCCTGCCCGTACCTGCTCGGAGTCCTGGGGGAAGACGGCATCGAAGGCAAACATCTTGGGAACTGCAGCAGTGGCGGCTCGCCGGGGGCCTGCGCTGCCTGGGGGACCGGCGGCGGGATCGTAGAGGATCACCTGCTTCTTCCGAGGGTCCACCTTCAGGAAGGACATGGCCTCGGCCGAGCGCTGGGCCCCCTGTGCGGGCCAGATCCGCAGCATAACCTTCACCTGGGGCAGAGGTGGGCGGCACCTGAGAAGCTGCCTCCGCCCAGCCGGCCACTAATTACAGGGCAGGAGGGGCCCAGCTCAGGTGGGGACAGCGGGCCAGGCCTCACACTGGCACCCCCACCGCAGGAATGTGGACACCGCGCCCCTGCTCCAGGCGAGAGCAGATCCCATATGAGGTCAGCAGAGCAGGGAGAAGGTGAGGGCCAGGGAGAGGCAAGGCCGGTGCACAGCCTGTCAGCACCGAATGTGCGGCACAGAGAATGAGGGGGCGGCGGGCTCCGGGCGCCTCCGTGAGAAGAGGACAGCCGCTCAGGTCCTGCAGAGCAGCTCAGTCCAGGAGAGGGCAGGAGGGAGGAGCATGGCCCCCTGGCCCAGCCCTCGCAGGCTGCTCCCCAGGCTGAGGGGGAGCACTTGCAAGATAAGGGAATGAACTGCCCCACAGAGGTGTGAGAGCCGCAGAGGGCTGGCGCTGTCAGGGGAGCCATCCAGGGGCATGGCTGCCTCCGACCCTGGCCAGCTGAGGGAACCGAACCCTGGCACCCTGTGGCCTGCCGGACTAGAGTCAGCAGAAAGCAGGGGGAAGCCCATTCGAATGCAAACGGGGACGGGCAAGATAAGAAGGATCCCATCCAGGGGAAGATACAAATTCTGACGCCTCGGCCTCACCGGCCCCACTGCAGGCTTGGGGAGACTGAGGCTGGGGGGCAGGCTGAGGGTGGGTTGGGCTTCCAGACTGACCTCCCGAGCCAGCAGGGAACCAGGCAGCCCTGGTGCTGGGCAGAAGCAATGGCGTCTCCAAAGCACACACACAGATCTCAAACTGGGCCACATACAGGCACCGGACTCGGGAAGACCCTGACACCAGCCCCAGTACCCTGAGAGGGGGCAGACGCCGGGGAGGGGCAGGACCCAGGATGCCGGAGCCCAGAGCAATCACTGCAAACACTCCGAAACCCATCCACAGCAGGGACACCCCACACAGGTGGGTCTGGTGCGTCGATGCCAGGAGGCGGCGGCTCTGACCCGGCAGAGGCTGCGCACACGAGGGCCACCCTGAACCAGGGCTCCAACGCAGAGCCAGAGACAGGCCCCATTTCCTGCTGGAGGACACCACAGTCCACTCTGCGCTGAAATCTCTGATTTCTCCACTACAGCGTAAATCAAATTACCCGAGACTCATTTCAGAGCCAATATTTTTCACGGATTTAATTGTAAGTGACAGATACATAACGCCGGCAAAATTGGTTTACCATGGGTAGTTCGCACCAGGCGGCACCTACTCCCCCTGGGCATGGGGCACATTGATATGCAAGCCGCTGGAGTCGGGAGTGCCCGCTCTCCGGGGAGCAGCATGAAGAAACACTTTTCTATTGTACTACTCAGAACCTGGGCTCCATTAGGCAAGAATCGATTCTTTTATTCCCCCGACGACGTGATCAAAACTATTTCATTTCCAGACGCCACCACAAAGCAGACGAAAACGTGCACTTCCCGGTAATTTTTGGCAATTTTTTTTCCAGTGTGAACTCCTCACCACTTCAGGAGCCAAATGGGCTCTGCAGATTTGAGAGACTTCCTAGCGGGAAGGAGTGGCGTGGAGAGGCTCACGGTTTGGCTCTCTACGTCTGCCGGCCACCCTTTCCACCAGCGGCATTAATCGCAGAGCGGGCTCACAACCAGGAGGAAGGGGGGTGTGGGCCTCCCCAGGGAGGGGATGGAGCAGCCCACAGTGGGGGCACCGCCCATCTAGCCTGCCCCACACTGCCCTGGTCCCAGCGCAGGCCATTGTCTGCCGAAAGAGAACCCTGTCATTACTGCAGGGAAATGACAGGGTCTTTGCAGGAAAAGGCACAGCAAGCCTCTCCCCTAAATGTTCAGATATTACAAAGCCCCACGGAATAGCTGCCTGGGAGAGAAAAAACACATTTTGCATTAAAAAAGGGCTTCCAGCTCTGAAGAGGTAGCCCAGGCAGGGAGGGGGAAGGGCGCTGCTCAGCACCCACCCAGACAGGGATGTCTTTTTTATACCACACTGTGATGAATTATCTTAAGTAGCACATTAATGTCAGAAATTGAACGTAATCTAACTTCTTTTCTGTGACAATATTAAACGCCTTTCAGGCGGCATTTCTGACTATGTGACATTAGTGCTAATAACACCCGGGGAGCTGGGGGGTGTGCAGGGTGGAGGGGCTGGAAGGCTGGTGACCCAGGGCTCCTTGTTGCTGGGGAAGCACTGAGCACTCCGGAGCAGGGTGGGGGTGTGACTGCCATGGAGAGAAGGGAGAAGCCCGGCCAAGGCTGCCCCCAGGAGGAAGTGGGGCAGAAGCTGTCCCCTAAGAAACGCGGGGCGCTGGGAAAAGTGTTGCGGGCTCCTGAAGGAGCTGCTGACTCCTCTGCCCCCCGCCCCAACTGGATGGCACAAACAGGCTGAGTGCCAGGCCCAGGCCAGAGCCAGGGCCCCGATCCCAGGCTGGGCGGGGAACCTGGATGCTGCCTGCCCACCACCGCCCACACCTGACCTCGGCGTCCTCCTGAGCTCTCGGCACAGCTCTGCAGCCCACGTGGCCAGGGCAGCGGCAGCCTGGCCCCAGCACCCACCTGCCCTGTCTCAAGGAGACTGTTGAGGGTGGGGAGGACCCAGGGTGCCCCAGCCAGCCAGGCCTGGGCCCAAAACACAGGCTGATGCCACTGGCCTCGCATCCCAGGGGACTGTGGAGAAACAGCCCGTGCCGGGCACACGCACAGAGATCAGGAGCCCCCTTGTTCCCCGCAGACCCCCAGCAGTGCTAGGCAAAGAGATTTCCAGGGAGGCAGTGACCCCCGGCCTAGTCCCCCAACTCTGCTTCACCCACCACCCCCGCCTCACCCCAGGCAGGGGCCTTGCCCCAACCCCAGCGGAGCAATGACAAGTCCCTGATCCAGGCCACACAGCTTCCCCTGCCCCCGGGCCTTGGATGCAGAATGTCGCCTCCGGAGGACAGAGATGCCAGATGCCCGCCAAGCCCTCCTTACCACAAACGGAAACCAGTGCCCAGAGGGACAAGCGATCCATTCAAACCCTGGCAACTGGTGGGGTGCTCGGGGTGGAGACCCAGAGTCAGGGAGATCGGGAGGCTCCTGGTGGTCTCACCACACACTCCCCTCTGGACACCCATGCAGCTCCAAGGTGCCAACTGCCTGATGCCCCCACCCGGACCCGCCATGGCCTATGAAGATGGTAAGAGCTGTCAGGTCTGCCCCACAGGCCGCCCCAGAGCCCCTATGCCCCACGGCGGCCCTCCCTAGGGACCCACCACTGCCCCAGACCAGTAGCCACCGTCAATTCAGGCCAGGGCTGCCCTGGAGAGGTTGGAGGGCTCAAGTCACGAAATTAGCGTTCCAGGGGCTGCAAGTACAATGCTCGCTACATCACCGGGCGGGCAGGGGGCACAGCCCCCAGCAACTGCACCACTGAGGGCGTGGCCAGACACACAGTCACTTACAGCCCTTCCCCGTAGCCAGCATGTTCCAAACCCTCCCACGAGCCTGGCACCTCCCGAGCTCTAACAAAATCCCAAGGTGTGGCTGCCCAGGAGGCCCCTCCAGGACTACAGAGCTGTAAAGGTCAAGCAGGCTCTCACCAGGACTGCGAGGGGTGCTCCTGGCACCCTAGACCCAGTACAGCTAGGGCAGTGGGAGAGGCCTGTGGCACCCCCAGGCCCAGGGACAGGGGCCTTCTGCCAGGGGGTCTCCAACGTGGGCACAGCGTCCCCTCCAGACCTTGTCCCCTGGAGAGCTGAACCCCTGGGAATCGTGGTCCAAGTCCAGAGGGGCACGGAGCCTGATGGCCCATGTGGGGCACAGAGCCTCCCGGGCCTGGAGGCACCAGGCAGTGCTTTCGGGGTGCTGGGCGGGAGGGGGCTGGCTGCAGAGCAGGCCGAGGGGCAGGAAAAAGCCACCGGGGGCACACACAGAGCTGTGTGACTGGCTTCCCACCCTCCATGGGCACAAAGAGCCCACCTGACTCAATGGGCCCACGAACCAGGCACTGCCAGCTCCCAGCACAAGGCAGGGCCACGTCCAGCCAGGGCAGGTATTTCTCCGAGACTCGGATGGCACAACCAGCAAGCCACAGGCCCCAGGCTCAGAGCTCCAGGGACAGCCAGGAGCCAGCCTGTCCCATCACTGATGGAGGCCCTGTGCCCTCCACAGGCGGCAGTCTTCCCATGTGGAGCGCGGCGCCAGAATCAACCCATCACGCATCCCGCTTTCCCATGGCAGGGGCCCGCCTGCACACGGTGACTCTGGAGAGCAGAGAGTCCCCTCCTGCCCCCAGCCCCCTCAGGGCTGCGTCTCAGTGGAGCCTACGCAAGGGGCTTCCCTGGATCAAACCCAACCTTAGTCCCTGGGAGCCCCGTGACCTGGCTGTCCCGCCCCACGCTGAACCTAGTACATGCCCCTGGGACCCCTAGGACACGCCACTCCCCTCCCATCCCGGCAGTCCCAGCCCAGCACAGGCTCCCAGGCTCCCTGCTGCCACCTGGGCCTCAGTCTCCCCATGGCACCCCACTGACCACCCTTATCCAACCCAGAGAAGGAAGTGGCAGCCCCTCCACTCCCTCACCCCTCCTGCGTCTTCTCAGACGCCTCTGGCCTCCCCACCCAGGGCCCCGAACTCGGGGCTGCGTCTACCTTCCCGATGCTGCCAGGGTTGTCCTTGGTCTTGGAGGCGGCCCTGAGCAGGCAGGGGGGCGCCGGGGGCGGCCACAGCTGCAGGACCCCGCTGAAGTCGGTGGGGTAGGTGGAGGTGCCGCGGGTGGCTGGAGGCGGTGGCGGGTGGGGCTTCTTCCTCTTGGAGGCCAGGCTGAGCTTCTGCATAGCCCTGGGGAGGAGAGGCAGAGGCAGGATCAGTGGTGGGTGACAGCAGCTGTTCCTGTCACCCGCCTGCGAGTCACCAGGCGATCCCACCCTGGGACTTCATCAGCCACCATCCCAGGAAACCCAGTCCAAAATGTGGCTGGGAGGCCTGCACTTCATTTCTACAGTGGACGGTTCAGGCTGGGGCCTCCATGGCGTCCCTGCCCCAGGGACTCTGCCCAGCATTCACACCAAGCTTGTGACAGGGTCCAGACCCACACAGGCTGAGCGCCCCTCCCTGTGCTCTGCACTGAATGCCATCCCCCCACCAAGGGGTGTGCCCTCATCCCCCACCTGCAGCCGCTGCCGGGGGTCGGACAGTGAAAGCTGCTCCCACCCGATGCCCAGGCTGTGGGCAGCCATGCACAGCTGTGACCTGGGCACATCCACCTGGCCTGCCTATGCCTCAGTTTCTACATCTCCAAAGTCGGATGAGGTGACAATGGAGGCCTCTGTGTGGCCCTAATGGACTGACACACTCAAGGCACCCAGCACAGTGACCACATACAGGAAGGGCTCAATTAATCCTGCTGTCGAGATTACCACACCCCAAGCCCCAGGCCCCAGGTGAGGCTGCCTTGCCCCTTGCCGATCACCAAGGCCCTAGAGCCATCCTGGAGCCACTGCCCAGCTCCTGGGCCCCTGCCACCCTCGTCACTCAGGGCTGCTGGGAAGTGCCCCCGCTGCCACCCTGCCCCTCAGCCAGGGCGAGCGCCTCCCCACCCCAAAGCCCACCCTGAGGCTCAGCCTTGCCCCAGCACCGCCAGGGGTGGGGGATTCCTGCACCCACAGTGCCCCCAGGGAACTCCCAGAAGGTGCAGAGTCTCCCAAAGCCCCCGGACCACAGGACCTCCAGGGGAGAGGCTGACGCTTGGGTTTAACACACCCTCCAGGGGAGGCCAGTGCATGCTTGGGAGCCACTGGGGTGGACTCCCAGGGGACCTCGACACGCACACCCTACAGAGACACACACAGACACACACAGAAACACACACATGCACACAGAAACACACAGACACACATATGCACACAGAGACACAGAGACACAGTCACACACATGCATACAGAAACACAGACACACATATGCATACAGAAACACACAGACACACATATGCACAGAGACAGAGACACACAGTCACACATATGCATACAGAAACACAGATACACACACATGCATACAGAAACACAGACACACACATGCATACAGAGACAGAGACACACACATGCATAGACACACAGACACACACATGCATACAGAAACACACAGACACACACACACGCATAGACACAAAGATACACACATGCATACAGAGACACACAGACACACATGCACATGGAAACATACACAGAGGCCCACACACACACGCATACAGAAACACACACAGAGACAGACACACACGCATACAGAGACACACAGAACACATATGCATACAGACACAGAGACACATGCACACAGGGACACACAGACGCACACATGATACAGACACACAGACGCACACATGCATAGAGACACACAGACACACATGCATACAGAGACACACACATGCATAGAGATACAGACACACACATGCATATGGAGACAGAGACACACATGCACACAGAAACACATGCAGAGACACAGACACACACATGCATACAGAAACACAGACACATGCATAGAGATACACACATGCATACAGAAACACACAGAGACATATACATGCAGAGACACACACACAGAGACACACACACATAGAAACACACACATGCATACAGAAACACAGAGACACACAGACACACATACACATACAGACACACACAGAGGCACACCCAGAGACACGTGCACGCATACAGAAACACACACAGAGACGCACACATAGAGACACATATGCATACAGAAACACGGAGAGACATAGAGACACACACAGAGACAGACACATAAAGACACAGAGACACATATACAGAGAGACACAGGCACACAGACACTCAGAGACACACACACATACTCAGACACTCACACAGAGACAAGGATACACAGAGAAAGAGAAATGCAGACACACACACAGAGATGCACACACAGACACGCGCACACACACAGACACGCGCACACACACAGACACGCACACACACTCACACACATACACACACAGAGCACACACATACACACGCAGACAGGCACACACACAGAGTACAGGCCCGCCGCGCCTCTGAGCCCTGGCTGTGCTAACCCTGCTGCTGGGGATGTGTTCCCAGGTCCCATCACTGGGCCACACCTACTCATTCCCTGGGGTGGCTTCTCTGTGGCCCACCCACCCCACCTCTGCAGGGCCCCACACCCTCCCAGCACATTTTGTGCTGCAGGCACCCAGAGCCCCTACCCCGGATCATGGACCCACCAGCACAGGGACACCAGGACGCCACAGGGGTGAACGAACACACACACTGGGTGTCACCACCTCCCAACAGGAGGCGCTCCCACGCGGGCCAGAGGCCAGGATGCCACCCGGCGAAGGGTGTGGTGAACGCTGACCACCGGCGCTCCCCCGACCCACCCTGGGCTCCTCTGTCCCCTAACATGCCCCACGCCCCCCCCACAGCCCTCGGCCTCTCACGTCTATCTTGACTCCCTAAAACTGACCCCAGTGTGGAAGGACCTGCACCCCAGAGCCGGGCCCGGCCTCTCGCTGCCCCCACTGCGGCGGCTGCAGCGCTGGCGTTTTGCTTAATTTCTTTCATTTTGAATAGGAGCTGTCTCTTAAGAGACCCCAGGGACGGCTTTCCTCCTAGTGAGGTGTCATCGTGGAAAGTAAAAGTAATCTATGACACATGGTGGAGTCCTTAGTAGGGCAGTGGTGGGCGGTGCCTGCAGCCACCCAGGCAAGACGTGGAGCCGGGGGATGCCAGGAGGAAGAATCCCAGGAACCAAACCCACGGCTACCCAGGAGAAGCCCCGGTAGTTCCAGGTGTGGGAAGCCCACCCGCCGCCTCGGGGACTTGGGTTCCTTGCCCACAGCTGGCACGGTATTGGGTAAATGCTGGCGATGCCGGGTGAGGTCCAGGGGTCTCAGGCACACGGGCCTGGGCCCCAGGATGCAGGTGTGAGTCAGAGCAGGGGTCGGGGCCCATGGCCGCCCCGTGCCGCGCATGCTCGGGGTTCCGGGGTCACTGGGGTCCCAGGTTCGTGACCCTCTGGTAGCTGAGCCACACAGGGTGGGGCCCAACGCGGCAGGGAGGCCTGCAAGGGGAGGCAATGGCACCTGCATCGTGGGGCCCGGGCCTGTGTGCCTGAGACCCCTGGACCTCACCCAGCATCGCCAGCATTTACCCAATACCGTGCCTAAGCCTCGTCTCTGTAAACCTCACAACTGCCCTGCAAGGAAGAGGCCCTTGTGCCCTCGTCGCCCAAAGATCACTCACACAGCAGATCAGGGACAGGATGGAGGCCGACACACTCGCCCACGCTGTCTGTGTGTCTGTGCGTCTGTCCACAGGGCAAGAAGCCCGGGCAGAGGGGAACGCTGGGAAGCGCAGAGGGCAGAGCCACAACCCAAACCTCAAAGTGAGCCCCCATAGCGGGCAGGGAGACTGGGCAGGGGCCTGGGCGAGGCCAGAGGCAGGCAGGCAGGGCTGCATCTGCCCATTTGGGGGCACAGGTGGGAGGAGGCTTGGATTTCACCAGTGTCTGCTCTTGGGGTTCTTCCTGCCTGCCCACCACCCCAGCCTCAGCCTCCTGTTCCAGACCCCCCACCCCACGACCTTGGGTTACACCTCAGCTTCCCGCCAGCTGCCTGCAAGGGAAGAAGCTGCGGCCCCGCTTTGGAAAACATCCGCATCTAGCAGGCAGGACTGGGACAGGGCTACCCCACCCTGCTGCCTGGTGCTGCTCCAAGGCTGGGACCCCAGGTTTCTTGGGGCGGGGCGGGGGGAAGGGCAGGGCCCTGCAGGTGCAGGTGGGAAGCCCCCCACCCTACCTGGACAGGCAGGGCTGAGGACGGTCCCCACGGTGGCCCCTATAAGGGACAGGGAGCCTCCCTGGACCCCTTTCCTCCTCTGGAAATGGATGTGGGGGACGCCCAGCACCAGCCCTCACTGGAGGGTGTTGGCTCGGCCTCAAGTGGATGGGGAGAGGTCACGCCCACCCAGAGCCAGCTCCTCCACCCTCCCCTGCAGCCCCTCCCAAGGCTGGGCAGGGTCAAGGTACCAGCTGCAACCCAAGGCTGTGGGCAATAGGGCATCGGCACCCACACCCCCAAGCTTCCAGGGGACGCGGAGGCCGGGCAAGCACTGGAGACTGGAGCAGCACTTGGAGAGGCCAGAGGGAGATTGAGGCTGGAGCCTTAGGTCTGCAGAGGCCAAAACCAGGCTGGCCCTTTGCCCCGTCGGCCACACAAGGGCTCTGCCCCTCCAGTGACCCTCCCAGGAGCAGCGTCCGCAGCACAGATCTCAGGTATGCCTGGGCCACAGCGGGCACACCCAGGGCCCAGGCCGCCTAGACAGAGGCTGGGACCGGGCGTCCTCTGTGGTTCCATCAGCCCTGGAAGTCTGGAAGGTTGTTCGCCCCACATCTCCACCCCACAATCTGACCTAACTTGAGGCGCCTCCTCCTCCTGGGGCCCATCGCCAACAGGCTGCACCCCAGCCTGCTGGGCCCTCCCGGTGCCTGCTTTTACGGGCTTACCTCACTGGTATGACTCAAAGACCTGCCACTGCATTAACGAGGCCCCAGAACGAGCACTTTCTCCTTTGATGAAATTCAGGCCCCCATGGAAACGACCATCAGACACAGCAGCCCCCATCTGGCTACCACGCTTGGGTTCAACAGCCCTTGAGGGCCCACGGCCCTGTGGAGGCAGGAACTTACTTTCTGAGCAGTGGGGTTTGTCTCCCCCAGGCCACAGCAGACACTGCCCACACCCAACACTGCCAGGGAGCGGCGGCCCTCAGTGGGCAAGTCTGAGGGGTTTGACTCTGAAGGGAAGACTCAGAAAAGCAGGAACTTCACCTGCATAAACAGCCCCCATCCTCACAGGACACCTCCTCCAGGAAGCCTGCCCTGATGCCCTGAGATGGGTGTCCCCAGCCCCTGCGCCTCCTGCTTCTATAGCAACTACCCCCTGCCGTGAGACACCAGTTTACACAGCTATGTCCCTGCCAGCAGGGGGTCTGGGGGCAGATGCTCACAGAAGAAGCTCAGAACACGCGTGAGCGAGGATGAACGAGACAGCGGGCACCTGAACGGCCCCCAGAGCCACCAGGTGTCTTGCTGCAATCCCACAGCCTTGCCTGGGCTCATTGGCCCTGGCCATCGATTCATGTCAACAGAAAAGGAAATATTTTCCTTTTTACAGAGAAAAATCACCGCTTCCAAACAAGAGGGTAATTTCACAGGCAGTTGGCCTTGATGGTGAGGCCCTTAATTACCCCAAGGAGACACACGAGCCTGTTCTGTCGCGTGCAGGAATCACTTATGGCCAACCCAGAGCTTCCACACTGGGCCGTGCGAGGCTGGTGGACGGAGCCCCACCCTCCCTACCCCCACCTCACCCCAGGGGCACCTGCCACCTGCCGGACCTGCCCCACCAAGGAACCAGGGCAGGCATCGGGGGACCCCAGCTGGGTCCTGCAGACCTGCGAAGGGGACCCTGGACCCCAGCTGGAGGCAGCTGGAGACTGAGGCATCAGCCCCTCCAACTCCCAGCCCTGCTGTGGTCCACACTTCCTGTGTCCTGGATTTTCACCCACAGGCCAGAAGACAGGTGGGGACACCTCTCCAGACAGTGCCTTCCATGTGGGTCCCCAGCTAAGCCTCGGGCAGCGCACTCTCCCCGCAGGCGCTGCACTTCTGCTGGGTGCCAGCCTGACCGTCCATGGGCCTGGGCATCCAGGCTGACACGGGGGCTCTGCTGAGGCCACAGTGGGGTGGGGAGTGGGGGGCCTGGGTACCTGCAAGTGCCATGAGGTGCTCCCCACCCAATGGAAGCAACCTCCCTTAGCAGTTTTCTCAAAGACATTTGATTTGGGGTCTTGGAGGGGACCCCCATACCAGCATGGCAGCGAGCAGGTGAGAGTATGATGACGGAAGTACCTCAGAGGAGGCACTGCAGAGGCTCCCAGCGCCGGCACAAACCAGCGGGGCCTCAGACAGCGTCATCAGAGTTGCCAGAACCTTCAGGGAACTCCTAACCCTGGGGGTCACCAGAGCCTTCGGAGAACTCCTAACCCCGGGGCCACCCGGCCCACGCGCCCCACCCTCCCGAACACTTGCTGGGCCAGCATGCCAAGCTCTGTCACAGCTGCGCTGCCTCAATCCCTGCAGCTTCCCCAGGCCCCACCCAGGGGGTGAGGGCATGGGGCTCAGCCCCTGCTCTATCTATGCCCCTGTTAGCATTAACGAAACTCGGGTACCCGGGCACCCATGGGATCACTCCACATCCCAGCTTCCCTGTGTGGACATAAGGAGCCCAGAGGCCACTGAAAGGATCAGGGGGCAGCCTGAGGCTGGTGCCCTAATCCGGCTGGGGGGTGCTTGTGGGCAGCAGCAGAGCTGAGACTCCCCAGGCCCACGGGATTCAAAAACTCAAACTCCTGACCTCCACCCCATTCCGTCTCCACTTGGCAATGCTGCCTGCCAGACTCCTACTCAACCCTCAAAGCCCGCTCCCTGAGAGGCCACTCTGCCCTGACTGCTACACGGGTCCCGTGCTGCCATCTAAGGCTGCCTCCACAGAGGTGCCCCTCGGTCCCTCCAGACTGGAAACTTCCCAAGGGCAGAGCAGGGGCTGGGGTCAGTGCCACTCCCTCCCAGGTCCTCTTCGAGGGTGGAGGTGGGAGCACAGAAGGTACCCTCAGCACGTGCCCAAGACCCCTGGGGCGGGGGCTGAAGCTCCACTGTCTCCTGGTGGACTCGTCCCCACTCAGAGCCACAGCCCCACACCCACAAAACCCAGGAGTGGACACCCCCTCTGATCTCACCCCTGAGGGTTCAGGGTA
The DNA here is from genome assembly GCF_000001405.40 of Homo sapiens. Lineage (NCBI taxonomy): Eukaryota > Metazoa > Chordata > Mammalia > Primates > Hominidae > Homo > Homo sapiens. Next base: position 104,159,854 of record NC_000014.9, on the reverse strand, counting down.
CTGCAGCCCCACAGAGGAGGTCACCCACCACCGACCCCAGCCCACGTCAGGCATCCACCGACAGGGCCCACCTGCCAGGATGTCCCCCGCCACAACCTGAACCACGACCTGCCACCTGCAGTGGCCTCGCAGAAGCCGCTGAGACCCAGGGTGCCTAACAGGCTGGAAGTAATGGCAGCCGGCAGCGCCCCCGCCTTGGGAGAACCGCCTCTGGGTCCCCAGCCCGATGCGCTGGTTTCTATGGTAACTTCCCAAGGTCAGCAGGCAGCGCGGCTGGCAAGCGGCACCGGCCTCGGCTCCCAAACAAAAGGCAGCCAGGGCCGCTCTGCTGGGCTCCAGGTCACCAACGCACCGGCCTGGGGGCCGACACCCTACCCTTACTTCCCAGTGTCAGGAACCCTCCTTGGCACCAGGGGGCTTAGCATCAGGGACCGGGGGAGCTCTGAGCACTGGAGCTATTCTTTCTTTTCTGGAAGTCTCCACGTTTCAAATCCTCCTGCCAAACAGGACCCAAAGGAGCACGGCCACAGGGCTGTGCCCAGAACAGCCGCACAGGCCCTTTAATTCAGGACTAGGCCGGTTGTGACGGGGTGGGCTGTCCCACACACGGGGGACCCCAGAGCAGGATGGGCAAGACCCCCATCTGCTCCCACCAGGGTCCCAGCCAGCCGTGCTCTCGGCACCTAATTGGGGTGGCGCTGAGGCCACACTGGTCACGTGCGCGGTCTGGCTGTGCTCCAACGCGATGGTGTGCTCATCAGCCCTCAGCCCGGCACACGGCGTGCGACAATGCCCTAATCATATGCCCCGTCACTCTGCAATCAGACCACACGGTCCCCAGGGCCGGCGCTGATAAGACGCCCTCGTCTCTGGCCGCTGGGTGTGATGCATGTTCAAGCTTATCAGCACCCGCGTGGGGCTGCTAATGGGACACTGACCCGCGGCTGGGCCTGCCATTACCAGGCATTATGGCAATTACATCCTGTAATCCGCATCCTTACACCATCAGGATGAGAGGAGGCTCTGCCACGGGTCCCAGGACCAAAGGCCCTGCCGGGAAGGGCCCAGTGGAGGCTCCCACACCACGCCCCTCCATGCCAACTCCCCCTCCCCACCTCTGCTCTCCTGTTCCCTCTGCCTGGCCCACCCCATCCACACCACCAGTCGGCAAGGACCTGGTGCCTGCAGGGCCTCAGGCCTGGCATTCTGGCAGTGGTGGGGATCAGCAGGGGGGAGAGCAGAGAAACCAGGCACCCCGAGCTCGGGGCCTGGGAAAGCAACCAAGTGATGTCAGACATGGTCCCCCAATGTGGGATGCTCCTGGTGGAGCTGGACCTGCCAACCACAAGCCCGGCTGGCACCGTGGGCACCCGCTCAAGCCCTGCTGCCCCTCCCCTTGTGCTGCCTGAAGGCCAGCCTTGTCCTCTCCGTGGCCCCAGCCTGCGCCTCCCCCGGGCAGCCCCCAATGTCCACAGCTGAGCTGCCCCACTCCGGGCCACATTCTCCAGGCTTCACAGACATTTTCTTGCTGCAGTCACAGCGACTCCTATGAGGAAGAGCCCAGCTGACGGGAGGAAACTGAGGCACAGAGAGGTTAGTTGATTTGCCCAAGATTGCACAGCTCAGAAGAGGCAGGGACCAGGCTCCAACTCAGGCAGGGTCCTGGCCACAGAGCCCCTCCTTGGCAGTGCTCCCCCGAGGATGAGATGCCCCCCAACATCGGGCATGGGGCCCGAGAGGCCGGCAGGCTGTGAGCGGCTCAGCAGCTGTGGTCGGAGCAGCTCCCCATCCACTCGTCTCAGCAGCAAGCATGCCCGAGGTCCCCCAAGAACGGCCCATAGGTCCCCAGGGGCCCACAGCCGGGGCCATGGGGCCCTGCCCACAAGGCTGCCCAGGAAGCCCCAGGACATACCTTATGAAGAAGGAGGCTGCAGCTGAGGGGCCTGTGGAGCCCCCCACCGAGCCCGGGGTGGGGGTGACCAGGGCTGACGTGCAGACTCCACCACGGCCCCAGGCCTTCGACAAGCCATCAGGGCCGGCCACGGGGGGGCATTCTCGGACCGTGTCTGCCACCGCCACGGCCGCCACCGCTGCCTCGGCCTGGAGGGAAGGAGAGAGTGCGTATAAGGAACGCAAGGGCAGAGACACCACTGCCCCCTGGCACCCGGAGTGGGAGAGACAGGCCTGGGCACCCCAGAGCCCAGCACATTCCTGGGGGCTCTGCACCCCCAGGGCCCAGCCTGTGAAGCCGGGAAGGCCCCAGAAATCAGGGCTGGCAGAGAGGCCAGTGGGGAAGGCCTGCCTGGGCCGTGAGGTCACGTTCCCAGCTCGGGGTGTGTGGGCGGTCTGCCCCAGCAGGACTCCTTGGAGGCAGAGAGGGAGGCAGATGGTGGTCCAGAAGCCAGACTTTCCGCCTCTCCCCCATCAAACTCCAGAATCGCAGCGACCACACTGGTCAAGACCGATGGACACAGACCCCCCACCCTCTCACCCCTGAGCCTCCTGGGAGCACCCAGCGGCGTAATTAGAGAAGAAACCACGATAACTATTTGGCAGGAACACTAATTGCCCCACGTACGGTGATGTGTGGCGCTCCCTCATCTGAAATACTACCCTGGCATTTCCAACTCATTAGCTCAAATAAATCCCAGAAAGGGAGGCCTCCTCATAATGAAGCACAAACGTAATTAAACGCCCGGGACAGCCCAGCAAACGTGAGCTCCACCTCCGCACGTTCCATTCCCAGACACGTGGGACCCCGAACCCTCAGGCCAAACCTGGTCCTGGGCGGCGTGGGGGGATGCAACCCCAGGCAAGGCAGGGAAGGCAGCCTGCTTCAGCCTGGCCACCCCTCGCCCCGGCCCCTTCCCCAAGGGCCCAGTGCCCCAAGCTCTCCAAGGACCCCCTTGGGCACCGTGGCCTGGTCAGGTCACGGTCACCCAGGTGCCAAGCGTCATTCGGCCCCAAGTGTCCAGTCGATAACCACTGCCCGAGGCGTCCTTTGTACCCAGGCTAGCAGAGGACTGGGGTCCCCGTGCTGAGGGGACGTGGGCTGGTCTGGAAGGCCCAGCGTCCTCAGGGTGTCCCAAGTGGCACAGGCCAGAGGCCAGGCACGGCACGTCAGCAGAACAAGCCGCC